>NC_000008.11:25617678-25920708 GCF_000001405.40 Homo sapiens
TTTGAATGTAAATGGATTAAATTCCCCGGTCAAAGATATATTCGAAAATTTGGTTTTAAAAAACAGGATTCAGCTGGGTATGGTGGCTCACGCCTGTAATCCTAGCACTTTGGGATACGAAGGTAGGTGGATCACTTGAAGTCAGGAGTTTGAGACCAGCCTGGCCAACATGGCAAAACCCCATCTCTACTAAAAATTAAAAAATTAGCCAGGCATGGTGGCACATGCCTGTAATCCTAGCTACTCAAGAGGTTGAGGTGGGAAAATTGCTTGAACCCAGGAGGCGGAGGTTGCAGTGACCCAAGATCACAGCACTGCACTCCAGCCTGGGCAACAGAGCAAGACTCTGTCTCAATAAAAATAAATAAATAAGTACAAACAAAACCCAGGATTCATCAATATACTGTATATCAGAAACTCACTTTTGATTTGAGGATACATATAGGTTGAAAATGAAAGGATGGAAAAAGTGTTGCAAATGGTAACCAAAAGACAACAGGATAGGCTATACTAAAATCAGAAAACATTTACTCTAAGTCAAAAATTTTTGTTTATAAATGACAAAGAAGGACATTATGTAAGGATAAAAAGATTAATTCACCAAGAAGATATAATTCTAAATATTTATGCATGAAACATCAGAGATCCTCAGTATATGAAGCAAACTTTGACAGAATTAAAGGGAGAAACACACAGCAACACAATAAAAGTAGATTTCAATACCCCTCTTTCAATAATGAATAGAATAACCAAACAGAAATTACCTTTAAAAATAGAAGACTTGAACAAAAGTATAGATCACTTGGACCTAAAAGACATACAGAAAAGTCTACCCAACAATAACAGAATATACATTATTTTCACGTGCATGTGAAACATTCTCCAGAACAGATCACATATTAGATCATGGAACAAATCCTAACAAATTTTAAAAGATTGAAATTATTCAAAGTATATTTTCCAATCACAATGGAATGAAACTAGAAATCCATAGCAGAAGGAAAACTGGAAAATCCACAAGTATGTGGAAATTGAACAACACACTATTTAACAACCAATAGGTCAAAGAGGAAGTCAAAGGGAAATTGAGAAAACACTTTGAGAAAAATGAAAATGAAAAAAATCCCATATTTAAATTGATGGGATACAGTGAAAGCAGTGCTATGAGAGAAGTATGTAGTTATAAGTTCATACATTAAAAAAGAAGAGAGATAAAAACTTAACTATTTAACTTTATACTTCAAGGAACTAGGAAAAGAAGAACAAACTAAACTATAGCTACTAGAAAGAAGAAAATAATAAGGACTAGAGAAGAGATTAGTACTATTAAGTAGAAAATAGAAAAATAGTAGATAAAAAATAAAACTAAGAGTTAGGTTTTTGAAAAGATAAAGAAAATTGACAAACTCTTAGCTAAACTAATTGAAATAAAAAGAAGACTGAATTAAATAAAATCAGAAACAAAAGAGGGGATATTACAACAAATGCCACAGAAATAGAAATGATGAAAAGAGATTAATTGTATGCTAACAAATTGGATAACCTAGAAGAAATGTATACAATCCAACACAACCTACCAAGACTGAATCATGAGAAATAGGAAATATGAATAGATCAATAACCAGTAAGGAGATTAAATCAGTAATTAAAAAGTTCTTAACAAAGAGAAGTATAGGACCATAGAGCTTCGCTGGAGAATTCTACCAAATATTTAAAGCAGAATTAACACCAATCCATGTCAAGCTCTTCCAAAAAATTGAAGAGGAGGGAATATATCCAAGGTCATTTTACAAGGCCAGCATTACCTCAATATCAAAGCCAGACAAGAACACTAAAAGAAAAGAAAACTACATACCAATACTGATGAATAGTGATGAAAAATCCTCAACAAAATACTAGCAAACTGAATTCAGCAGCACATTGAAAAGATTATCCACCATGACAAAGTGGAATTTATTCCTGGGATGGAAGGATGATTCAACATATGAAACTCAATTAATGTAAACTTCATGTTAACAGAATGAAGGACAAAAATCACATGATCATCTCAATTGATGCAGAAAAGCATTTGATAAGATTCAATACCACTTCATCATTAAAAACACTTAACAAAGTAGGAATAGAAGGAAGCTTTCACAGCATAATAAAAGCCATATATAACAAATCCACAGCTAACATCATACTCAACGGTGAAAGACTAACACTTTTCCTCTAAGATCAAGAAAAAGGCAGGTTGCCTGTTCTTTGCTGCTTCTATTCAACATAGTATTGGAAATCCTAGCCAGAGCAGTTAGGCAAGAAAAATAAATTAAAAGCATCAAATAGGAAAAAAACCCTACAATTATCTCTCCTCACAAACCTATGATCTTATATGTAGAAAACCCTAGAGATTCCATGAAAAGCTATTAGAACTAATAAATTTAGCAAAGTTGTGGGATACAAAATCAATACATATTTCTATACACTTACAATGAAGAATTACAAAATTAAGAAAACAATTTGATTTACAATAGCATCAAAACAAATATAATTCTTAGCAATAAGTCTAACCAAGGAGGTGAAAAATTCATATACTGAAAACTATAAGCCATTGCCAAAAGAAATTTAATAAGATACAAATAAATAGAAAGATATCCCATATTTATGGATTGGAAGACTATATTTATGAGATGTAAATGCTACCAAAGTGATTTACAGTTTAACCACAATACCTATCAAAATCTCAACAGCATATTTTGCAGAAATAAGAAAAATCCTAAAATTTATGTGGAATTTCAAGGGACTTCAAGTAGCCAAACATTTTTTTGAAAAAGAAGAACAAATTATAAATGGAGGACCCACACTTTCTGAATTCAAAGCATATAACAAAGCTACAGTGATCAAACAATGTGGTACTGGCATAAAGACAGATAGACCAATGGAATAGAATAGGGAGTCTAGAAATAAATGCTCACATATATGGTCAAATAATTTTTGAAAAAGGTGCCAAGACCACTCATTGGGAGAAAAGACAGTCTCTTCAACAAATGGTGTTGAGAAAACAGTATATCTACATGTAAAAGAATAAAACTGGATTCTTAAATCATACACAAAATATTAACTCGAAATAGATTAAGGACCTAAAAGTAAGATCCAAAGTTATAAAACTCCTAGAAGTTATCATAGGGTTAAAGATTCATGACATGGGATTTGGCAATGATTTCTTGGCTATCATACCAAAACCACAGGCAAAAAAGCAAAAATAGCTTAACTATTTAACTTTATACTTCAAGGAACTAGGAAAAGAAGAACAAACTAAACTATAGCTACTAGAAAGAAGAAAATAATAAGGACTAGAGAAGAGATTAGTACTATTAAGTAGAAAATAGAAAAATAGTAGATAAAAAATAAAACTAAGAGTTAGGTTTTTGAAAAGATAAAAAAAATATTCCCGGGAAAGAAAGAACTCGATATTGGGGACCACTGGTAATATCTACCACATGTTGTTTATAAGGGGAATAGGAAGTATCATATCTGAAAAATTTATTCTTTGTTCTTATAGGGCGGAGTGTGTATGTGTGTGTGTGTGTGTGTGTGTGTGTGTGTGCAGGAAATTGAGAATAGGGAAGACAAGGCTGTATATTTTCCCCATTTGGCAGTAGGACCCGAAAAGGACTCGATGAAAAAGCTAAAAGCTACTTGATCTCAAGTACTCCATGAGGTGTTTTCTTGTTGACTAAATCAAACTTTGTCGAAATTTAGTGTTAACTATCAATGGGCTACATGGTCCAGACAACTCCATTGTTAATCATCTGGAGGAGGAAGGAGGTAAGCCTTGGGCTGGGGGTGGGAGATCTGTATCTTTCCACTGGACCAGGAGTGATTGAACTGGGAATTTGGATAGGGGGACATTTGAAGAAGGTCTGGCCCTTATAACATGGCAGTAGGTCAGAAGAAAATGAGAAAAAGGTGTTCAGGTCCTGGAGAAGATCCCGTGAAAACCAGAGCCCACAACTAGAAGCAGTGACAGGTAACAACCAGTTTTAAGGCTTACTTTTTGTGTTCTAATTTTCTTCTGTGATGTTCTGATAACACTGCAACCAGGCTTGTTTGTGCTTCTAGGATTTAAGGAAGGGTTCTGACTCCATGCAGCAGGCTAAATTTAGAGAGGCAGTGGCAGAAGTCAGGAAAAATAAAAAGACTACAGTGACGACAGGGTAAATTTCTCCAATTTTTGCAGAAATTATGTGCGGAGGGGGCTGGGTATGGTGGCTCACTCCTGTAATCCCAGCATTTTGGGAGGCCGAGGCGGGCAGATCACGAGGTCCGGAAATCGAGACCATCCTGACTAACACAGTGAAACCCTGTCTCTAATAAAAATACAAAAAATTAGCCGGGTGTGGTGGCGGGCACCTGTAGTCCCAGCTACTGGGGAGGCTGAGGCAGGAGAATGGTGTGAACCTGGGAGGCGGAGCTTGCAGTGAGCTGAGACCGTGCCACTGCACTCCAGCCTGGGCGACAGAGCGAGACTCCATCTCAAATCAATCAATCAATCAATCTGTCAATAATTTATATGGGGAGGGTACTTGTAAGAAGAATGGAATTCCCAGTCCAGGGAATGGAGTTCTGCTGTGTTGTGACTTGGCATCATGTGACGGGAAATCCATGAAGACTGGGGAATGTGTGGATATCTGGGTCACACTTAGGTCTTTAAAAAGGCAGAAGTTAGACATCTTTACCAGCTGAGAAAAATGGATATGAAAATGCTTCCATTTCAAGAGATGGGGGTCTCAGCTATGTTGCCCAGGCTGGTCTCAAACTCCTGGCCTCAAGTGATCCTCTTGCCTCAGCCTCCCAAAGTGATGGCCAGAATTTTGTATTGGCTTTTAAAAAATATCATACATTTCTACCAGTGACTATCTCACATATGCATCGAACCACTCAGTATCATAATTGGTAAAGTTTTCTGGCACTTCAGTAACAAAACAACACTTACTTTGCACTGAGCACCTACTATGTGCCAGTTACTCTACACACATTAGCCTATGTGCCAGTTACTCTATACACATTAGCTTGACTCTTAACCGCCATGTCTGATACATGTTATTATTCCAGTTTTTATTCCATCTTATTCCATATTTTTTTCCAGTTATTCCTGTTTCACTTATAATGAAAGTTAAATTAAGCCAAATTAAGTAAAATTTTCAGGTTCTCACAGTGAGTTTGCAGCACAACTGCGATTTGAACATACATCTCCTGGCCTCCAAAGTCTACAGTCTTCCCATAAATATTAGACTTCCGTCTTCTGCCCCTACCTCAGGGGCTCATCTGGACAACAGGATGGTCTCTACTAAAAAGGGACTCAGCAATGTTAACTTGTTATCATCAGCAAAAGCATCATTAGTCCCACAAAGCCGTATGCAAGCACTCACAGCTGAGTGGGCTAACACAGTGGCTGTATTTTTCTGCTTTATTGCTATAACAAACTATCAGACAGCCTTAGTGGCTTAAATGGCACAAATTTACTATCTGTATTACAGTCTGTAGACCAGAAGTCTGGCCCTGATCTCACTGCATTAAAATGAAGGTGTTGTTGGAGCTGTGTTCCTTCTGGAATAAGAGTGAGTTTATTCCCTTCCCTTTTCCAGCTTCTAGAGGCCTCCTGCATCCCTTGGCTCATGGCCCCTTCACCATTTTCAGAACTAGCAATGGCAGATTGCATCCTCACATTGCATCATTCTGATCTGTTCTGTAGTTACATCTCCCTCTCTGACCTTCTCTTCTGCCTCCATTTTTCAGTTTTAAAGACCCCTGTGATGACCTTTGACCTACCGAGATAATCTAGGATAATCTCTTTATTTTAAGTCAGCATTAGGAATCTTTATCCCATCCGCTGCCTTAATGCCCCTTTGCCATGTAGCCTAACATAGTTACAGGTTCTGGGGATCAGCACATGAACATCATTGGGGACCATGGTTCTGCCCACTACAGTGGATTACTGATTCATATTCAAAGTTAGATTGGATCTAGAATGTGGTCCTGATTTAGATATAGAATGTGGTCCTGATCCCCTTAAGGATTGCTGTGTGTTTGTTTCATTTTCCCCCTGTGCTTCACTCTTTATGCTTTCAATCAATCTGGTGGTGAGAGGTGACTAACTGAAAAAATGGTAGATGGTTTCAAGGTGGTTCAATACCAAAAGCAAACAAAAAGACCATGGTTATCTTACATGAAGGCAGTATAATGTGAAGGCTGACTGTGGGCTTTGGAAGCAGGGTACCTGAGTTCCAGCCCCTGCTCTCCTGCTCATCATGCACAATCTTGGGTAAGCTATTTATCCTCCCTTTATGTCAGTTTCTTCATCTGCAAATGGCAATAATAAAGATAGTACCCAAACTGTTATGAGAACTAAACAAGTTAATTCTGGGCACATAATGAGCACTCAGTAAGTGTTACCTGTTACTAAAGAGATATGCCTGGTTATTAGCAAAAAGAATTGAAGGTTAAAATTCAGGGATTCACATTTGTTTGAGATGAGAGGCCAAGTATGGCAAGACAAAAATTATAGAAAGGCTCCAGGAGTCCTACACAGAGATGTCTGGGCTTGAATTGTGTCAAAGCAGCTGTGGGCTGGAGGGCTTCATCATAAAGAGTGCTATGGTTTGAATATGGTTTGCTTGTTCCCACCAAAGCTCATGTGAAATGTTATCTCCAATGTGATGGTGTTGAGATGTGGCCTAGTGGAAGGTATTTGGGGCATAGGCACAGATCTGTCATGAATGGCTTGGTGTTGTTAGTGCAGTAGTGAGTTCTTGTTCTGGCAAGATTTGATTAATTCCCTCAAGAGTGGGTTGTTATAAAGCCAGGATGCCCCTTGGATTTTCGTCTCTTCACACATGTCTGCTTCCCCTTTGACCTTCCCCACCATATGATGACACAGCATGGAAGCCCTTAACAAAAGCCAGGGCCATGCCCTGGAAATTCCCAGCCTGCAGAACTGTGAGTAAAATAAATCTCTTTTCTTTATAAATTATCTGGATTCAGGTATTCTGCTACAGCATCACAAAACAGACTAAGAGCGTGGGCTTCCTGGTCTGGCATTCATGACCACTCATAGGCCCCCTCCATTCATCTTTCCATCTCTGTCTCACTTCTCTCTCTTGTAGGAAATCAGTTGAATGTACCTGGGCTTTCCCAGTTCTGAATCTTTGCTCAAGTGGTTCTCTCCCATGACTACCTCCTCCCATATCTGCCTGTTGAGAAATCTCAAAGAACATCTCCATGAAGCCTTTATGAAGTCTCCAGCCGTGAAAGGACTTTCACTCTTCTGAATTCCTATAGCATCTCGTCTGCACAGCTCTTATATTATGGTTAATTGTCTCTGTGTCTTTTCTTCTTTACTAAGAGACAGGCTGCGTAATGTCCTTATCCACTTCCGCATCTTTCTCAGCACATGCTTAGGAAAGTTGCATTGAATAAATCGTTGGCAAATGAGGGAGTGAGAGTGTGCCACCTCCAAAACAGGATGTCTGCTTGCTTCTTTGGTGAGGAATTAGGTCATGGTATTCATAGTGTTCTACATCTTTGAAGTTACCCTTCTCTGATTACACACACCTCCCTTGCTCTGCTACTGGTCCCCAACCCAATGCATATCAGAAATCTTTTCTGAAACATGAAAAGTATACAGATGTCCTGGAGCTATCCCCAAGATTCCAATTCAGTAAGTTTGAGGTGGGGCCCAGACATATGTATTTGTTTTTAAGCTTCAGAGTTGATTCTAAAGGATGTGCAGAAAAAGTAACTTCTTTTTTTTTTTTTTTTTTTTTTTGAGACAGGATCTGGCTCTGTCCCCCAGTCTGGAGTGTAGTGGCGTGATCCCGGCTCACTGCAACCTCCACCTCCTGGGGTCAAGTCTTCCTCCTACTTCAGCCTCCAGAGTAGCTGGGACTACAGGCATACGCCATCATGCTTGGCTAGTGTTTTGAATTTTTTGTACAGACAGGGTTTTGCCATGTTGCCTAGGCTGGTCTTAAACCCCTGAGCTCAAGCGATCTACCTGCCTCAGCCTCCCAAAGTACTGGGATTACAGGCATGAACCACTGTGTCCAGCCAGCAAAGGTCATTATTGATAACTGGCATTGCAAAGAATTCCAGATATTGCTTAATGGATGATTCCTGAAAAATAATCAGAAAAAAAAATCTATCACTTCTCTATTCTTATTGCCAAAACATACCACAGCCATATTTTCAGGGGAGATGTCATAGATGTCAGTCCATACATAAATGATGAGGTTGAAATTTGGGCAAAATGAGTTCATCAGGATAAGAAATTAGCACGTATGTGGCAATAATGGATTGGGGGAAGAGGTGGGAAGGTAACAGGGAGACACTTTGTTTTTGCCAACATAAGAAAAAAAGCCTTGAGTTTTCTTGTATTTCAAGAGTTTTCATATATATATATGTGTGTGTGTGTATATAATGTGTGTGTGTGTATATGTGTATATACACACCTTTGGTATAGGGAGAACCAAGAGAAGCATCAAGTCATGGGAGGTAAAATACACACACACACACACACACACACACACACACACTCCTAAGCTACAAAGCCAAATGTGAAACACGGTAAGTCCACATGGGCTCAAGTGAGAAATTTGCTTCGGGATAACAATTCAGCCAGAAAGTAAACCAGATAAAATACCCAGAGGTAGATAAAGAAAAGGACAGGGAAACTCTGTGTTGTACTTGCAATCTAAAAGGTAAGATTTTTCTCAATGTTCCATCCTGAATCGGCTTTACCCTACTGAATAAAGTCTTGAAGGCTGAACTGTGGGTAAGTTTGTGTGTTACACATTAGCTAAAGGGACCCCATTATCCACGAGTCAGGAGCTCAGCTAGGCGGAAACTGTGGGTAAGAAAACAAAGGCAGTGTGAAAAAAATGGCTGAGGGGGCTCAGAAGTTGGGACTGTTTTTATTTGTTTGTTTTTCTTAACGCCATGGTATTTTAGTCTTGTTTTGTTTTCTTGATCAAATGTGTAGTTTCATACTGTTGTGGAATAGAGCCATGACTTTTATTTTGCAATTATATAGTTTCATTTCCCTTATATTTACGAAAACTACAAATTAATTTTTTCTTTGTGATGCTGATGTATTCATTGGGTTGTTACAAGAGCACAGGATGTCCCAATCTCCACCCGTCCTATCCACTTACCCCACCGGCAGCTGGTTTCCAGGTTCCTTGCCCTGGGTCTTAGGCTTCCTCTTTCTTTCAAACAAAAGCCTCCTTTCCCTAGTTCTCTCCTTGGAATCACAGAGGCTGGAGCTTAAGGAACACAAGTGGCCCAGCATTCTCAGGTTGCAAATGAGCAAAATGAGAAAACAGAGGCCCAGAGATGGGAGTGGCTTGGTTTCTGTGAGAAATGAGGGTCTCCCAGGAGGGAGCCAGTGCAGTCGGCCTTGCTAGCTGAATGTGTGTGGAAACGAAGGAAGTAATACAGGTGGCAAAGAGGTAATGGTTTAGTATCTCTACTCTAGTTTTGTTTTGTTTTTGTTTTTTTGGTTTTTTTTTTTTTTTTTGAGATGGAGTCTCGCTCAGTCGCCCAGGCTGGAGTGCAGTGGCACAATGTCAGCTCACTGCAAGCTCTGCCTTCTGGGTTCACGCCATTCTCCTGCCTCAGCCTCCCGAGGAGCTGGGACTACAGGCATGTGCCACCATGCCTGGCTAATTTTTTTGTATTTTTAGTAGAGACGGGGTTTCACTATGTTAGCCAGGATGGTCTCGATCTCCTGACCTTGTGATCCACCCTCCTCGGCCTCCCAAAGTGCTGGGATTACAGGTATGAGCCACTGCGCCCGGCCTAGTTTTTTTGAAGATCTGGGGAAATGGTAGCCTGTTTGAGAAGCCATTCTGCATCCAAGAAAAACAGACCCAGAAAGCCACCTGCTCATGCATACAAATGCTAAAACTCCAGGAAAGTGAGTGAACAGAACACATTCACCTGCAGGCACTAAGGAAACTGATTTGAGATATAGAATCCTGGAACATTTGTGCTAGAAAGAACCTCACAAGTCGTCTACTCTTATTCCCTTATTTTACAGGTCAAGAAACTCAATCCCAAAGATCACAAAGCTGATTAGAGGAGGGTCCTGATCCGACCCCCGAAAGCCCTCTCTACTGTCCTGAGTGGCCACCAAGTTTGCCTTTGAGAAACATCATGGGATTGTTGTTTGGATGTTGATTTATCTGTGTCCAGTTCTGCTTATTATGGGCTGGTATTAACATTTCTTTTTCTTCTTGTACACCAGTTGTCATAGCATTATCCACAGTAGTCAAAATGTGGAAATAACCCAATATCCATCAACAGATGAACAAAACATGGTGTATATATGGAATATTATTCAGTGTTAAAAAGGAAAGATGGCTGGGCACAGTGGCTCATGCCTGTAATCCCAGCACTTTGGGAGGCCAAGGCGGGTGGATCACGAGTTAAGGAGTTCGAGGCCAGCCTGGCCAACATGGTGAAACCCCCATCTCTACGAAAAAAATAGAAAAATTAGCTGGGCATAGTGGTGCGCACCTGTAGTCACAGCTACTCAGGAGGCTGAGGTAGGAGAATGGCTTGAACCTGGGAGGTGGAGGTTGCAGTGAGCCGAGATTGCACCACTGCACTCCAGCCTGGGAGACAGAGCGAGACTCTGTCTCAATAAAAAAAAAAAAAAAGAAAGAAACATACTGGTACATGCTACAACATGGATAGACCTCAAAACATCGTGCTAAGTGAAATAAACCAGACATAAAGGACATATATTGAATAATTCCCCTTACATGAGGTACCTAGAACAGGCAAATTCATAGAGATGGAAAGAACAGAGGTTTCTAGGGGCTGGAAGGAGGATGGAGAGGAGAATTACAGTTAAATGGGTCCAAAGTTTCTGTTTGGGGTGATAAATAAAACAAGCTCTAAAAAGGATAGTGGTAATGGTTGTACATCAATGTGAATGTACTTAACGAATTGTATCCGTAAAAATATTAAATTGATAAATTTTAAATTGTGCGTATTTCACTACAATTTTTAAAACTGAAAAAATTTTTATGCCTTTCTTTGTTGCAAACCAGTTGAGGCTCCAGTAAGCTGTGGTTTGAGAAGGTAGGCTAGGGAGCTAGCCTGAGTTGAATATGTCCGCAGATCATTTACCAATTGGTAAAACACAGACTTAAGTTTTTCTGTCTGGCTAGGCATGGTGGCTCATGCCTTGTAATTTCGGCTCTTTGGGAGGTCAAAGCAGGATTGCTTGAGGTTAAGACTTCAAGACCAGCCTGGGCAACATGGCGAGACCTCGTCTCTACAAAAAATTTAAAAATTAGCTGGGTGTGGTAGCCTATGCCTGTAATCCCAACCACTCGGGAGGCTGAGATGGGGAGATTGCTTGAGCCTCGGAGTTAGAGGCTGCAGGGAGCTGTGATTGCACCACTGCACTTCAGTCTGTGTGGCAGAGTAAGACCTTGTCTCCTTGTCTCTCCAAAAAAAAACAAAACAAGTTTTCCTTTCTAAGGCCTAACCCTGTCTAAAGGAAGTGTAACCCCAAAGATCAAATAATCGATTATCAAAAATACGTGGAGCTCCCACTCTCTGCCCCACTGTATATATACAAAAGAGGAGTGGGGTGGCGGGATGGTAGGAGTACAGACTTTGGGGCCAGGTTGTCTCAGCGTGAATCCTGGCTCCAGCATATATAAGCTTTTTGCCTCTTGAGTAAATTATTTTCCTCTGTGTTCAATTGCCTCATCTAAAACCAATGTACTATTGGTACTGCATTATAATTTGTTATAAAGGTGAAATGAGTAGGCATGATAAAGGACTCAGAAGACCACCTGGTGGCGCGTGAGCCGTTATCATTATTTTGATCACCTGTTACGAGGGACGTGGTATTAGCAGAGGTGTCTGCCTGCTCTCCAGAAACAAACTTCTTTTTGGTGAAAACTAGGCTAAGAGTAAGAAACTATTAGCAAACATCATAAAGCAGTATTGATGAGCTGGAGTGATAAGAACAAGCATCACAGAGCACGTGGTACTTCATAGAGTTCCTCCGTGTACCCAGGTATGTTTCATCTTTTCAACATCTCGAAAAAGCACATTACAGATTTTACTTAGTGGAAAACAGAGACTCAGAATCATTGCCTTGCTGAAGGATTCACAGCTTATAAGTGGTAAAGAATAAGAATCTTGGGAACTTAGAGACAGGAGAAACCAGTGTGGTCTAAGCCACTCAAGGAAGGCTTTGTGAAAATGTGACTTGAAAAATATCTTGAGTAAGATGAAGATGAGAAGAACATCTTGGGCTGGTACATGGAATGGTACATGGTTCATCTTGGGCTGGTACAGTGTGAATGAGGTGTGTTTGTGTGTATGTGTCTTTAGAGTTGTGCAGTGCACAACCTGTGTGGTCATAGAGAGCAGCCCTGCCAGCAGGGGAAACCACATGGGCAGGAATGAGCAAATTGTCTTTGTAATACAGGAAGAAGGCCTTGTTTGACTGCCACAGATGGGACATTTAGTGGAGTAAGAAGACTGGTGTGAGAACGGGGTGTTGGTGTTAATGTTTGGATTACGGTCCTAGATGCTGAGAATTCCTACAGTGGAAGGAGCTTTGGAATAAGAAACTCGTGATCTCACCCTTGCCTTGGCGCCCCCATCAGCTGTGTGACCCTGGGTAAGTCATTCCAACTCTCTGGGCTTCAATTTGTGCATCCATAGACTGAAAGGATTCAGCTGGGTGGCTCTCTCATTGTGTTTTCATGCCTGTTAAGATGTCAAAAATACTTGGTTATATGACTCTCTTTGCTTCGTTTACTGAAAGGAGAGGCTTGGGAAAGGGTCCTTTCCCATTTTTCTTTTACCCTCGGAATAATAGCCCCTTCTCAGGACGAAGGCTCTCTAAAGCCCTATTCTCTGAAGTATATTAGAGAAGGAAGTGTAAACATAAGATCCTTTTGGTATTTTTATTAAAAAATAAAAACAAAACCCAGGATGGGATAGACTTACCCTTTTCTCCTCTGAGTAATTAACTTGTCTCTCCCCTACATGGGGACAGCAGACCCAAGTATTTTATACTTCTCTTATCTCATCATTTCAAGCTCAGAGTTTTCTACCACTGTTATTTCCCAGTCTCTCTTTGGAATCTATAATGATAGGAATTCTTCCGTGCTTACTCTGTAGTCTGCACAATGTTTTGCAGCCCAAAATAGATGCAAAAAAGTGTGTTCCATTGACTCGTGTTGAATCATATAGGTAAAAAAACCAAGATACTTGTCACCACCTTACATTTGGGGAAACCAAGGCAAGGAATGGGAAAGTGACTTCACTGACGTGCAAAATAAAGGCTAGGCATGCTAACAGAGCTAAAGGTTTCCATCTTAAAGTCCTCGCTGTTCCCCACACGATGATGATGACAGTTGCATGTGTGGGGAGCGACAAACACGCTTTGCCAGGCCCACCAGATGGGCTTGGAAGCCAAGTCAGAGAGAGGCATTTCACTCTCCACATGTAATCGGCATTTACCAGCATTTGCTTACAACAAGAAACATTAAACAGTTTTCCACATTTCCTCTAAATGAATGGGACTCCGCAGGAAAACCCTAAAGGGAAGTGTCTGAGAAATCGGTGGCAGAGGAATTTCACTATGAGGAGAGCGAGCCAGTTCATTCTGTTTGCTTGTTAATAAGTTCTGTGTCGCCAGCTCCAGGGGGAACGGCCTCTTGAATAGCTGGCGGGGAAACGCATTCAAGGGCTCTGCTTGATGAAAATAGGGAATAACGGGAAGGGAGAGGAAGGGAAATAACTTCAGAAAGGATTGGAAAGCTTGTCCTCTGGAATGAAAACAAGCTGCTGCTAATTTGACTAAGTTACTGCTGAGTCTGGGTGCGAGCTGAGCGGCAGCTGAGCCGTGCAGGAAGCTGCAGCCCTGCTTTTCTGGCTCCTCTTTGCAATTTATATGCAGCCAATGTTACGTCTCATTCTTTCAGATAAGGCTGCATTTAGAATCCAGTGTGTTTCAAAAGACAAGCTGCAGAGGCTGGGGTGTGTGTATGACCTGGTTAGAGAGGTGGTTGATACTGATTGTGGATCAAGAAATAGATGAGAAATGTTTCCCTATGTGAAGCATTATCTAGAAGCAATACATGGCCGTGTCGCTCTCCTTAAGGAACATTCATTTGATCATCTTGATGCAGGGCAGGTGAGCCCCAAAGTGGGGCTTAGCCCACGAGGTTTCTTGGCTTCACCCAGGAAAGAATTTAAGGGTGAGCTAGTGGTAGGGTAGAAGAAAACAGTTTTATTCAAGTGGCAGCGTTACAAGTCCATGACTGTTTCCTGCACAGCAGGGCTGCCCCGTTGGCAGTGTGTTGACGGTAGCAGCTCAGGGTAGTTTTGCAGTTATATTTATACCTACTTTTAGTTACATGCAGATTAAGGGGCAGTACATGCAGAAATTTTTAGGGAAGGGGTAATAACTTTTAGATGTCAAGTCATTGCCATGGAAAGGGGCAGTAACTCTCAGATGTTGCCATGACAATGGTAAACTCACATGGCACACTGGTAGGTGTGTCTTATGGAAAACCACTTCCACCTTATCCCTGTTTTAGCTAATCCTCAATTTGGTCAGGTGTCCGAGCTCTGCCTCTGGAGTCAAGTCCTACCTCCTGCCTCAATCTGGCCAACAAATATTTATATCTGTGCTGTCCTGGGACGTGAAGCCAATTGAGTTGTGTACCTGGTTCTCAAAGACACTGATGAAGACAGAAAATAAATAGAAAATCATGATACAAGATATATGCCGTTCAGGGTACAGATTTGCATAGGTTCTTAAGGAAGGGGTACCTGTCCCAGGCTGAGGAAGATGGAGAAGGCAGGGTATGGAAAATCTGCCTAGAGGATGGGGTTCCTGAAGGAGAATTAGGAGTGAGTTAGCTGGTTTTCCTTCCACAATAAAAGGTGTGAGATTTAAGTACTCTGGGACCCACTGAAATTGTCTGCAAATTGGTGTGTTATGTTATGTTATGTTGTGTTATGTTACGTTATGTACATCTGCCTTTCTCCGGAGGGGACACATAACTTATCAGATTCTTAGAGGCCTAAGACCTTTTCTATCCCTAATTAATGATTTATGTTAACTGTGCAATACTTCTGAATATTTTACTGATGTCCAAATAATAGACATTCTATTTTCGTTTCTATGTGTATATATTTGCTTCTATATGTGTGGAACTATAGCAAACATTTATGTAGTTAAATCTTTGTGCACGTGTTTTCTTTTTAAATTTTAGAAACGTTATTGCGTCATCAAAGTATGTGAACACTTTAAAAACCTTTGGGTACATATTGTCAAAATTCCCTCTCCAAATTTATACAGGCTTATTACCAACAGAGGTGGAGTACCATTTCCCTGAACTCTTGCCAATGCTATTTGTATTGCCTTTTAATTAAGAAATATTTTAAATATAAATTGATACAGAAAATAGATGCCTATGAGCTTATTTACCTATATTTAATATATATGACAATTTGCCATAGTGTTTTTCATATCTTAATAAAGAAATAAAGTGTGTGTGATAGGGACAGCAGAAGCCCACTCTTTCCTTCCCATCTCATTCATCTCCTTCCCTCCCCCAATACCCAACATTTTTTCCTTTTCTTTCCTTCCTTTTGTAGAGAAAGGGTCTCACGATGTTGCCCAGGCTGGTCTTGAACTCCTGGGCTCAAACAATCCTCCAGCTTTGGCCTCCCAAAGTGCTGGGATTATAGGAGTGTGCCACTGTGCCTGGCCCCCAATATATATGTTTTTCCTAATCACTATACTACCGGGGATTGGCCCCCAAGGGTTTTTAAGTGGATATTTTCATACTTTTACCACTCACAGATGTCTCCAACAATATATAATAATGTACTTCTTAAAATAGCTATCATACTGAGCATAGTTATTGTAATTTTCTTTTTTCTGAGACAGAGTCTCTTGCTCTGTCACCAGGCTGGAGTGCAGTGGTGTGATCTCGGCTCACTGCAACCTCTGCCTCCTAGGTTCAAGTGATTCTCATGCCTCAGCCTCCTGCGTAGCTGGGATTACAGGCGCCCACACCATGCCCAGCTAATTTTTGTATTTTTAGTAGAGATGGGGTTTTGCCATGTTGGCTAGGCTGGTCTCGAACTCCGGACCTCAAGTGATCTGCCCACGTCAGCCTCCCAAAGTGCCGGGATTATAGGCGTGAGCTACCGTGCCCGGCTGTAATTTTCTTTAAACATTGATTTTTACTTTCTTCTAAAATGTTTTATTTGCTTTGCTTTTCCTTTGCTTCTCCCGCCTCTCTCTCCTACCATTCCTTGGACTGAACAGCTTTTGTTAGTCCCTCCTTCACCTCTATTGGTTTAGAAGTTATACAGATAATTTATTTCTACTCTTTTAGGAGTTATCCTTAAAATATTTTAAACAGCTTTATTGGGATATAATTTTCATACTATACAGTTCACCCATGTGATGTGTACAAGTCAATGGATTTTAATGTATTCACAGGGTGCGGCAACCATCACCACAATTTATGTTAATATTTTTATCATCCCCAAAAGAAACCTCAGAGCCATTATCAGTCACTCCCCATTCTCCCTTCCCCTCTGCCCTTGGAAACCACTAATCTATTTTCTGTCTCTGTGGATTTGTCTATTCTAGACATTTCACATAAATGGAATCATTCAGTAAGTGTTGTGACTGGCTTCTTTCACTTAATGTAATGTTTTCAAGATTCATTGATGTCGTACCATGGATCCATACTTCATTACTTTTTATGGCCAAATAATAATTATATGCATAAGTCATATCCATTCATCAGCTGATGAACATTTGGGTGTTTCCACTTTTTGACATTATGAGTGATGATATAAAGAACAGTCATGTATGAGTTTTTATGTGGACATATGTTTTCAAGTTCTCTGGATAGATACAGAGAAATGAAATTGGTAGATAATGTGATAAATCAATAGTTAGCTTTTAAAGGAACTGCAAAACTGCTTTCCAAAGTGGCTGCCCCATTTTACATTCCCACCAGGAATGTATGAAGTTCCTGTTTCTCCACATCCTCACTAACACTGTAATAGTCTTTTTTTTTTTTTTTTTTTAAGAATGATCCTTGTAGATGTGAAGTGGTATTTATTGTGGTTTGACTTTACATTTCCCTAATGACTAATGATGTTGAGCATCTTTTCATGTGCCTTTTTTTTTTTTTTTTAATGAGACAGAGTCTTGCTCTGTTGCCAGGCTGGAGTGCAGTGGCGCTATCTTGGCTCACTGCAACCTCTGCCTACCCGGTTCAAACGATTACCCTGCCTCAGCCTCCTGAGTAGCTGGGACTACAGGCGTGTACCACCACGTCCGGCTAATTTTTTGTATTTTAGTAAAGATGGGGTTTCACCATGTTGGCCAGGATGGTCTCAATCTCCTGACCTCGTGATCCGCCTGCCTCAACCTCCCAAAGTGCTGGGACCACAGACATGAGCCACTGCCCCCGCCCTTCATGTGCTGGTTGGTCATTCCTATATCTTCCTTGGAGAAAGGTCTACTCAGGTTCTTCGACTATTTGTAAGTTGGGTTATTTATCTTTTTATTACGGGGTTGTAATAGTTCTTTATAGCTTTGGGATACAGGTTGCATATCAGATATATGATTTGTAAATGTTTTTTCCCCTTCTATATGTTGTGTTTTGCTTTCTTGATGGTATCATTTATAGCACTGAAGTTTTCAATTTTGGTGAAGTCCAATTTCTCTATTTTTTTTTTTCCTTTGTCACTTGTGCTTTTGGTGTCATGTCTAACCCAAGTTCACTAAATTTACTCCTACGTTTTCTTCTAAGAGTTTAGTAGATTCAGCTCATAACATTTATATCTGTTGTCCATTTGAATTAATTTTTGTGTATGGTATAAGGCAGGGTCAAAATTCATTTTTTGCCATGTGGATGTCCAATTGTTCTAGCCTCGAATTAGTAACATGCATATGTTACTTAAGGACAACTTAGGTTTTTAAAATAAACTTCAGAATGATCAGGACTCATATACCACTTTAATTCTGATCATCCTGACCTCTTTCATGGTATTGAGGCCTAGTATTTTACTTCTATCCTCTTTTTGAGGCCCCCAGCATTCTTAATGACATTACACTTCATACATATGTGATGTTAATACTTCCTGGGTGTCTTTGCTCACCAGTGCTTTTGCTTCTCACTTTTTCCTTCTTGGTTTAGTTGGCTGCTTTTTTCTTTTTTTTCTTAAGACAGTGTCTCCCTTTGTTGCCCAGGCTGGAGTGCAGTGGTACAGTCTTGGCTCACTGCAACCTCTGCCTCCCCAGCTCAAGTGATCCTCCTACCTCACTACGCAAGGTGGTGGTTCAAACCCCTCCGCTGAATTCCAGATGAATTTATTCAACTGTTCACTGGATATCTCCACATGAATGTCTTCTATGCACCTCAAACTTGACATGACCCAAACAGAGCTTTTGAGTTCTGCCTACCTGCTCGTGCCACAGTCTCATCATAGTCAGTGGGAACACCATCTTTGCAATACTTGCCCCCAAACCCAAGCATCATGGCAGATTCTTTTCTCATTTGTACCCCACATTCCATTTCAGCAAATCATGTTCAAAATACATCCAGATTCTAACCACTTTCACTATGTGGTGGAGCCTCCTGTTTATAGTCTCTCATCTGTTTATCATGAAGGCCCCCTACCGGTCTTTCTGGTCTGCCTTCAGCTCATTCTCTGCATATCTCTGAGTTAAAATATAAATTAGATTATGTCATTCCTTTGCTCAAAACCCTCACACGGTTTTTCATCTCACCCCTGGTGAAACTAAGCCCCACAGTGGCCTCGCAGAGCCACAGTCTGGCCTCTGAGGTCTGCCTGGTCTGTTTCCCTGCCATACTCCCTCTCTCACCTCCTGACAGCCACAAGGGCCTCCTTGCTGCTCCTCAAACCCATCAGGCCGGCCCTTGACTTGGAGCTTTTACATTTGTTGTTCATCTTCTCAAAACATTCTTCTCCAAGATTTATTTCCGCATGATATCCTTCAGGTCTTAATCACAGATTACTTTGTGCCTGCCCTAGCCTGCCTATTTAAAATGGCATGCTCCCTAATAATTCCTACCCCATTCCCTGCTTTGGTTTTCTCCATAGCAATTACCACCACTGACTATATTATGGTAGGTTTTATTTTTCATTCACGATTACTTATTCCCTTCTCTGTAGGAGGATTATGCATACGCACTCTTGCCGTGCTTGTCTCTAGTGCATACCATTGGCAACTTTGGGTATGTGATTTGTTTATATTAATAGAATGTGAGCAAGCATGACACAGGTCGCTTCTAAGCGAAAGCTTTCAGTACAACAGTATGATTGGCTTGATGTCTTGCATTTTTGCCCTCTGCCGCTATAAGAGCATGTCCCAGATGGGGACTTGTTCTTCAGTCTGCCTCCTGGAACTCACAGATTAGACCCATAGTCAACCCCCAGCCTGGAGTAGAGCCACAGGGAACCTGCAACCCTCATTTGACATGAAAAACAATTATCATTATAAATCATTGAGATGTGAGGATTGTCTGGTTACCGCAGCAAACACTTAGTAATATATCAAATTTTACTTAAAAAACTATCTCTCTTGTCTTTCTCTAGCAAGTGGACCATTTAAAAAAAAGAAGAAGAAAAACAACAACCACAAAATTATCTCTTTCTTTTAGAAAGTAAATGCTGTGAAAGCAGGGATTTTTGTCTTCATTCATTGCTTTCTTTTTCATACCTAAAATAGTGTGGGGTACATGGTAGAGCTTCATAAATATATATGGTATTAATTAATATATGCTAGAAAATTCTTAGTCATTTTCCCTTTAAATATTGCCTCTCCTCTTTTTCTCTATTGCCTTTTCCTGGAACTCCTATTAGATGTATGTTGGACTTTCTCATTCTCTCTTAACCACTCTTTTATATTTTCCATTTCTTTAAATCCCCAAATTCTTCATTGTGGATATATTTTTTTTAGGTTTTATTCCAATGACTATATGTTTTATTTCTTTAAATTCTATTCTACTCTTTTTTCAAATGTGCCTATTTTCAGAATGTGCTTTTCTTCAGTATGTTTTTTTATACCATCCTTTATCATTTTGACAAATTAAAACATATTTAGTTTATGTTTTTCTGTTGGAAGAATATTATCTGACGTTTTGGGAGATGGTAACTGCCACTTTTTTTTTTTTTTGAGATGGGAGTCTCGCTCTGTTGCCCAGGCTGGAGTGCAGTGGCATGATCTCAGCTCACTGCAAGCTCCGCCTCCCGGGTTCACTCCATTCTCCTGCCTCAGCCTCCTGAGTAGCTGGAACTACAGGTGCCCGCCACCACACCCTGCAATTTTTTGTATTTTTAGTAGAGATGGGGTTTCACCATGTTAGCCAGGATGGTCTCGATCTCCTGACTTCATGATCCTCCCGCCTCGGCCTCCCAAAGTGCTGGGATTACAGGCGTGAGACACCACCACGCCCGGCTGGTAACTGCCACCTTTTTAAAACTTATGACTGTTGCTCACAGATTATTTTCTCTTGTGATTTATAATATTTTTGGAAGCTCAGCCACAGTGAGCATTAAAAAAGTATTCTTGTTAGAGCCACATGTGCTCTTTCAAAAAAAATCATTGGCTTGGGACTTCTTTTACCAAAAAAAACAAAAACAAAAAACAACACCAAAAAAAAACAGTGCTAATTTGTACTTTGTGCCCGCATAAGGCATAGACTTGAGTTTTCACCTTCTTCCAGTAGGTTTTTATTTCCTTTTTTGCTCCCCAGAAACCTAGTCAGAGATAATGACACTTTTTTCTTCACTGAGGTGTTAAATGGAGTTTTAAAGTTCACTCTTTACTGACAGTGCAGCCTTTTCAGGGTCCCTGGGTGAACTGCAGGGTCCTTCAGGGTCCCTACAGGAGTCATAGTATGTGTGAAGCCCCACCCTTCACTCTTAGCTGTGTATTCTTTGAGTCCTCTCTCTCCCAGCCTTCCACCATCCTCAGCCCTGAGGAATCAGCTTTCAAGCTCCTTGCTTTATCTTTGTCTTCCAGAGACTGCTTAGAAAGTTTTTTCTTGCCTTGAGATTAAAAAATCTCCATCTGTACTTTTTCTAGGTTTTAAAAAATTACTTATTTTTTTTTACATTGAAAGTTATAGGTCATGTGAAATTTATTTTGGTACATGGTGTAAGGTAGATATCTAACTTTACTTTTCTCCCAAATGGCTAAACAGTTGTCTAAACATATCTTATTAAGTAATTCGTTGTTACTCTCTGTTCACCTTTATCACGAATTCTTATGCATATGGGGTGAATTTCAGAGCTTTCTGTTTCACTTTAATGGTCTGTCTGTCATTCCCTGTGCTATTATCATATTCTTTTAAGTAGTGTATCTTTCTAATACATTTTAATATTGGGAAATTCAGGCCACCTTGAAGTCCTGTTTTTTCTTGTCTGGTAGCAGATGTTTATTCTTTTTAACAAGCTGAAGAATTATTTTGTTCAGCTACACAAAACATGTTTAAGATTTGATTGAAATGAAACACATTTATAAATTAATTTAAAAATAATGGGCATCTTTATGACATTGAGCCATCTCATGAAGAAGTATTTCCTCATATGATATTTCTTCATATAGCATTTGTTTTAAAACTTATTTTTTTGTTTTTTTCTTTTAAATGACTTTAAAATGCTTTAAGTTGTGGTAAAATAGACATAACATAAAATTTACCATCCTAACTATTTTTAAGCATATAGTTCAGCAGTAAAGCTCATTTTCAGCTCATTCATATTTTAATATAACCCATGTTCAGGACTCTTTTCATGTTGCAAAAGGAAAACTCTGTACTCATTGAACAACTCCTCATTCCCACTTACTCCAGCCTCTGGCAGCCGCCATTCTACTTTCTATTTCTGTGAATTTGACTACCCTAGGTACTTCACATAAAGTACTTTTCTTTATGGAATTATATAAAGTATTTTTCTTTTTGTGACTGGCTTATTTCACTTAAAATCCTTAAGGTTCATTCATGTTGTAGTGTGAGTCAGAATTTCTTTCCTTTTAAAGATTGAGTAATATTCTATCATATGTGTATATCACATTTTGTTTATCCATTCATTCATCCATGAATGCTTATTTGGCTGCCAACTCGGTATCATGAATAATACTGATATAAACTTGAGTGTAAAAATATCTCTTTGAGATCCTGATTTAAATTATTTGGGGTATATATATAGAAGTAGAAGTGCTGGATCACATGGTAATTCTATTATTATGAATGTTTTATACAGTTATTAGTGGAATTTTCTCTGCATGATATTTTGTAATTGGTCCTTGGTGGCATAAAGAAAAATCTATTGGATTTTGTGTATTTCCTGTGTTTTTTATTAGTGGTTCTCAAGCTTGGATGCATATTAAAGGCATCTGGCAGCTTTTAAAACAGACATGGAGCCAGGCCTCAGTCAAGAACAATTATATCAGAATTTCTGGGGTGAGCCCCAGGTATTGATAGTTTTTAAAAGCTTTCCAGGTGATTGTAAAATGAAGTAAAGGTTGACAAAGGTATTAGACTCAATCATTGTTTAGTTGATGCACATGGATGTTTTAGACAAATAATATCATCTGCAAAGAATCATTTTCTATTCTTTTCTATATTTACACCTCGTTAATGTGTTTTGGACTTATCGCATTGACCAAAATTTCCTCAACAATGCTAAATACATCTTTGTTTTGTTCTTGATTTTAAAAGAATGCTTTTGCTTTAGGTATATTAGATGCTGTTTTCAAAGAGATTTTCTTTTTCTTACTGTGCATTTCTTGAGCAAGATATAAAAGTAGGGATCATCTGAAGAGGTTACATTTTATCCATGCCTGTGTCTTTTGAAATTTTAGTATATATTTTCCTGAAGTAAGCACAGATGATTTTTCATAGAAATCGAATTACGAATGTATTTCCTATTCATTTCACTAACACATTTCGTAAAATGTATGTTGAATTATCAATGGATGCTGACATTTATGACATCCTTATCTGCTTTGCCCAAAAGCTACCTTGAGGCATATTAGTGGATATTTGCTAGCATTGAAACCATGGGTTAGAGCTGCTTTCTAATGGTTATGTGTTCTTCCCCTCCGCTTGGACAGATGACTCTCTGGACTGATGGAGTACATAGCTGCTCTGCTCCTAAAAGATACAGCCACCTTGTTTATTTCTACCTCTGCTCCTATCTAAAGAGACTTTTTGCTGGGGTTTGGCCTAGGCTGTGATGTGTTACTACTGTTTCCCCACATTTCCTGTTTAGATGTTTCTGGGCATTGCTATATCTGATTGGTTGTAAAACAAATGTTGGGTGAGAACATGTGACAGAGGGGAATAGTACCTGCCGAGACTAAAAGGTGGCACCTGCACCCCAGGTTTCTGGGTCTTACAGCTTCCGGGTCTGAGTCAGGAGACAACGGTAAGGAAGGGATGACTTATCTTCCTTTCTCTTTTCTCTCTTTTTCTCTTTGTTTTCTTTCTCTCCTGTCTTCCTTTCTTTTTAAATGATCTCCATTTTATGAAGCACAGACTGAGATTCATGAGGCAATAATTGGCCAGATTTTATTTAACAAAACTCTGTTTTTCTGTAGATTCTGGGGATTCCTTCTGGGTTTGGCATTATGTTGTCTGGAAGATTTTCTTTTCCTCTGGTGGTTTTTAATCTTTTAATTGAGTTGGGTTTTAACTTTTTAAAAGTTTTTTAAAATATATTTTAGGCCAGGCACGGTGGCTCACACCTGTAATCCCAGCACTTTGGGAGGCCAAGGCAGGTGGATCACGAGGTCAGAAGTTCAAGATCAGCGTGGCCAAGATGGTGAAACCTGGTGTCTACTAAAAATACAAAAAAAAAAAAAATTAGCTGGGCATGGTGGTGGGCACCTGTAATTCCAGCTACTCGGGAGGCTGAGGCAGAGAATTGCTTAAACCCGGGAGGTGGAGGATGCAGTGAGCCTAGATTGCACTGCTGCACTCTAGCCTTGGTGACAGAGTGAGACTCCATCTCAAAAAAAAAAAAAAAAAAAAAAAGGATATTTTAGCGGGATGTTGGAAAAGATTGAATTAAGGCTTAGATTCAGATACTATTTTAAACCAGAAGCCTAATACTATTTTAATCAGGAGAGTGATGTGCAGATCTGGACTAAAATGAAGATAAGAGAGGAAGCCTAGAGACCAGTAAGGGAAGCTATGATAGCACATTAAATTGTTGGAGGACACTTTTCTTTTTTTTGAGACAAGGTCTCACTCTGTCACCCAGGCTGGAGGGCAGTGACACAATCACAGCTCACTGCAGCCTCGACCTCCCCAGGCTTAGGTGTTCCTCCCACCTTAGCCTCCTGAGTAGCTGGGACTACAGGCATTTGCCACCACACTCAGCCAATTTTGGTATTTTTAGTAGAGATGAGGTTTTACCGTGTGGCCCAGGCTGGTCTCAAACTCCTGGGCTCAAGCAATCCACCTGCCTTGGCCTCCCAAAATGCTGGGATTATCGACATGAGCCACCACACCCAGCCTGGAGGACATGTTAATGCAGCATAAAATAAGGTACTAATCTGAATGTCATTGGATATAACCAATCTCATGTAATAGAAAGATCACTGGGCTTGCTATCAAAAGCACTGAGCTTTAGCTCTAACTAACATTAACCAGCTGTGCAAACTTGAACAACTCTTTTAACTTCTTTAAATCTGAAATTAATCACAGTTAAACCAAGATGTCAACATGACTGGTCTAGGGGATGCCCAGACAGCTGGTAAACATGCTTTCTGGATGTGTCCATGAGGGTGTTTCCAGGAGAGATTTGTATCTGAATTGGTGGACTGAGTAGTGTGGATCTGCCTTCATCAGCGTGGATGAGAGTCATCCAACTAAGGGCCCAGATAGAACAAAAAGGCAGAAGAGTGAATTTCCTCGCTCTCTCCTTGAACTGGACAGTTGTCTTATCCTGCACTCAGACACTGGTGCTCCCAGTTCTTGAGCCTTAAGCCTTAGACTGAGAGTTACATTGCTGGCTCCTCTAGTTCTCAAGCCTTCAGACTTAGACTGAATTATACCACTGGTCCTTAAGGTTATTCCTCTTGCAGTTGGAAGATCATGGGACTTGACCTCCATAATTTTGTGAGCCAATTCCAATAATACATACCCTCTTCTGTATCTATAAGACAGATTTTCCTGGTGGTTTTGTTTCTCTGGGGAACCCTGACTAACGCACCTACGTGAAAAGGTCAAGAAAGATCTATAGTTCTTGAGACTATCTGACATTTTTGGTTTTGATCATTCCATATGTAAAAATGAATGGTGTGGGCTCTGAGTGCAGTCGAAGATTGACTTGAAGCAGGTGGAGTGTGTGATGGGCTTGGAAGAAAATCAGATTTGAATGGAGAGGGCAGTGAAGCCTCCAAGGGCTTCCTGTTGAAGGTGGGGGGTTGCTGTTCCTGGTTTGTGTGCTAAGGTTGACACAATGTTTTGTTTCTAGAAGAAGGAGTAAAAAAAGGACATACTAGAATGGATTTGTTTTTATTTTAGTCTGATGTATTATAATCTTTGTGAGTAGTTGTAGTAGACTGTTTTTGCACTGCTATATAAACAAAAAACAGAGACTGGGTATTTTATAAGAAAGGTTTAATTGGCTCACAGTTCTGCAAGCTGTACAGGAAGCATGGTGCCAGCATCTGTTTGGGAGGCCTCAGGAAGCTTCCATTCATGGCAAAAGGTAAGGGAGAGCAGGCATAGGACATGGCGCAAGCAGGAGCGAGAGAGAGAGAGAAAGAAAGAATATTGGATATTGGGCGGGGGAGGTGCCACACACTTTTAAACCACCCTAACCTGTGTGAACTCAGAGCAAGAGCTCACTTATCATGAAGGGGCTGGCTCATGCCATTCATGAGGTATCCAACCTCATGATCCAAACACCTCCCACCAGGCCCCACCTCCAGCATTGGGGATTACAATTCAACATGAGATTTGGGTGAGGACAAGATATCCAAACTATATCTTTAGTATTTGCAATAATTCATCAGAATTTTCTTATAGAAAGCCTAGCCTTTACAGTGGGGCAGAACCAGCACTTTGCACATATTATAGTAATGCAAGAGGGGTAGATATGACTGCATCTTGATGAGGTTAAATGATGTGGACAAGCCTGCATAGCTTGCAAATAGACAAACTTCAAAGTCTACCTACATCTGTGATTCCAAAGCCTGTGAGCTTCTCCCTGAGTAGAGCTGCTTTAGCTCGCAGGTCCCGTAGGTGTGGTTGTGTTGTTGATAATAGAGCCAAGGAAATGTGATATGTTTGCTGGGCTGGTAAGAAACCATGCCCTCCTGGAGGTCAGTGACTGTGTTTTATCAACTTTCTAAACCCAAAGACTGGCATGATTACTGGACCATATAGTAGATACGCCGTAAATATAGTTAAGTGGAATTGAATTACACACAGTACCAAGTGGGGATCTGAATGCACCCTCTCTGTCTTTCTTGACGCTCCATCTGAATTTGTCCTGGAGTCTTGGCCTGAATTTTCTCCCCCAGGTGCATGTCAGGGAAGGTCACAGACTTGAAATATTTGCTTACAAGTCAATTTGGAGATCAGCAAGACTGAATCTCAGCACTGAGGGGGATGGAGAGTGATGCCTTCAGGCTGGGGTTTTGAAACCAAACAATTAAGTTCATTAACAGTAATGAAACACAGGGAAGACAGCAGCAGCGAGAGATACTCAGTATAAAATGAGCATTGGCTCTCCCTTCACCCTCCTCTCTTTTTCATTTTCTTCCTCTCAAAATGAAAGTTGCTGACCTGTGGGGCTTTGTTTACCCCTGTGAACTGTGAAACTATTGCATTCTTGAATAATTGTGACTAATCATGGGGAAACAGACCTTTTAAAGCAGCTTGGTACAAAAAGGCAGATCTCGCATTTTGAAAATATAAATGGATCAATGCAGATTCCAAGTTCCATAACCAAATCATGTTGTGTGTGTGCACGCAAATCATGTGTGTGTGCACGCGTGTGTTTCTTTCTGGTGCTTGGCACACCATGGCTGCCTAAATTATGTTTGCTGTGTTGCATTAAAAAAAACAAACCTCAAGCTGCTGTTTGAACTGACCCCTTTGTTGACGCTCCCTTTCTGTTCCCTGTGGTCAGCTTGGGGTTAGCTTGGCATGATGGAGGGACCTGCAAAAGGCACCCCATGTTTCTCAACCAAAACAGGCCCATGGAGGTGCACAAGCAAAGCAAATTCAGAGCAATGGAGAGGCCTGGAGGGGTGGGAGGGAGGGGTGTGTAAGCTCGTCCTGCATGACTGGTGTGCACTGTGACGGGCTTCTAATAGGTGAAATAAAATTGTAGTCACCACCGTAAAAGACTTCTGCTGCAATTTATTAATCAGGGTCTGGGGAGATCGATGACACTGAATGATTATGTAGCATTAGGCGAACGCCCCGCTCCTTTGGCAATGCTGCTCTCTGGATGGGCTACAGATGCTCACATCTGCTTTTGTTACAGCCTCAAACTCCTGCGACCTGGCATGAAGTTAATGAAGGCCCTTGCACTATTCCCCACATTCCTTTAGCAAAGTTAACCATATCTGGTCAACCTGGAAATCCAATGAGTTAATTAAGACAGAATTGTCTATGATTTCCTTTTACATTATAACTGCCCCCTCAACCCTCAACCACCCCTACATGGACGCGGTCCCCCTCCTCCCTGCAAACCTAAGCAGTGAAACTGCCTCTTGCCCCATGTGCCAGAATGATTAATGGGGGGACTACAATGAGGTCAATTAGCTAGGGTCGGCTTGAAGCTGAAAGGTGGAGTGTGTTTCTTTATTGAACACTGCATTCACACTCCAAACAGTGACCTGCGCTGCAGTGATTTATTGCGAGGGCAGTCCTCTGATCACTTACCTTCAGTGCTTGTACCTTGGCTTTGAAAACCGGGCTTTCACTGTCAATTAACGCCAGACAAGGAGATCCATTCAAAATCTGAAATGCATACCTAATAATGGAATGAGGGCAGGGGCGGTGGAGGGGAGGGGCTGAGCGCAGAGGGTAGCAGCCCGGGACAGTGGCTCTGTGGCCAGCGGGACACCCAAGCTGTGGAGGGGCTGGGCTTTCCTTTGAGGACTAAAATGCTTTGGGTTTGAAAGCACGTTACCCTGCTTGGCAACAGAATCTTGAAGGGGTCGCTTTGTTGGCCCCAAAGGGCACACTCTTCTACTCAGTTTTGTAGACATGAGAGAGCTGCAGGAAAAACTTAGTAGTTTCTGTGTATTCTTAAAGTGATGATAATTTCTTGCACGGGCCTCTGAAGTGGGATTTCAACATGAGTCACTTGCATTTGGGGGCTTTTCTTTTTCTTTTTTTTTTTTTCTTTGGAGACAGAGTTTCCTTCTTGTTGCCCAGGCTGGAGTGCAATGGCGCCATCTAGGCTCACCTCAACCTCTGCCTCCCGGGTTCAAATGATTCTCCTGCGTCAGCCTCCCTAGTAGGTGGGATTACAGGCATGCACCACCACACCCGGCTAATTTTGTATTTTTAGTAGAGATGGGGTTTCTCCATGTTGGCCAGACTGGTCTCAAACTCCCGACCTCAGGTGATCTGCCTGCCTTGGCTTCCCAAAGTGTTGGGATTACAGGCATGAGCCACCGAGCCTGGTGCTGGGGGCTTTTCAAACAAGGATTATTAGCATCTCAGTGTAACACGATGGGTTGATACCTGTATAAAAAATACTAAGGCAAGAACGAGACTTTTCAGGGATGGTCAAGAATATGTAGTGGGTAAGTCATGTTTCTTCCTATGATTATTATTATTTGGTTTGCATTTTTTATTGATATCAACATTCATACATATTTGTGGGGTACATGTGATATTTTGTTACATGCATAGACTGTGATGATCAAGTCAGGGTATTTGAGATATCTACCACCTCTAATATTTATTATTTATTTTTTTTTTTTGAGACGGAGTCTTGCTCTGTCACCCAGGCTGGAGTACAGTGTCACGATCTAGGCTCACTGCAAGCTCTGCCTCCCAGGTTCACGCCATTCTCCTGCCTCAGCCTTCTGAGTAGCTGGGACTACAGGCGTCCGCCACCATGCCCAGCTAATTTTTTTTTTGTATTTTTAGTAGGGATGGAATTTTGCCATGTTGGCCAGGCTGGTCTCAAATGCCTGACCTTGTGATCCACCCGCCTTGGCCTCCCAAAGTGCTGGGATTACAGGCGTGAGCCACCGTGCCCGGCCCACCTCTAGTATTTATTATTTCTATGTGTTGAGAATATTTCAAGTCCCCTCCTAGCTGTTTTGAAATATACAATACAATACTGTTAACTTTAGTCACGCAACTCTGCTGTTGAACATTATAATTTATTTCTTCTAAGTGTATGTTTGTCTCTTTGTACCTGTTAGCCAGTCTGTCTGTATTCCCTCCCCTCTACAGATCCACACCATTCCCAGCCTCTGGTATCTATTATTCTATTCTCTACCTCTGTGATATCAATATTTTTAGCTCCCACATGTGAGCGAGAACATATGGTATTTGTCTTTCTGAGCCTGGGCATCATCTCACTTAATATAATGATGTGCAGTTCCATCCATGTTGCTTCAAATTACATTATTTCATCCTTTTTAATGTGTGAACAGTATTTCATAGTGTGTGTTTATACATCTCACATTTTCTTCATTCATTAGTGGATTGTACATTGTTTCCATATCTTAACTATTGTGAGTAGTGCTGCAGTGAACATGAAAGCGCAGATATCTCTTTGACATACTGATTTCTTTCGTAGATAAACACAGAGTAGCAAGGTGGCAGGATCATATGGTAGTTCCATTTTTAGTTTTCTGAGAAATCTCCATACTATTTTCCGTGGTTGTACTAATTTACATTCCCACTCACAGTGTGTAAGAGTTCACTTTTCTCCATATCCTCACCAGCATCTGTTACTTTTTATCTTTTTAATAACAGCCATTCTAACTGGGGGTAAAATGATATTTCATTGTGTTTTGTTTGTTTTTTTGAGACGGAGTCTCACTCTATCGTTTAGGCTGGAGTTCAGTGTTATGATCTCAGCTCACTGCAACCTCTGCCTCCTGGTTTCAAGCAATTCTCCTGTCCCAGCCTCCTGAGTAGCTGAGACTACAGGCACAGGCTAACTTTTTGTATTTTTAGGAGAGATGGGGTTTCACCATATTGGTCAGGCTGGTCTCGAACTCCTGACCTCAGGTAATCCACCCACCTTGGCCTACTAAAGTGCTGGGATTACATGCGTGAGCCACTGTGCCCAGCCTCATTGTGGTTTTGATTTGCATTTCTCTGATGTTTAGTGATGGGGAACATTTTGTTGTATATCTGTTGGCCATTTGTATGTCTTCTTTTGAGAAATATCTATTCCTGTCCTTTCCCCACTTTTTAGGCATTATTTGTTTTTGTTTTTGCTATTGAGTTGTATGAGTTTTTGTATATTCCGGATATTAGTACCTTCTCAGATGAATAGTTGGCAAATATTTTCACCCGTTCAACAAGTTGTCTCTTCGCTCTGTTGATTATTTTCTTTGCTGTGTAGAAGCTTTTTACTTTAATATAGTCCCATTTGTGTTTTCGTTGCCTGTGCTTTCGAGGTCTTAGGCATAAAATTTTTGCCCAGACCAATGTCCTGAAGTGTTTCCCCTGTGTTTTCTTCTAGTAGTTTTATAGTTTCGTCTTAGATTTAAGTCTTTTATCTAACTTGAGTTGATTTTTCTATATGATGAGAGATAGGGGTCCAGTTTTATGCTTCTGTGTATGAATATTCAATTTTCCCAGCACCATTTATTGAACATGATGTCCTTTCCCCAATGTTTGTTCTTGGCCCCTTTGTTGAAAATCAGCTAGCTGTAAATATATGGATTTATTTCTGGGTTCTCTATTCCATTGGTGTATGTGTCTGTTTTTAATACCAATACCATGCTGTTTTGCTTACTATAGCCTTGTAATATGTTTTGATTCCAGGTAGTGGGATGTCTCCAACTTTGTTCTTTTTGCTCAGGATTGCTGTGTCTATTCTGGCTCTCTTTGGTTCCATATGAATTGTAAGATTGTTTTTTCTATTTCTGTGAAAAATTATGTTGGTACTTTCATACAGATTACTTTGAATCTGTAGATTGCTTTGGGCAGTATGGGTATTTAACAATATTAATTCTTCTAATCCATGAGCATGGGATATCTTTCCATTTGTGTCCTCTTCAATTTCTTTTATCAGTGTTTTGCAGTTTTTCTTATAGAGGTCTTTCATCTTTTTGGTTAAATTTATATTTAGATATTTTAATTTATTGGTAGGCATTGTAAATGGAATTGGCTTCTTGATTTCTTTCTCAGCCAGTACACTATTGGTGTATAGAATAGTGTATGTTAATTTTGTATCCTGCAGCTTTACTGAATTTATCATATCTAAGAGTTTTCTGGTATAATCTTTAGGTTTTTCTATATATAATATCATTCCTTCAATATGAGATCCAAAAATTAAAAATATGTACCATTATATCATCTGCAAAGAGGGAAAATTTGACTTCCTCCTTTACAATTTGGATGCCTGTTATTTCTTTCTCTTGCTTGACTGCTCTGGCTAGGACTTCCAGCACTCTGTTGAATAGGAGTGGCTAAAGTGGGCATCCTTGTCTTGTTCCAGTTCTTAGAGGAAAGGCTTTCAGTTTTTCTCCATTCAGTATCATGTTAGCTGTGGGTTTGTCATCTGTGGTCTTTATTATGTTGTGTTATGTTCCCTCAATAACTAGTTGTTGAGACTTTTCATCATAAAAGGATGTTGAATTTTATCAAATGCTTTCTCTGCAACTGTTGAGATGACCATATGGTTTTTGTCCTTCATTCTGTTGATGTGATGTATCACGTTTATTGATTTGCTTTTTTTGACCCATCCTTGCCTCCTGAGGACTTGATCATGGTGTCTTATCTTTTTGATGTGTTGTTGGATTTTTTTTGCTGTTATTTTGTTGAGGATTTTTGTGTCTATGTTTATCAGGGATATTGGTCTGCAGTTTTTTTTTTGTTGTTGCATCATTGTCTGGTTTTGGTATCAGGGTAATGCCAGCCTCATAGAATGAGTTATGGAAAATTCCCTCCTCTTTAACTTTTTAGAATAGTTTGAGGAGAATTGGTATTAGTTCTTGATGAAAGTTTGGTTGAATTTCACACTGAAGTCATCCAGTCCTGAACTTTGCTTTGTTGGGAGACTTTTTATTACTGATTCAATCTCATTATTCATTATTGGTCTGCTGTGGTTTTCTGTTTCTTCCTGATTCACTCTTGGTGATTGTATGTATCCAGGAATTTATCCATTGCCTGTAGATTTTCTATTTTATTAGTGTATAGTTGTTCATAATGGTCTGTAACTTTTTGTATCTCTGTGGTGTCAGTTTTTAATGTTTCCATTTTCATATCTGATTTTATTTGGGTCTTCTCTCTTTTTTTCTTGGTTAGCCTAGCTGTCTAAAGCAATCTACAGATTCAAAGTAATCCCTGTTTGTTGGTTTTGTTTATCTTTTTTTAAAAAAACAACTTTTTGTTTTATTGATCGTTTGTATTTTTGTTTTTTGTTTTGTTTTTGTTTGTTTTTTTTGGTTTGTTTGCTTTGAGATGGCGTGTTACTCTGTCACCCAGGCTGGAGTGCAGTGGCATGATGTCGGCTCACTGCAACCTCTGCCTCCCGGATTCAAGTGATTCTCCTGCCTCAGCCTCCTGAGTAGCTGCGACTACAGGCACCTGCCACGACGCCTGGCTAATTTTTTGTATTTTTAGTAGGGACAGAATTTTGCCATGTTGGCCAGGCTGGTCTCAAATGCCTGACCTTGTGATCCACCCGCCTTGGCCTCCCAAAGTGCTGGGATTACAGGCGTGAGCCACCGCTCCCTGCTGATCCTTTGTATTTTTTTAAGTCTAAATTTTATCTAGTTCTGTTCTGATCTTTATTATTTCTTTCCTTTTACTAATTTTGAGTTTGCTTTATTCTTATTTTCCTAGTTCCTCAAGGTACATTGTTAGATTGTTCATTTGAAATATTTTTACTTTTTTGATGTAGACATTTACTGCTATAAACTTTCCTCTTAGCACTGCTTTTGCTGTATCCCATAGGTTTTAGTATATTGTGTTTCAATTTTCATTTGTTTTAAGAAATGTTTCTATTTCCTCCTTAATTTCTTCCTTGACCCAATTGTCATTTAGGAGCATGTTGTTTAAATTCCATGTATTTGTGCAATTACTCAAGTTCCTCTTGTTGTTAATTTTTAGTTTTATTCCACTGTGGTCTGAGAAGGTACTTGACATAATTTTGACTTTAAAATTTTGTTAAAACTTGTTTTTGTGTTCTGACATATGGTTGATCCTGGAGAATGTTCCAAGTACTAATGAGAGGAGTGTGTGTTGTGTAGCTGGGTGAAATGTACTGTAAATGTCTGTTAGGTCCATTTGGTCTAATGTGCAGTTGAATTCCAGTGTTTTTTTTTGAATTTCCTGTCTAGACCAATCAAGCTTGTCCAACTCAAGGGCTGTGTGCAGCCCAGGACAGCTTTGAATGTGGCCCAACATAAATTCATAAACTTTATGAAAACATTGAGATTTTTGGCTGGGCGTGGTGGCTCACGCCTGTAATCCCAGCACTTTGGGAGGCAGAGGCAGGCGGATCACAAGGTCAAGCGGTCAAGACCAGCCTGAGCAACATGGTGAAACCCCATCTCTACTAAAAATACAAAAATTAGCCAGGCGTGGTGGCCCACACCTGTAGTCTCAGCTACTCAAGAGGCTGAGGCAGGAGAATTGCTTGAACCCGGAAGGCAGAAGTTGCAGTGATCCAAGATCGCGCCACTCTACTCTAGCCTAGCCTGGGTGACAGAGCAAGACTTAATTAAAAAAAATAAAAATAAAAAATTGAGATTTTTTTTGTGATTTTTTTTTTTAAGTTCATCAGCTATCATTAGTGTATTTTATGGATGGTCCAAGACAATTATTCCAATGTGGCCCACAGAAGCCAAAAGGTTGGACACCCCTGGTAGATGATCTGTCTAATGCTGTGAGTAGGGTGTTGAAGTTCCCAATTATTGTATTGAAGTATCTCTCTTCCTTTAAATCTAATATTTGCTTTATATATCTAGGTGCTTCACTGCTGGGTGCATATTTGTTTAGAACTGTTATATCATTTTGCTGAATTAATCCCGTTATTATTATATAATGACCTTTATCTCTTTGTACTGTTTTGTCTTTCAATCTAAGTATAGCTACTCCTGCTTACTTTTGGTTTTCATTTGCATAGAATATCTCTTTCCATCCTTTTTCTTTCAGTCTATGTGTATGTTTACAGGTGGGATGAGTTTCTTGTAGGCAGTCTAGAGTTGGGTCTTGTATTTTCATCCATTCATCCAGTCTATATCTTTTAAGTGGAAAGTTTAATCTGTTTACATTCAAGGTCGTTATTGGTATGTGAAGATTTATTCCTATCATTTTGTTAATTGATTTCTTGTTGTTTTGTATGTCCTTTGTTCCTTTCTTTCTCTCATTGTGTATCATTGTGGTTTGGTAGTTTTCTTTGGTAGTGGTAGCATTTGATTCCATTTTCTTGCTTATTTATGTGTTTGCTCCACCGGTGGGTTTTATAGTTTCATGTGTTTTCATGATGGTAGATATTATCCCTTTGCTTCTAGGTATAGAACTCCCTTAAGCATTTCTTGTAGGACCAGTCTAATGGTGATGAATTCTGTCACCTTTTGCTTGTCTAGGAAAGACTTTATTTGACCATCATTTATGAAGCATAACTTAGCTAAATATGGTATCTTTGGCTGACATTTTTTTCTTTCAGCACTTGGAATATATCATCTCATTCTTTCCTAGCTTGTAACATTTCTGCTGAGAAATCCACTGTTAGTCTGTTGGGAGTTCTAAGTGACTAGATGCCTTTCTCTTGCTGTTTTTAGAATTGTCTCTTTATCTTTGACTGTTAACACCTTGGCTATAATGTACAGTAGAGAAGACCTTTTTGCATTGTATCTGTTTGGGAATCTCTGAGCTTCCTGCATCTTGATGTCTAAATTTGTTTTTAGTCTTGGGAGGTTTTCAGCTATTATTTCATTAAATAGGTTTTCTAACCCCTTCATTTTCTCTTCACCTTCTGTGATACCAAAAATTTGAATATTTGGTTGCTTTATGGTATCTCATATGTCATGTAGGCTTTTTTCATTTAAAAAAATTCTTTTCTCTGTATTTTTGTCTGCCTGGGTTATTTCAAAAGAACTTAGAGCTCTGAAAGTCTTCCTTCTGCTTGCTCTAATCTATTTTTGAAGCTTTTGCATGTATTTTGTATTTCATTTAATCCTTCAGTTCTAGAATTTGTTTCATTTTTTAAATGACATTTATCTTTTTGGAAAATTTCTCATTCATATCCCAAATTGTTTTTCTAATTTCTTTATATTGTTCTTCTGTATTTTCTTAAGCTTCTTAATATCATTATTTTGAATTCTCTTTTTGAGGTTTCATAAATTTCTTGATTGAAGTCTGTTGCTGGTGAATCATTGTGTTCTTTTAGAGGTGTCATGCTTTTGTATGATAGCTTCCTTCATGTTTCATGTGACCTTACATTGCTGTCTATGCATCTGATGTAAGAGTTGCTTCTTTTGATATTTTGAATTTGCTTTTGTAGGGGAGCACTTTTTTTCCTGAAGATATTGATATAGTGTTGGTTGGATAGGACACATTGGCTTTGATTCTGCGTGCGTGTAGTAGTATAGTCTCTGTATGATTTCTTTTGCTGTAAATAATGTTGGTGGTTTCTGATTTCCTCAATGACTTAGAGTGCAGTTGTTAATGAAGCCTGCGGCAAAGTTTTGCTGGATATGGGAATACTGGGTGCGGGGGGCTGTCTTTGGACCCTAGTGGTGGCAGTGGTGGGCCAAGTATGCCTATCCTTGCGCCACAGGGTAGCATATGCTGGCACCAGTGCTACTGAGTTCAAGTGGGTCAATTCGTGGACCTCCAGGTGGCTTGCTCAGGTATAGGTAGTGCCAGTGGTAGGCTAAGCAGATGAACAGGTTCTCAGGCTCCTGGGCAGCAGGTGTGGCATGGACAATGGCAGAGTAGTTGTGGGACTAACCTCTGGGTTCCAAGTGTTCCATGCTGGTGTTAGTGGTGGCTGTGACAGACCGGGTAGTTCAACCCCCAGGCCCATGGGTGGGTGCCTGCTGTGGTGGTAGCAGCAGGTTTGGTGGGCCCAACTTCAGGCCCCTGGGAGGAGTGCTCAAGTGTCAATGGTGGTGGATTGAGCTGGGTGGTCCCCAGGTCCCCAGACAATGTGCTCAGGCACTGGCAGTGCAGAGCCAGGCCAGGTGGCTCTATCCTCAGGCTCCCTGGTGGTGCATGCATGTGTTGGCTGTGGTAGGAAGGGGTGGGCTGATCCTCAGGCCCAAGGCAGCCAAGTCTGGTGAGGCAGCTGAGCAGGCTGCCTCACTTCCCTCTCTTTCTTTGCTTTAGGTGTTTCCTGTCACTTCTCTGTTGAATTCCAGCGTTCTCTCTTAGATGGTATATTTGAAGTGTGATTATCTTCTCAATACTTCAGTGGTTCTTTATGGAGGAGGCGAGTACCAGACGCCTCTAGTCAGTCATATTGAGGGGCTTCCTTTCTTTCTGTTCTCAATCTCAGGACTCTTAGAACACCTCAGCAGTATGGTCTCACCTTTGGGAATGTCCACAAGAACATCAAAGGATTTGGGATTTCATCCCCTGGTCTATTGCATTCTCTGGAAGGTTCTTCCTCCAATACCAGCATAGATCACCCCTCAACTCCTTCTGGTCTTTGCTCAAGTGGCACCTTCTTAGCAAGGCCTTCCTTGACCACGTATTCAACTTGCAGCTCCCCTTTCCCCTTTCTGGTTTTATTTTTCTCTTTAGCTTTCATCGCCATCTGACATAGAGACAGCTTTCTGTATCTGTAGTTTCCACATCTAGGGATTCCACTGACTGCTGATTGAAAATATTTGAAAAATAAAAAATAACAATTTAATACTTTTAAAATACAAATTTAAAATATATAGTGTAACCACAATTTATATAGCATTGTCAGTAATCTGGAGATGACTTAAACTATACAGGAGGATGTTCATCAATTATATGCAAATACTATGCCATTTTTTAAAAAATTTTATTATTATTATACTTTAAGTTTTAGGGTACATGTGCACAATGTGCAGGTTAGTTACATATGTATACATGTGTCATGCTGGTGTGCTGCACACATTAACTCGTCATTTAGCATTAGGTATATCTCCTAATGCTATCCCCTCTCCCCCCACCCCACAACAGTCCCCAGAGTGTGATGTTCCCCTTCCTGTGTCCATGTGTTCTCATTGTTCAGTTCCCACCTATGAGTGAGAACATGCAGTGTTTGGTTTTTTGTCCTTGCGATAGTTTACTGAGAATGATGATTTCCAATTTCATCCATGTCCCTACAAAGGACATGAACTCATCCTTTTTTATGGCTGCATAGTATTCCATGGTGTATATGTGCCACATTTTCTTAATCCAGTCTATCATTGTTGGACATTTGGGTTGGTTCCAAGTCTTTGCTATCGTGAATAATGCCGCAATAAACATACGTGTGCATGTGTCTTTATAGCAGCATGATTTATAGTCCTTTGGGTATATACCCAATAATGGGATGGCTGGGTCAAATGGTATTTCTAGTTCTAGATCCCTGAGGAATCGCCACACTGACTTCCACAATGGTTGACCTAGTTTACAGTCCCACCAACAGTGTAAAAGTTGTTCCTATTTCTCCACATGCTCTCCAGCACCTGTTGTTTCCTGACTTTTTAATGATTGCCATTTTAACTGGTGTGAGATGGTATCTCATTGTGGTTTTGATTTGCATTTCTCTGATGGCCAGTGATGGTGAGCATTTTTTCATGTGTCTTTTGGCTGCATAAATGTCTTCTTTTGTGAAGTGTCTGTTCATATCCTTCGTCCACTTTTTGATGGGGTTGTTTTTTTCTTGTAAATTTGTTTGAGTTCATTGTAGATTCTGGATATTAGCCCTTTGTCAGATGAGTAGGTTGTGAAAATTTTCTCCCATTTTGTAGGTTGCCTGTTCACTCTGATGGTAGTTTCTTTTGCTGTGCAGAAGCTCTTTAGTTTAATTAGATCCCATTTGTCAATTTTTGCTTCTGTTTCCATTGCTTTTGGTGTTTTAGACATGAAGTCCTTGCCCATGCCTATGTCCTGAATGGTAATGCCTAGGTTTTCTTCTAGGGTTTTTATGGTTTTAGGTCTAACGTTTAAGTCTTTAATCCATCTTGAATTGATTTTTGTATAAGGTGTAAGGAAGGGATCCAGTTTCAGCTTTCTACATATGGCTAGCCAGTTTTCCCAGCACCATTTATTAAATAGGGAATCCTTTCCCCATTTCTTGTTTTTCTCAGGTTTGTCAAAGATCACATAGTTGTAGATATGCAGCGTTATTTCTGAGGGCTCTGTTCTGTTCCATTGATCTATATCTCTGTTTTGGTACCAGTACCATGCTGTTTTGGTTACTGTAGCCTTGTAGTATAGTTTGAAGTCAGGTAGTGTGATGCCTCCAGCTTTGTTCTTTTGGCTTAGGATTGACTTGGCGATGTGGGCTCTTTTTTGGTTCCATATGAACTTTAAAGTAGTTTTTTCCAATTCTGTGAAGAAAGTCATTGGTAGCTTGATGGGGATGGCATTGAATCTGTAAATTACCTTGGGCAGTATGGCCATTTTCACGATATTGATTCTTCCTACCCATGAGCATGGAATGTTCTTCCATTTGTTTGTGTCCTCTTTTATTTCATTGAGCAGTGGTTTGTAGTTCTCCTTGAAGAGGTCCTTCATGTCCCTTGTAAGTTGGATTCCTAGGTATTTTATTCTCTTTGAAGCAATTGTGAATGGGAGTTCACTCATGATTTGGCTCTCTGTTTGTCTGTTATTGGTGTATAAGAATGCTTGTGATTTTTGCACATTGATTTTGTATCCTGAGACTTTGCTGAAGTTGCTTATCAGCTTAAGGAGATTTTGGGCTGAGACGCTGGGGTTTTCTAGATATACAATCATGTCGTCTGCAAACAGGGACAATTTGACTTCCTCTTTTCCTAATTGAATACCCTTTATTTCCTTCTCCTGCCTGATTGCCCTGGCCAGAACTTCCAACACTATGTTGAATAGGAGTGGTGAGAGAGGGCATCCCTGTGTTGTGCCAGTTTTCAAAGGGAATGCTTCTAGTTTTTGCCCATTCAGTATGATATTGGCTGTGGGTTTGTCATAGATAGCTCTTATTATTTTGAGATATGTCCCATCAATACCTGATTTATTGAGAGTTTTTAGCTTGAAGGGTTGTTGAATTTTGTCAAAGGCCTTTTCTGCATCTATTGAGATAATCATGTAGTTTTTGTCTTTGGTTCTGTTTATATGCTGGATTACATTTATTGATTTGTGTATATTGAACCAGCCTTGCATCCCAGGGATGAAGCCCACTTGATCATGGTGGATAAGCTTTTTGATGTGCTTCTGGATTTGGTTTGCCAGTATTTTATTGAGGATTTTTGCATCAATGTTCATCAAGGATATTGGTCTAAAATTCTCTTTTTCGGTTGTGTCTCTGCCCAGCTTTGGTATCAGGATGATTCTGGCCTCATCAAATGAGTTAGGGAGGATTCCCTCTTTTTCTATTGATTAGAATAGTTTCAGAAGGAATGGTACCAATTCCTCCTTGTACTTCTGGTAGAATTCGGCTGTGAATCCATCTGGTCCTGGACTCTTTTTGGTTGGTAAGCTATTGATTATTGCCACAATTTCAGCTCCTGTTATTGGTCTATTCAGAGATTCAACTTCTTCCTGGTTTAGTCTTGGGTGGGGGGGTGTATGTGTCGAGGAATTTATCCATTTCTTCTAGATTTTCTAGTTTATTTGCATAGAGGTGTTTGTAGTATTCTCTGATGGTAGTTTGTATTTCTGTGGGATCGGTGGTGATATCCCCTTTATCATTTTTTATTGTGTCTATTTGATTCTTCTCTCTTTTCTTCTTTATTAGTCTTGCTAGTGGTCTATCACTTTTGCTGATCCTTTCAAAAAACCAGCTCCTGGATTCATTAATTTTTTGAAGGGTTTTTTGTGTCTCTATTTCCTTCATTTCTGCTCTGATTTTAGTTATTTCTTGTCTTCTGCTAGCTTTTGAATGTGTTTGCTCTTGCTTTTCTAGTTCTTTTAATTGTGATGTTAGGGTGTCAATTTTAGATCTTTCCTGCTTTCTCTTGTGGGCATTTAGTGCTATAAATTTCCCTCCACACACTGCTTTGAATGTGTCCCAGAGATTCTGGTATGTTGTGTCTTTGTTCTCGTTGGTTTCAAAGAACATCTTTATTTCTGCCTTCATTTTGTTATGTACCCAGTAGTCATTCAGGAGCAGGTTGTTCAGTTTCCATGTAGTTGAGCGGTTTTGAGTGAGTTGCTTAATCCTGAGTTCCAGTTTGATTGCACTGTGGTCTGAGAGACAGTTTGTTATAATTTCTGTTCTTTTACATTTGCTGAGGAGAGCTTTACTTCCAACTATGTGGTCAATTTTGGAATAGATGTGGTGTGGTGCTGAAAAAAATGTGTATTCTGTTGATTTGGGGTGGAGAGTTCTGTAGATGTCTATTAGGTCCACTTGGTGCAGAGCTGAGTTCAATTCCTGGGTCTGTCTCATTGATCTGTCTAATGTTGACAGTGGGGTGTTAAAGTCTCCCATTATTATTGTGTGGGAGTCTAAGTCTCTTTGTAAGTCACTCAGGACTTGCTTTATGAATCTGGGTGCTCCTGTATTGGGTGCCTATACATTTAGGATAGTTAGCTCTTCTTGTTGAATTGATCCCTTTATCATTATGCAGTGGCCTTCTTTGTCTCTTTTGATCTTTGTTGGTTTAAAGTCTATTTTATCAGAGACTAAGATTGCAACCCCTGCCTTTTTTTGTTTTCCATTTGCTTGGTAGATCTTCCTCCATCCTTTTATTTTGAGCCTATGTGTGTCTCTGCACGTGAGATGGGTTTCCTGAATACAGCACACTGATGGGTCTTGACTCTTTATCCAATTTGTCAGTCTGTGTCTTTTAATTGGAGCATTTAGTCCATTTACATTTAAGGTTAATATTGTTATGTGTGAATTTGATCCTGTCATTATGATGTTAGCTGGTTATTTTGCTGGTTAGTTGATGCAGTTTCTTCCTAGCCTCGATGGTCTTTACAATTTGGCACGATTTTGCAGTGGCTGGTACCTGTTGTTCCTTTCCATGTTTAGTGCTTCCTTCAGGAGCTCTTTTAGGGCAGGCCTGGTGGTGACAAAATCTCTCAGCATTTGCTTGTCTGTAAAGTATTTTATTTCTCCTTCACTTATGAAGCTTAGTTTGGCTGGATATGAAATTCTGGGTTGAAAATCCTTTTCTTTAAGAACGTTGAATATTGGCCCCCACTCTCTTCTGGCTTGTAGAGTTTCTGCCAAGAGATCCGCTGTTAATCTGATGGGCTTCCCTTTGTGGGTAACCCAACCTTTCTCTCTGGCTGCCCTTAACATTTTTTCCTTCATTTCAACTTTGGTGAATCTGACAATTATGTATCTTGGAGTTGCTCTTCTTGAGGAGTATCTTTGTGGCATTCTCTGTATTTCCTGAATCTGAATGTTGGCCTGCCTTGCTAGATTGGGGAAGTTCTCCTGGTAATATCCTGCAGAGTGTTTTCCAACTTGGTTCCATTCTCCCCATCACTTTCAGGTACACCAATCAGACGTAGATTTGGTCTTTTCACATAGTCCCATAATTCCTGGAGGCTTTGTTCATTTCTTTTTATTCTTTTTTCTCTAAACTTCCCTTCTTGTTTCATTTGATTCATTTCATCTTCCATCACAGATACCCATTCTTCCAATTGATCACATCGGCTCCTGAGGCTTCTGCATTCTTCACGTACTTCTCGAGCCTTGGCTTTCAGCTCCATCAGCTCCTTTAAGCACTTCTCTATATTGGTTATTCTAGTTATATTCATCTAAATTTTTTTCAAAGTTTTTAACTTCTTTGCCTTTGGTTTGAATTTCCTCCTGTAGCTTGGAGTAGTTTGATCGTTTGAAGCCTTCTTCTCTCACCTCATCAAAGTCATTCTCCGTCCAGCTTTGTTCCATTGCTGGTGAGGAACTGCATTCCTTTGGAGGAGGAGAGGCGCTCTGCTTTTTAGAGTTTCCAGTTTTTCTGCTCTGTTTTTTCCCCATCTTTGTGGTTTTATCTACTTTTGGTCTTTGATGATGGTGATGTACAGATGGGTTTTTGGTGTGGATGTCCTTTCTGTTTGTTAGTTTTCCTTCTAATGGACAGGACCCTCAGCTACAGGACTGTTGGAATACCCTGCCGTGTGAGGTGTCAGTCTGCCCCTACTGGGGGGTGCCTCCCAGTTAGGCTCCTCGGGGGTCAGGGGTCAGGAACCCATTTGCAGAGGCAGTCTGCCTGTTCTCAGATCTCCAGCTGCATGCTGGGAGAACCACTGCTCTCTTCAAATCTGTCAGACAGGGACATTTAAGTCTGCAGAGGTTACTGCTTTCTTTTTGTTTGTCTGTGCCCTTCCCCAAGAGGTGGAGCCTACAGAGACAGGCAGGCCTCCTTGAGCTGTGGTTGGCTCCACCCAGTTTGAGCTTCCTGGCTGCTTTGTTTACCTAAGCAAGCCTGGGCAATGGCGTGTGCCCCTCCCCCAGCCTCGCTGCCGCCTTGCAGTTTGATCTCAGACTGCTGTGCTAGCAATCAGTGAGACTCCGTGGGTGTAGGACCCTCTGAGCCAGGTGCGGGATATAATCTCCTTGTGCAGCATTTATTAAGCCCATCGGAAAAGTGCAGTATTAGGGTGGGAGTGACCCGATTTTCCAGGTGCCGTCTGTCACTGCTTTCTTTGACTAGGAAAGGGAACTCCCTGACCCCTTGTGCTTCCTGAGTGAGACAGTGCCTCACCCTGCTTCGACTCGCGCATGGTACACTACACCCACTGTCCTGCACCCACTGTCTGGCACTCCCTAGTGAGATGAACCCGGTACCTCAGATGGAAATGCAGAAATCACCCGTCTTCTGCGTCACTCACACTGGGAGCTGTAGACTGGAGCTCTTCCTATTCAGCCATCTTGGCTGCCTCACTATGCCATTTTTAAAATTATTTTTTGTACAGACGGGGTTTCGCCATGTTGCTTAGACTGGTCTTGAACTCCTGAGCTCAACTGATCTGCCTGCCTCAGCCTCCCAAAGTGTGGGGATTTCAGGTGTAATTATGCCATTTTATATCAGGGACTTGAGCATCTTCAGACTTTGGTATCCATGGGGTTCCTGGAACTGATCCTCCACTGATACTTAGGGATGACTGTACTCTGTTTTTTACTAATGTATTTGTTCATCATCTGTGTCTACCACAAGAATATAAGCTTCATAAGAGCAGAGAGTTTGCGGCCTTTTGTTCACTATTGTGTCCCTGTGCCAAGAATAAAGGAAAGAATACAGGAACCCTCTCACCCCTGCAAATATTTTTCCAAAGATTGTGTGTCTTACTGGTTTCTCAGACTGGTTTGTGTTTTAAAACTATCTATATTTAATTCTTGTTTTTAAAGTGTCTGTAGTTGACAGTTCTAACAGTAAAACATTTTAAATTTTTATGATTGATTACAGCTCCGTGTATCTTTTCTTTTATTTTTCTTTTGAGACGAGGTCTCAATCTGTCACCCAGGTTGGAGTGCAGTGGTGTGATCATGGCTCACTGCAGGCTCAATCTCCCCATGCTTAGGTGCTCGTCTCACCTCCTGAGTGGCTGTGACTACAGGTGCATGCTACCATGCACAGCAAATTATTCCCTATACCTTTAAAAGCACTTCTGCACAGGTCACCTCTTTCTTTAGTTTCCCTCTGTAAAATTGGATAATAAACCCTGTTTCATGGCACCATTGTGTGAATTAACTGAGATGTTGTATGTTTTGCATGCAGTAGGTGCTTAATAACACCAGTTCTTATTATTTTGCATCTGAACATCAGAAAAATCCTTATAAGAGACACAGAGCAGGATAATAAATTATCCACATCTTTTACATGAAATAACTACAGTCAGAGGTGTTAAATGAGTTGCCCAAAGTCACCCAATGAATCAGTATAGGCAGCGGCTCTAAACTATTGCCTTGATGGAAACCCTTATTCTTGGTTTTTATTTATTCAGAAATGAAGCTAACTAAAAAATAAATTCTATTCAATCTCAAAAATCTAAAGAGGGGCTACTATAATGGTATTGGGGAAAGAGGTAGTTTTAAGAATATGCAGTGGCAAATGTTTTCCCATCTGAACAAAAAAGATATAGTCACATCTAAGCATCCAGGACAAAGCTTTGGGTGTCTCCGTATCATTGACCTTTTCTCGACTCCTCTCTATCCTACTCTTGAAAGCATGTTATAGTGAGAATGATGGGACACTTTCGTGTGTGTGTGTGTGTGTGTGTGTGTGTGTGTGTGTGTGTTTTTCATTTTTTCTTTTTTTTTTTTCCTGAGACGGGGTCTTGCTCAGTCGCCCAGGCTGGAGTGCAGTGGCGTGACCTTGGCTCACTGCAAGCTCCGCCTCCCGGGTTCATGCCATTCTCCTGCCTCAGCCTCCTGAGTAGCTGGGACTACAGGCGCCTGCCACCACACCTGGCTAATTTTTTTTTTCTTTTTTTTTTTTTAGTAGAGACGGGGTTTCACCATGTTAGCCGGGATGGTCTCGATCTCCTGACCTCATGATCCACCCGCCTCGGCCTCCCAAAGTGCTGGGATTACAGGCATGAGCTACTGTGCCTGGCCAATGCTTTTTGAAATTTCTGTTATTTATAGGAAAAAACCATTTGCAAAACTTGGTATACATTAACAATAACAAATTACTCTCCTCATATACCATGGTGGACCACAGTAGACCAGTATCCTAAGGCCATATTTGAGACTACAGATCCACGCCAGGAGACTAACCCCCTTTCCATTCTCTGGGGTTGCAAAGTCATCCTCACCTTGAATTTCCTCTCAGAAATTGACATGTGGAAGGGACAGCACAGTGGTGAACCAGCTCCTCTTCTGGCAGTTAACACTGCTATCTCTCCACTGACTCAGAACTTGATAACTCCTATAATGAGGAAATAAAAGAATTAGACTAACCTTTCCTTAGAACTGTCCTGGTTTCTCTGCCCCCTTTCCCCAGGAGACACTTAATGACAGACATGTGAATTTGGAAAGACCATTTTGGTTGTTCCTTTCCTTCTCAATTACAGATTTGTTCCTTTGGAATGTTTCTGGAAGGTTTATCTCACCCCACTTTAAATGCACAAGTCAGTGGGACTTCCCTGGATTTCTCTTGGGAAGTCATTCTGACAGCTGGAAGGTCTCTCATGATCAGCAGACAGTAGCTCCCTCTGTTTAGAATTAGCTTAGGAATAGGGAACATGGGGATGGCATTCTGAATCTGTGATGTGATTGGCATGTGGGGGCCCTGGCTGACGAGGACTGATCACAGGCTTCCTGTAGCTTGGCATGGTGGAGTGAGCACGGCATTTGGAGTCGGGGTCTGGGCTTGACCCACACTTCTACCCCTAACCACCTGTGTGTCTTTTGAAAATTGCCATGCCTTCACTTTTCTTACCTATAAGACAGGGTTAATAATATCCACTTTGCAAGACTGTTTTCAGGAGTGAATAGTATATATTTGCAAAAGCATCTTGACCATGCTGTGGGACATCAGAAATGGGGCTAGGGGAGAAGATCTGCCTACCTCCAAGAAATGTGAACCCTGGAAAGCCACCTGTGTATTGTGAACTTCCAGATAAAAGTGAGTCTGTAGGAGGACAGGAAGGTCTACAGGGAAGAAGTGGGGGCTGCTGGACCACGATATGTTGGCTCTAGGTTCAAATGGCAGCTCTGTGGCTATGGCTGTATTGCCTGTGAGTGGAAGTGCTGTTAGGCCAAGGGAGAGGATTATGGACAAAGGACAGGGGTCTGTTGCCAGTTGTCATGTCCATCCGTAGCCACCATGGAATGCTGGAAGGTGAACATGAATATCCCAGGCCTGTGTTTGAGATCCTCCCTCAGGGACCAAATAGGAGACAAGTAGGGTGAAAGCGAGAGTTTGAGTTTGTAGCTACATGCAAATTGGCCAAAGCTGGATAATGGGGCCATACCACAGGGTGCCCTGGGAGATTAGAGCCAGGCTGGGCTTTCCCACACCAGTGGGTCCCAGGGGTCCTTTAGCTACCACGTTTAGTATCAGAGGAAATGGGATATGCATCCTGGATAGGGAGCCCCAGAGAAGAGTGGAACATCAAGACCCAGGGAGGAGGCTGACAGCTAGACACAGGTCCATGGTGAAGGGCTGGGTAGGACAGAAAGAGCAGGGCCCCCAGGCAGAGGGCGAGGCCTTTGCTAGTGGTAAGAAATGGGATCCGGGGTTAGGAGCCCACTGAAGGGTGCACAGGAGGAAGGGGACTGTGGCATTGGCTGCATCACATAGGACTAATGGGATTAGAAGTAGACATGGATAGGCTTTCTCCCTTTTCTATCACCTATGTCCCTATCTCTCCCTTCTTGCTTCTCCCGTCATGTACTTGCAGCAGTCCAGGGGCAACTTCTGTTGGCAAAATGCCTTTTTCCTTGGAAAGTCAAGTGTGACAACAAAGATGGAGTCTAGGACAGCTCTTCTCCATCGGTGTCCACAGAATGTTATGTAAAAAAAGGAGAAGGGTTATGTCAAGTTACGATCCTGCGAGCTAGGCAGGGCAGGGTCTCCTATCACCATTTAGTAGTGAGGACTTAAATTAGCTACCTAAGCTTACTCAGTTGGTAAAAAGGCAAACCTGGGTTTCAAAGACAGATCTCCTGGCTGTGGATCAATTGAACTCTTCGGGTAACTGTCTATTCACAGCTGTGTCTCTAACCTGATATGCACAAGGTGAATATGCACATATATAGATGTCCACACTCCACCCTCCCAAAGTCATGGAAAAATGAAAGCTTTAATAAATATGGTTGTAGATAAAGGAACAGCTCATAATGACATGTGAAAGCAATTCTGTTAACAATTGAAACAAATTATCTATATGACTTTGTAAGATGACATGTAATGATCATAGACAAAAAATGAACTAGTCTCAGAATAAAAGCCCTTGTCAGGAGAAAATTCACTGCTCATTATGGGATTGATCGTAGACTGCTTCTTTCCTAATTTAAACCTAACTCTTTAAAATTAAAAATTAGAAGTATGTGTGGAAAGAGAAGTAGATTAAGAGCTAAGAGACCTGGGTTTTCATCCTTGCTCTGTGGCTAATGAGCTGTGTGACACTTCGAAGTGACTCAGTCTTTGAATCTTTGTTTCTTCATTTGAAAAAAGAATGGGTACATCAGATAATCTCTAATGTCCTTTTCAGTGCCAAAATATTGTAATAAGCTTTTTTTTTTTTTCTTTGAGAAAGGGTCTCAGTCTGTCACCCAGATGGGAGTGCAGCGGTGTGATCATAGCTCAGGGTGCCTTCAAGTGATCCTCCCACCTCAGCCTCCTAAGTAACTGAGACCACAGGCACCACGATGTCTGGCTATTTTTTTTTCTTCATTTTCTGTAGTCATGGAGTGACACTGTGTTGTCCAGGCTAGTATCAAACTCCTGGGCTCAAGCGATCCTCCCGCCTCAGCCTCCCAAAATGCTCAGACTACAGGCATGAACCACCATGCCCAGCTAGCTAATGAGCTCTTTAACAGAACTCATAAACATGTCTAGAATGTGTATTTTTATCTTTACTATGATCACAAGCACCTGCCAAGGGTCTATTTGCATATGCATTATCCATGTTAGCATATGTCCCTTTTGTGGGAGGGGGACTGCTCCTAGGCATGGCTTGGACTTTTGGCCTGGCTCCAGTCCCTCCTTGCTTTTGCTAACCCCTTCCTCTCTTGGGGAGTAGAGTCCTACCCAAAGTCTGCATCAGGGGGTCTACACCCTCCAGCATGGTTTGCCTGGAACTCCAGATCCTGTTGCATGCAGATTTCTGTGGCCATGTTCTTTCCTGGTTAAAGGCCTAGTCATCACATCACATATCCTCTGCTTGCCTGATTAGACTTTCCTCCACTGGTTGCTCCTGGGTCCTGGCTCTTTTTACCCATCCCATCTAACCAGCTTCCTGAGTTACTTAGTTTGAGCCACTGTTTTGACAAAAGTTGAGGTTGCCTTGGGTGGCCTATATAAATTAGGGTGGTAAGGAATAGCTACACAGGGAGGAGGAAATGGAGATGAAGCAGACTCTGTTGTCTTATTAATGTTGTCTAGCTCTCCCAGGATACTAGTACACTTTGGCAGGCTTTAACAGGACTTACGCTTTACTGCCTCTGCACTCCACTGGCACCAGAGATGTCTTCCACACCCCCCTTTCCCATTCTTCATCTACCCATCCTCTGAGAGCCATGTCAAGCCTTATCGGCTCAGGTCACAAGACTAAGTGGTCTCCCCTCCTCTGAAATGGCATGCCACATACTATCTGTAGCCTCCCCACTCTACACATAGCCCAATTAATTCCCATTTCTTCAGATCTCAACCAAAAATCACTCTTCCTCCAGGAAGCCCTCCCTGGCTACACAAACAGGCCAGATCCCTCTGTTTAGATGCTCATGAACCCCTGTTACTTTTCTTTAATTCCAATTAGTAGGTTGTTAATTAAATGTTTATTTGAATGAAGAATTGATTCCCAACACTCTCCCATGAGGACAGAATCTGGTCTCTTCCACTCACTACTGTATTCTCCAAGGTCCAGTAAGGTAACACCCATATACTCTCTTGAACCTTGTTTACTCTCTTGAACATTTATGTAAACACTGATTACTTGCCTAAAGATCTTTTCTCTTGAGCTGATTTGCATCCTCCTTGAAGGCAGTTCCATCTTTCTGTTGTTCCTTCACAGTCCAGCACTGTTCTGAATAAATATACGTCAATTTGGTGTTTCAGTTGTAGGAGACATTATTTGATCATTAGTCTGAATTTACACCATATGAACTGTGAAGGAGACTTCTTCCTGAACATTTTACTGAACTGAACTGGGATCCGCTTGCAGGCCCAGCAAGGCTAAACACCCACACCAAGATTTTGCAGGGAAAGAAAGGAAAGCGTTTATTTGCAGGGCACCAAGCAAGGAGAATTGGGCCACTCATGCTTAAGACCCGACCTCCCCGATGACTTACAAGCGAAGGCTTTTAAGGGCAGGGGTAAATTTCAGGAAAGCAGAAGTTACAGGCAAAACTGTAAATTAATACGTGGATGTTAAACATTAGTTTAATATTTGTTAAACATTAGTTTATCCCACCTAAAAAGGTGGGTTTAGGTGGGATATCTGGAAATGGAGGCTTACAGGCCACAGGTGGATTCAGAGATTCTGATTTGTGATTGGTTAAGGAATGGAAGCTCTGTCTAAAAACTTCGGTCAGCAGAAAGAAATGTTGAGTTCTGGCCTATGGATGTGCCTTCCTCCAGGCCCCTCAGGAAGAAATACAGAACAAAGAATGGCAGAGTTCAGTCCTCAGTTTCCCCTTGAGGTCTATGTGCCAGGGGATTCATTTAGTGGGGGCCTAGCTTTCTGAAAAACACTTCAGAGGCATATGTTAAGATGTTCTCTTTAGTTTCCATAGGGAGCCAAATATCTTGTGACTAATTTCCTTGGCTATTGTTTTAAGCTACTATTACTTTCTTGCTTACCAAGTTGCTCATTTACTTCTCAGGGCTAGCTAGGTGCCTGTAATTTCCCTTCAGGGAACTCACGATTTTCCTTTATTTCCATGTTTGGGAGGGCCTGTTAGGTCCCTAAGAGGGGGTCCTTGCTGCATCTCAAACTTCCCATATAGAAGGGAAGTTATTATTGAACATCAGAGTTGTAGATAGATGTGGGAAGAGAAATGAAAAGGAAACATTCACCCTGGCTTAAGGCCACAGGAGGTTCTCACAACAGGACACTGTCTAGGGACAGCATCGGGATGAGGAAGCTCACGGGAGAAGGGTTGGTCTTGGGGTTTTAGGCCTGAGTCCACACTGTCTGCATTCCGTGGAGGCTACGCAACCTCCCCAGGCTTTGGTCCTTTTCCTTCCACACAATGCAATAGATGGGGTAGTGCCCGGTGAGCTATGGCACAATACATGGGTAGAAGATGATCATTTCAAGGAATCCAATAATATTCAACACTTGCCAGGGTTCTGGATGCAGGCTTCCATTTCTTTTTGCAATTTGGACCAAGTAATTAGATCTGTCTCTTTTTTTTTTCTTTTTGCAAAAGATGATGCTGCGATGGGGTAGAGGTGAATAGAAATAACTGCCTTCTCTCTGCAGAGTTGATGAAGCATCAACTGGGATAATAAATGTGAAAACACCATGAAATGAAAACATCTATTTAAATTCAAGAGGTTGTTATTTACAGTCTTTAAATGATATTTGCCCAGCTCTGGTTGTTTACTTTTAACACATCCCACAGAAACTGTGGAAACTACAAAAACCACATAAAGTGATGATTAAATTCAGAAACTCAATCTGACCTGATCTCTTTGGGTTGGCAATCTCTCTGTGCCGTTTTCTTGCTTAGGACTGAGGAAGCTTTATAGATGGACCATAAGGAGGAAGTCCAGGTGAGCTGGTGGGAGTGTGTGCCTTCAGAAAGGGGGGCCTAGCTTTGGTTAGGCCTGCAGATGGATTCCTTGTCAGTTTCAGAGGATTTAGTGACCCTGCACTTCAATTGCCCCAAACCAAAAATTGATCTGGGACTGTGCAGGGGAGAAATGGTGAACTGTATTTTGCAGGACAGGAAAGAATAAGATAGACGGGGAGAGAAATGCTCACCAAAGACCATGAGCTCATTCTTAAGCATCAGTGCAACAGTCTTGTTGATGTATCTTACCAGAAGCCCTAAGCAGAGGAGTTAAACATGTAGGATTTGTAGTCAGGCAGGTTTGAGTTCAAATTTTGCCTCTACCCAGGAGCCCAGGGTAAGTTACTCTTCCTCTCTGTGCCTTAGTTTCCTATCTGCGTGGGAAGATGAAGTCCCTATCTCCAATGATTATTGTGATGATATATGGGCATTCAATAAATGTTAGTTTCTTTTTATTACTATGGGCACAACATCTTCTGTATTATTAGTTCAAGCCTTTTAGTTGTTTGAAGTCATTGGCACTTTCTAATCTCAGAGTTCTCAGAAGCAGCATGGTGAACTGGGAGTAGATTCCATAAAGAATAGGGTTCTGTTGGATGTGCCAGTAACAGCTCTGTGACCTTGGGCAAGTTACTTAACTTTTCCAGCCTTGTTTTCCTGGACAGTAAAAAAGGTTGCAGGCCAGGCGCAGTGGCTCATGCTTGTTATGCTAGCACTTTGGTAGGCCAAGGCGGGTGGATCACCTGAGGTCAGGAGTTCGAGACCAGCCTGGTCAATATGGTGAAACCCCATCTCTACTAAAAAATAAAAAGTACAAAAAGTTAGCTGGGCCTGGTGGCGGGCACCCCTGTAATCCTAGCTACTTGGGAGGCTGAGGCAGGAGAATCTCTTGAACGCAGGAGGCAGAGGTTGCAGTGAGCCAAGATCGCACCATTGCACTCCAGCCTGGGCAATAAGAGTGAAACTCTGCCTCAAAAAAAAAAAAAAAGAGGGTTGCACGTTGTCAACAAATACCTATTGAACACCCTGGATGTTCAAGACATGTGAATGACTCGAAGAAGTGGCAGCTGCAGAAGTGATGGCCAATGTGGAAAAGGGGGTTGGTGGGGATTGGCAGAGATAGGGGAGTCCACATGCGAAACCCCAGTGAGGGGGCAGGACTGAGAGTTTGTAGGTACCCTCTTCCAGGGTGTAGGAGGAAATGGAGAATGCAGGTGTAGGGGCTAAGGGGAACTTCAGTGAACTCTGAAGTTTCACTGAAAAATCAACTTATAATAGACAGATTAATTGGAGAAAAGGCATACAAATTGATTTAACATGTATGCACAGGAGCCTTCAGAATGAATACCCAAATATACAGGGAAAATTGTTTATTTTTATGCTTAGGTGCAACAAAGTATGGATAGCCATGTAGAAATACGATTGGACAAAATGGATGTGTTCTAATGCTAACAGACTGAGTTAGGAAACCCAGCGAGGCCTATCTGTCTAGCTCCTTCCTGGCCTCTCTGAGTGTGCATTCCTTCCTTCTGGGTGTGGGGCAGGCCCTCTCTGGAATGAGGGTCCTATGACCTACAGTCAAATAAGGTAGGTCAGATAATTTCTTTATGGCCTATTTTTACACAGAAAGGCAGAGGAAGTTTAGAGTAATATTTTTAGGTTTTATGGCTGACTTGGAAGAAGGGGTTCTGGTTTCTATGACTGGCCTCGGGGAAAAGGGATTCTAGTTTCCATGGCTAACCTTGAGGGGAGAGAGAGGAGTGCAGGAGGTGAGAGAAAAACTTGCTTCTGAGGCTGCCTCTGAAGGCTTTGTTTGGGGATGTTGTGTTTTCTGAGTCCCAACACTGTTGAATAAGTTAACACCTGGATGGCCGAGTTGATCATAAAATAGACATGTAAGCCAGGGTCTGCAGCGGGAGGAGTCTGGATGGTTTCAAGGGTGGAGGTAGGTACAAGAGTTAGCCTCCCCTAACCCCTGGAGGGGTAGTGGGAGGAGGACAGCAGCTCTGCAGTGAGCAAGGAAGCCCAGGACAACCCAAATCCACTGGGCTGGGGGCTGCACCTGCCGCACGGGGGCTGGCCCCAGGTGGGCGGGGTGGAGGCGGGGCTTCTTCGGCGCTCGCTGATTGGCCATCCGTGCAGGCAGGTGCGGTCTGGCACCTCGGGATCCCAACGGGTGGCCGCCTGCGTGGCTGCCTGCCTCACCTCAGGTTGTTCATCACGCTCAGGCTAATTTCCCACTCTGAGAGCTAATGCTGATCAGCCCTAAGCCTCACACGCAGTCAGGCTCCAGCCACTTTAATTTCTGGCTGGGAATTAGAGAGGAGGCTGTGCTGCCCCCATGCCCCTTTCCTGTAGATGTTGCTGTCGATCACCACACACCCAACAAACACCTCCTTTTCCTACATTACTCCCCTCAGCCCCCTGATCTCCCCATCTCCACCATTTTGCGGGGGAGGGGGGGCAACACTTCCCCCTCTTAATGTCACCCCATCCACTGCCAAGTACATTCTGATTTTAAAGAGGCGTCCTCTAGGTTGACATCCTAGCATGAAGAGGCAGCGTTTGACCTTCCTTGGTTACCACACTGTCGATTCGGCTGGTGTGGATGGAAAGGCTCCCACACTCACTCCTCCTTCTGTCTCTTAAAAAAAAAAATCACCCACCTCCCCTTTCAAATAAAAAAAGAGAGGGAGAGGGAGGGAGAGAGAATTTGACATTGTATAATTTAAAATTGCACAGCCTAGAGCCCACAAAACCGAGCATGTAATTACACACTTACTAGAGGTAACAGCAGTGCTGATAATTATTCTTTACACAGGAGAGACCCTGCTGATATCCCACAGTCAGAAAGTGGGAACTACAATATCTTTAATACCATCCTCAGAGACCCTCATAAGCAGAAGAGAAGTATGAGAAAGCTCACAAGGTCCACAGCAATATCTTCATCGCGCCAGAATGTCAGGGGCTTTAGCACAACAGAAATCAATAGTTTCTAGTACATTTTTTGGTACAATTTTTTTTTAATGACCTAACCTGAGAAAGTACAGGGAAGGCAGAGGTACAGAACAGTAGGAAACAAAACCTCCTTAACCGAAGGCCTATTTAGACATGTCATGCAACGTCAGTTTAGGAGAGACGCGTTCTTTATCTGAGCCACACAACCGGGCAGCTGGAGCGAGGTCTTGGTCCTGGAGTGCTTTCGGTCATAGGTAAAGCCTTTTTGTTTAAAGCATGAACTGGTCCTTCTCCCCGTATTTCCTGATTAAGGCAGCACCTTGACTAATTATTGGCTATAAAGTTGTGCAGTATTAAATCTCTAAAGAGAGGAGATTAATATCCAGGCATTTCTTTCCAGGCATTTGGCCCTTTTCTGCTCCTTTCTCCCTATGGACAGAAAATGAGTTGGTTGCGTTTTAAAAAATAAGACCAAGCATCAGTTGAAACACTGAGAAATTTAAAGCAACAGTCAGTGATGCCACACAGCGAAGTAAATGGTTTTTGTGTTAAAAAAAAAAAAAAAAGTCAAAGTATAAGTTTAATACTATAACTTGTTTTCAAAAGGAGACCATTTTGGTGTTTGCATCTCTATGCTAACTACAGAAGGTGACAAATGGTTACCTATTTCTACTCCATAACCATAGCCAAGTTCTTATGTAGTTTGCTCTTAAAAATGCTTCTTCATTGTTTTCAGGTTGTGCTGATGTTCTGATTTGACAATGTGCATTAATTCAGCTGGGCTAATAAACCAATTTAATTGGGTCCATTGTTCAGTAGAAATGGCAGCCAATTTTTGCTTGGGGCTTAGGGGAAGGACACTCTGACTGATTATTTACCGTGTGCCAGGCATAAATGGATAGATGCATTTCTGTACATTAGTCATTTAAGACTCATACTGCTTCTGTGCACTTTGTAGTATCCTCCTATTTTAAATATGAAAAAACTGAGACTCAAACAGGTGAACTCGGCCAAGGTCACACAGCTGATAAAGATGGAAGAGCAAAGACTCCACTCAGCTCTGTCGACTTTGGACAGAAGGGTGTATTGTTTCATTTTACCATTCGAATGGTATGGCCAAGCCAGTGAGTTTAAAGGGAGTGGGAAGCTCAGAGCAGGGAGGCCCTCGGAGATGCCTTTACAAAATGTCTTTTGGTGAGGACATCACATCACAACGTATGGACAAAGAAACACAGTGCCAGAGGAGTCTTTGGTGACTCCCCAGGGAAACCGATTCTAGGGGCAGCAGACGCCAGGCTGGTCTGCACCTGGGGCCCAGTGAAGGCAGCAGTTAGCTATTAGGCCACCTGAAAAGAGGGAATTAGAGGACAGGCAGATGTTTTCAATGCATGAGCAAAAGTGAAGACATTGGCCTGAGAAGTAGAGAGCTCAAGGCCAGAAGTCTGAGGGGATGAATGGAGTTACATCTGTTGGAGGTGTTCAGATTTCCGGTACGCAGGGTTATTCCGGATATTTCAGCTATGTTAACTGGCTTTTTGGTTTGTTCTGGGTGGAGTGGGGGCCATGACATCCCTGACGCTGCTAATTTAAAGAGGCTGTGTTAGCAGACTCAGGGTAAGGACTACAGGTATATAAAGGCCTTATCAGCGGCGGCCACAGACTATTTACTCTGAGCCTCCCACGGCGGCTGGCTCCAATACTGTGTAATTTCTGCTGCTTTTGAGAAAGGTGCAGGATACTTACTGCTTATTAGGGCTCGTGCTTGAACCTTAAAAGAGAGTAATCAGCAAGACCATCTCTGTGCACGTTGGTAGGAAATTGGAATTTGTCTTTTGGTCTGTATCTCTGTTTGCCTCCACTTCAGCGACCTCAGCTGAATCCTAGTGACCCAAGAGCCTGGATGATAACCTATGGTGTGATCCATCTCGCGGCTGTATTCTCATTGGTATAAAAGGCTTCAAAGGGCCGGGCATGGTGGCTCACGCCTGTAATCCCAGCACTTTGGGAGGCCAAGGTGTGTGGATCACCTGAGGTGAGGAGTTCACAACCAGTCTGCTCAACATGGTGAAACCCCGTTTCTACTAAAAAAAATATTAGCTGGGCATGGTGGAGCATGCGTGTAGTCACAGCTACTTGGGAGGCTGAGGCAGGAGAATCACTTGAACCCTGGGGATGGAGGTTGCAGTGAGCCAAGATCACGCCACTGCACTCCAGCCTGGGTGACAGAGTGAGACAACATCTCAAAAAAAAAAAAAAAAAAAAAAAAAGGCTTCAAAGACGTCTCAAACCTTTGGAGAGAGAAGGTTGCATGATAGACAATGTGATGGAAGTCTGGGGACAGGGGACTTCGTCCAGCATCCTCTCAACTCACATATTAGTGTAGCTTACCCACTTGGTCCTTTGTAAATCAATCCCCATCTGTACTTCAAGAGCACAGGCTTCTGGAGGACAAATAAAGGAGGAAGCCTCCCTGGGGAGGGAGGGGCCTATGTTAGGGCCTAGTCTGGGCTGAAGGTCTGGAGCACAGAAGTTCAGCAAGGCAGGAAGCTTGACCTTTGCAACCAGAACAGTTTGGGATGCAGCTGCTCTCCAGGCCCTGGCTGTTTGGATCTTGACTCTTTTGTACTTTCTGCCCAAATGGTCAGTGGCCCCGGGAGCTGGGATGGCAGGAGTTAAGGAAAGGGAGCAAGATGAGTTCCTGTTGGTGACTCATGCCAGGAATTTCTTCAGGTCCCCGTGGGGGAGAGGTCATTGGAGACAAGGCCTTCTAGGATCCCCAGTTTAGGCTACTGACTCATACACAAATCCTTTCTCTTAACATAGCCATGATTATTTATGAGAATTAGCAAATTGAGAGTGTAGGCATTGGAGTCAAACATGTGACTTTGAGTTCCAATTGGGCTATTTCTCAGCTGCGCAACTTTGGGCAAGTTATTCTCTCTGACACTCAGTTTTTTTTTGTTTGTTTGTTTTTTGTTTTTCCTGAGAAATGAGAATAAAACTCTCTCCTTTGGGGTTCCTATTAATAACAAATAATAGATGGAACTTAGTAGAGACTCAATACCAGTTTCTTTCACCTCTTCTTTCTCCATCAGTTTCCCACTCTCGACTTTTCCCTCCCCAAATTACAAGGCATCAGAAATTCAGGGGAAAGAAGAAGAGGGCCAAGGGAAATGACACACCAGTGAAACATTGCTTGAGGGATGAGTCTCAACTTCTGGGGTGGGATCACTCACCCCACAGGAGATCCCCTTGGCTTGTCTATTGCATTTCTAAACCCAGAGGCAAATTGAAGCCATCATAAGTATGAGAGATAATGTAGAAATTGCAACAAATATTCGAAGAAATAAAACTACCAATACCTCTTCGCCACCTCCAATATCAGAGAGGGCTCATGGGGAAGAGAGTGGGGAGAGGGGATATCTTAGAATCATTCACCTCTTGTTGCTATTGTTGTTAAATAGCACTCCTGGCACTTCAAACTGAAAAGCAGTGTTGGCACTCAAGTCTTTTTTTTTTTTTTTTTTTTTTTTTTGAGACACAGTCTCACTCTGTTGCCCAGGCCGGAGTGTAGTGGCATGATCATAGTTCACTGCAGCCTCAACCTGTCAGACTCAAGCAATACTCCTGGCTCAGCCTCCCGAATAGCTGAGACTATAGGTGCACAACACCACACCTGGCCAATTTTTTTATTTTTAGTAGAGATTGGGGTCTCGCTATGTTGTCCAGGCTTGTCTTGAACTCCTGAGCTCAGGTGATCCTCCCACCTTGGCCTCCCAAAGTGCTGGGATTACAGGTGTGAGCTACTGCACCGGGTTAGGTGTCCAAGTGTTTAGGTCGTCTGAGACTGCAGGTCACTCATTTACCATAAAGGGAAGGGAGTCAGGATTATTAATAACCAGAATTGCCCTAGAGTGAAGGGCTTCCTTTTCATATTCATATATTCGAAAGATGGAGCTGCTCATGGGCCCCTTTTTGGCCTCTTTGTGCTTTCTTCTGGTAGTGGGTAGGTTAGAGAACACGGTAAAACACACGACTTTGCCATGTCTTGGGTCTTTTCATCCTCCGTCCACCTCCCGCCCCCACCTACCCCCGAACCTTCCCTCCTTTGTGCAAATCTGTTTTCGCCACAGGAGCACATGCTGTCTCTTCTAGCTACAACACTACTTGCTAATTCAACGATTCATCTTTAATGAGGCCCCCTGCCAATGTTTAAATAGCATTCAGAACAAAGAAAAGGCAGTATTTCCAAAACAGCTGCTTCTGCTGCATCCTCATAGCTCATCTCTCAGAAAATCAAGAAAAATACCTTGACAGATGATGGAAAAATACCTGGCTATTATAGATAGAGATACTATCTATATATCTATAAATGGATATGGATAAAGATAAAATACCCACTTCTGTGATGCCAGAGATCTTGAATATAAGCATCCTAAAAAGTTTTGTTGGGTTTAGATAGTGCTACTTCAGGGAGGCTTTTCTTTATGATTTTGGTTCTTTTCAGAATTGTTTGGGAAACATATTTAGTCATGGAAAGAGCACGCAATTTGGGATTAGTTAAATCTAGGCCCACCTTTGAGCTCTGTCACAGACTAGCTGTGTAAGTGGGTAGATCATGTGAGTTCTCTGCCCATATGTTACGTTATTGGTAAGATGAAGATAATACTTTCTTCCTTTCTGGATATATGTCAGCGTGGCTAGCTCAATGTTTGGCAAATAGTAGACCTGCAACCATTTCTTTATTTTATATTTTATTTTTTGAGACAGGGTCCTACTTTGTCACCCAGGCTGGAGTGCAGCGGTGCGATCTCGGCTCACTGCAACCTCTGCCTCCCGGGTTTAAACAATTCTCCTGCCTCAGCCTCCAGAGTAGCTGGGATTACAGGAACGTGCCACCACACCCGGCTAATTTTTTGTATTTTTAGTAGAGACAGGGTTTCATCATGTTGGCCATGGCTGGTCCCGATCTCCTGGCCTCAAGTGATCCACCTGCTTCGGCCTCCCAAAGTGTTGGGATTATAGGTGTGCCACCACAGCTGGCCATTTCTTGGTTTTAAATTCAGGACCCTCTAAAATCATAAAGCATTGGCAGAGTCCAAAGGACTCTGTGCCTGTGTTTCCAGAAGTGCTGCTCCAGGGGCAATAAGTCTTCTCAGTAGCCATCTCTCTAATGTGCCTCATCAATTCCACACCTTTGAGTAAGAAAGGATGAGCATCATGTAGAGAAGGAGGCTTGGGGAAGTCACAGTTGCTTTTATGAGTTTTTAAAAGGGAGATTTAAAATAACAGAGACTAGAAAAACAATAAATGAACCCAAGGAAACTAGAAGAAAGGAATAAATGTGTTTCAAACAATTAACAAACTGTAACACAGAAATATGGTAGAATTGATTTAAAACCATACATGGTTCTTTGAAAGGGGGAGAAATGTAAACTTTGAAAAAGAATTGAATTAAGAAAACATTTAACATCAGGCCTGAGCTAAAACCTATAGACACAAATGAAGAAACTTTTAAATTATTGGGGAAAGATGAGGCAGATGTTCAGAGAGATATGAAGGAAAAGTGAGGGAATGGGAGGAGGAGGAGGAGGAAGCCAGGCTTGTCCCTCCTGCTGCCTGTCTGGTCAATTCTTCCTTGAATTCCATCTGATGCTTTAATTTCATTTTTTGCTTTAGCCATCTTGAAGTTGATTTCTACTAGGTACTTGTAATTAAATGACCATTACTAATACAGTTGTGAAAATAGCAAGTTACAAAGTAGTTACTTTAATATGACCCTATTTTTGTGAAAGAAAATTGTGTGTAAATGTCTATAAAACAAAGCCTGGAAGTGTATACCCTAAAAATGATAACAATGGTTATATTTGGGGAATGGGATTATAAGTGCATTTTATTTTCTGCTTTTTGCTTGTATAATTGATTATGCATGAGTTATCAGGACAAGAGGGCTGTTTGGACTTGTGTGGATTAGTGGATTTGTAAGATTTAGCCTATCTGATTAGTTAAATATCTTGTTTATCTTCTTGGCCTTTAAAAGAGGAGTGTTAGAGCAATGATAATATGGCTGCATAAGGGCCAGACTGTTGTTGTATAGCAAGCAGGGGGTGACATCAATGAGACGAGAGAAGAGAGCACCAATTAGAAAGGTTAAAGGGCCAGATAAAGGAGCCAAGCAGGCGAATCCAGGGTTCACAGATCCTGATAGAGAACGGGGCTTTCTGTCTGATTGCCAAGAAACAGGAGATGCCTACATTGCTGTTGTAATCAGGAGTCATTTGGTTGCAAGGACAGAAATTCCTTCAAGCTTAAAGTTTACAAAGAAGGCTCCATAAAAGGATACAGGGACATCACATTGACCCCTAACTGTATAACTACGGCCTGCTACTCTGTCTCTGGATCTGGGTGGCCTCTCCTTACTTCTTTCTGCAGCTCAGATGTCTGTGTGAACTCCAAAGCTCCCTCCTTGATAACAGCAGGGAGAGCCAGCCTCTCCTACCCTGAGCTTCCATAGCACATTCCACTGTGCTGCAGTTTTCTCTCTTTCTCTCTCATCTCTCTTCTCTTCTCTCTTCTCTTCTCTTCTCTCTTCTCTTCTCTCTTCTCCTCTCTCTTCTTTTCTCTCTTCTCTTCTCTTTTCTTTTCTCTTCTGTCTTCTCTCTTCTTGCTTCTCGTCTCACTTCTCCTCTCGTCTCTCTTCTCCTCTTGTCTCTCTTCTCTTCTCGTCTCTCTTCTCTTCTCGTCTGTCTTCTCATCTCTCTTCTCTTCTCGTCTCTCTTCTCTTCTCGTCTCTCTTCTCTCGTCTCCCCCCTCGTCTCCCCTCTCCCCTCCCCTCTCCCCTCTTTTCTTTCTCTCCTTTCCTTTCCTTCTCTCTCTCTCCCTCTTTCCTTTCTTTCTTTCATCTCTGAGCTCATTATTGGTAGGAATGAACTTTTTCCTTTCTTTTTCATCAATCACCAGAAAACTGCTCAGTACTTATTTTGAATGACAAATATGACAGTGTGAGGGAAAGTACTGTATAAAGTTAAGTACTTTATAAAATTATCATAATCACAAGATAATATTTTGTTGTGTTCTTTCAAGGCAGCCTTTCTTGCTTTCTTACTCCAGGCCTGTTCCTGGTATAATATCCAGGCAGGCCAGTTGCAGAACTAAAATTAATTTTACCAATCCCTCTCTTGGTTCAGAAATCAGATGAGATGAGACACATGGAATTGCCTATTCCCATGCCTTCTGCATAGTAGCTGTTTATGCTTGCTTAAATCCCTGAGGAAGGTCCAATGGGAAGATGCACAAAAAAGAATTAGGTGTTCAGTAACTTCCTATGGCTCTGGAGGTTTTTAATGGGGAGACTCCAGCAGCTTGGCCTCAGTTGGGCCACAGTCCGTCAAAGAATCTTAATGCCCACATCAAGCTCCATTACATGACTTCTTGGTATGCATTTGACTTTTTTCATCTTCTCCCATGATCACATTTATTTTAATGTCCAGAATCTGCAGCTACACATACCCCCTCTTTGATACTTGTCTTTCTACTTGGCATGGCTCATAGATTGTTTTAATCATGCAATATGATCTCAATCTCTTTAGAAGTAGGCTTAGGTAGAAATAAATCCCCACTGAAATAGTGATTCCACTGTAGCTTTGCTCAGTGGCTTTTAGGAACATTCTCTGTTCAGCGGGACTCATCTTGGCCATGAACTTTTACCTATAGAGCACTAATTCCCATAACTTCCTTCAAGGAGATGTTAACTCAACAAATACTTAATTGAACATTAATACATACCACTGGGTCTCTGGTGTTGCTTATTTTGTTTTGTGATTACTAAACCAGTACCCCTGTATTCAGGGGATGCAGAACATAGAGGAAAGACAGGCAATCCTAGAATTTGTCTCAAGCCAGCTGTGGCAGTGATGTAGGGTAGCTTACACTTCCAGTGTATTCTTCATTTGCTTTTCTCTGATATAAAGTCTGGAAAGATCCGAACACGCCTTCCAAATTCCCCAGCAGTCTGGAGTGACTGTGTTCTGGCTGCAGTTGTTGTCGGTGAAACATCACAGAAGTGAGGCCTCTTTTCTTCTTTCTTCCTCCTCCCTGTTGTGAGTGTGGGGCTTGAGCTTGGCAGCCCTCTCCAAGGCTGGAAGAGAAAGAGAGGGGAGAGCTTGGTTCCTCGGTGCACACTCCAGCCCTGGACTGCTATGCTGATATTGCTTTGTGAGAGAAATAAACCCCTTATCATTTCAGCTGCTGTTTGTTTATGGGAGCTTGCAGGCTAAAGCAGTCTCAACTCACATATCTGCCCTCTCACAGGAGCCTTGGCTGGAGGGATCTTACTTCACTTACATTAGCTCATGAAGCCCATCTAGCATGATCTACATTACAATGGACAGTCTAACCCCCTCCCCGCAGGCATGGGCTGGCAAACTCTAGTTATAAGAGGATCTTTAATTAACAGCAAAAATCACATATGACATTATTTAATAGGCAGACAAGAAATCAGGGATGAATACCACTTCATTCACAACTGGCAGATTCCTTTCTCACTAATCCCTTTCCGCTTTCCATTTTGCTCCCCCCGTGACCCCAGCCTTCTAGCAGAAAATACTCCATTTACCCCTGAGCTGTCGACCTGTTTTCTTCTGCTCCTCTTCAATGTGGCCTTCTTATCTCATTTACCTTGCTCTTCTGTTTCCAGGCCCCCTTGCCTCCTGTGATGCATTTTAGTGAATTGTCTCCTTATTGGTAGCCTGGCTCTATTCTCACTCTCCAAGTCACACAGTAACTCTAGTAAGAAGGGACCAATGCTACATTTCCACAGAAATTGGGATCAAGTGCAGGAAAATACAGCTAAGGAGGAATGATTTGCTCCTGGGAGTAGGAGCTTTGGGTTGGAGAAAGCTTTGTACGGGATTTAATGTTTACATCGAGATGCGGAGGGGACAAAAGGATTTTTTTTTTTTTCCCTCAGAGAACAGAAGAAATAAATTCCAGAGGGAGGAAAGAGTGCAATCTAGATACAGGTGGGTGGCATTTTTGGGGAGCACTGCATAGTCTCTTATAGATAGAGACATGAGGAAGTGGTGTGAGAGTCCCTAAATATGAGGCTGGAAAGAGATATTTGGACCAGAGTTTGAAGAAAACAGAGAAGCTTGAAAGGGTTTTTTTTTTTTTTTTTTTTTTTTTTTTCACAGGTGAATGGTAACCAATCAAATCCTGGAAAGGAAACTAGACAGTGTTTTAATCAGGGAGAAGGAAAGGAACTATATTTAATAAATATAGTTTATTTTCTTTAAATTCACAGATCAATTTTCTTCTTACAATAAGCCTTGATGGTAGATAGATAAAATATTACACTCTCATTTCATAGCAGAATGAAGAACAACCAGTCAGGTAACTACGGGAGCAAGTTCACACCAGAAATGACTGGGGGCTTGGGCAGGGCAGGAGCAATGAGGATGGAGAGGAAGAGATGGATGACAGCTGTTTCAGGAATAAAGCCAATAACAAATGGAAACATTAAAACATCAAGTGGGCTAGTGAGGAAAGTCCAAGATGGGCATGAGCAAAGTCTCAGTGAATGAATTAATAAGACAGAGACGTGTTGTAGAGACAACCAGCAGGACCTGAATAGAGCTGATAGGATGTAGAATGAGTCAGATTAGGTGGGGCTTGATGGTGGTCCCTGCTGTCAAATGTTGCAGATAGGTCAAGGACATGTAAAACTCACAGAAACTTAATGGAGAGATTCTGCAACCTTTAGAAAGCACTCTTCACAAATAGGGCAGAAGCTAAATAGGAAGTGTCTGGAGAGTCAGTGGAAGGTAGGAATGGAGACCAGGCATGGGTGTAGCCTTATTTTCAGCACGTCTGATGGTCAACAAAGAAGAGATGCTGTGGAAAGTTAAGCACATGTGTGAGGGAGAGGGATTAAGCCTGAATAAAGGCCCTTTGAAGGGTTGGAGACCTTGTTGAGAAGTTGAAAGACTGCAAGGTGAATAGAAGGGGAGAGATCCCGGGTACAAGAAGGAAGGGAGGATAAAGATTCTCTGCATTTGTAGAGATTGTTACAGTTTATACAGTGCTTTTGCATTCAATGTCTCATATAGGGATATGTGGGACCAACATCACCACCCATTTGATAGATGGGTAAACTGAGGCTCACAGAGATCAAATGACTTTATTAGAGAGGGGAGACCGAGGATATGAACTCAGGATGCCTGAAACTGGTTAGGATTTTGTTGTTTGTTTTTATTCGTTGCCTTCCACACGAGGGAAAACATGACTTGAAAAACTACCACTTAAGAGTAACACATTTTTGTGGAGAAACACTCCCATTCATTGCCTACTTTGAATTTTCCACCACAATGACCCTGTGAGGTTGGCAGAATCAGCTTTTTTCTCATTCCATTGATAAGCAAACGCAGCCTCAGCAAGGCCAAGCAACTTCCATGATGCCACATAGCTAAGAAATGGCCAAGAAGGGCCTCAGACTCTCATCTTGACTCTTAGATGAACAGTCCGGTCGACAATGAGGCTTCTCCCTGCACTTGTGGATGAGAGGACAGCCTTTCAGCAGTGTGGCAGATAAACAGTGCATCTCCCCCATATTTCTGGTTCTCTGCTCCCTCCTGGAACCTGGAGGGTTGTATATTGCCATGCCCTTGGGTTAGGCATGACCATCTGACTTGCTTTGGACAATGCAGCATGAGCTGATGTGCAGTTCTTCACAGTCTTGTCTTCTACTGTCTGGGCTATTTTGGAAGAGAAAGGGATGGAAGCTGCTGGAATGTCAACTAACACCAGGAGGCTAGCTGCCTGGAAAGTTGCCTAAACCTGGAGCCAACTTTGAGTGAGTGAGAAATAAATTAAAATGCCTGATATCTGGAGATTGTTACAGCAGCATGATCTAGTTTATACAGTTGAACACCAACAAACTCTTCCCAGTGTAAAAAAAGAAAAATCCCAGTGCCTCATAGATAACCCTATCCCAAAGAGACAAGCATCTTCCCAGAATAACTGGGAAATAAACATCACTAAGTCCTTCTAGGAGTTAAAATGCCATCAGGACTTTTTTTTTTTTTTTTTTTTTTTTAAGGTTCTATTGGATGTTGAGTTTTTATTATGAGGTTGAGTTGTGAGCTTGAGGAGAAATTGTTTTTACAGATGTTCAGGGTGTGTTATGAGGAAATGGCCTTTTACAGGGGTTCAGATTGATGGGCTCTCTAGGGACCCCTTCTGACTACATGCGCAGAGGAAGTAGGGAGGGGCCTGAAGAGGCACAGAAGGACACCATGGAGTTTGAGGAAGACCAGGAAAAGGGGGTGGCTGAGTGATGAACTAGAACAAGATTTGGAGTCACATAGACTTGGGTAGAGTCCTGGCCAAATCACTTAACCTATCTGAGTCTTAAAATGGTTTTCTATACAATGGGAAAAATGATACTTGCCTTATAGAATTATAGTGAATTTAGATAGATTCAGTCACAAGTATGATTACTTTTGTATCCATGAGGGATTGGTTCCAGGCCTCCCCATCAGGATGCCCAAATCTGAGAATGCTCAAGTCCCTTGTATAAAATGATGTAGTATTTACACATGATCTATGCATATCTTCCTGTATACCTTGTCATCTCTAGATTACTTATAATACCTAATACAATGTAAATGCTATATAAATTGTTATTGTTTTTTATTTGTTATTTTTTTATTGTCCTACTGTTTCTTTGTTTGTTTGTTTTTTTGAGATGGGGTTTCGCTCTGCCACCCAGGCTAGAGTGAGTGGTGTAATCTCTGGTCACTGCAACCACCACCTCCCAGGTTCAAGCAATTCTCCCACCTCAGCCTCCTGGGCAGCTGGAATTATAGGCGTGCATCACCATTCCCGGCTAATTTTTGTATTTTTACTAGAGATGGGTTTTCACCATGTTGGCCAGGCTGGTCTCAAACTCCTGACCTCAGGTAATCCATCTGCCCTGGCCTCCCAAAGTACTCGGATTACAGGCATGAGCCACCACACCCGGCCGAATATTTTTTTTAATTTATTTTTTATTTTTAAAATTTTTTTAGAGACAGGGTCTCTCTCACTCTGTCACCTAGGCTGGAGTGCAGTGGTGCAATCATAGCTCACTGCAGACTCAAACTCCTGAGCTCAAATCATCCTTTTGCCTCAGCCTTTCTAGTAGCTGGAATTACTGGAACGTGCTACCATGCCTGGCTAATTTCTTTATTTTTATTTTTTTGTAGAGATGGATTCTTGCTATGTTGCCTAAGCTAGTCTTGAATTCCTGGGCTCAAGCGATCCTCCTACCTCAGCCCCCCAAAGCACTGGGATCACAGGCGTTAGCCAGCATGCCTGGCCACTATTTTCTGAGGTTGGTTGTATTCTTGAATGTGGAACCCATGGATATGGAGGGCCAACTGTAGCTTACAATGGGGACTTGATGGTCCAGTTCTTACTTTTTTCTCCTGAAGTGTCAAAGCAGTTGCTATAAACTGAACTGTGTGGCCTCAAAATTCCTGTTTTGAGGAATATCACAGTATTCCCCAGTGTGGTGGTATTTGCAGGTGGGGCCTTAAGAGATAGTTAGGTTTCCTGAGGTGATGAGGGTGGGGCACTCATGAGGGGATTTGTGGCCTTGAAGAATTAGTGTCATGGGAAGACAGAGAGAAGGCTGCTGTCTGAAAGCCAGAAAAAGAGCCCTCAGCAGAACCCAGCCATGCTGGTGTCCTGATCTCAGCCTTCCAGCCTCCAGAACTGTGAGAATATGAATGCTTGTTGTTTAAGCACTCAGTCTGTTGAATTTTGTTATGGCAGCCGGAGCTAATATAGACCTGGGTTTGAACAGGGAGTTAGAAGCTTCTACTTCTTGTCTACTTTTATTGCTTCTTTTGTGACTACATTTTGGGGTGGTGAGACCTTGGGAAGTGCAGTTTGGGCAGGGTGGGGTGGGGGTACCCTCTTTGTAGAAGTTGCATTTGAGTCTTAAATGCTGAGAGCAGCCAGGGTGTGGCTGGGGAGAAAGGAGCACACTGCTGGCTGCTTAGAGCTGGCTCCAAGGTCATGGTTCTAAGTGGGCCTTCTGCATTGTCTGGTCTTGCTTACCAGAAAATTGATTTAGGGTAGGCTTGGAGTCAGTATGAAACAGAATTCCACAAGCTGAGTGTCCTATCTGACACCACTCTTGGGAGCCCCAGCAAAGTGTGCTGGGCATTGGCATTGGGTGTCAACTAGGGGAGGCAAAGGGAACCCCCAATATATTGGCCCCAAGGGAGAATTTTGTGGTGTCCCCTTTCCAGAGCCCTGATCTTGTACCTGTCACCTCAAGCATTTTTTCCTCTTGCTTGGAAGGTTGTGCAGTTCTAAAAGAGGACATTGGATGTTGTAATCTTTTCCTTAACACAGGTTTCCCAATCTTTATTTGTTCACACCCAATTGTCACATTCTTTAGTTGTTGTATCTGTGAAATGTCCATCCTATCATTTATTTCATAATGCCTCAAAATGGACTCATTTTATTTAAACATATACTTTAGTTTTATGTTAAGCAATACTATTAACGAAATTAGAGTCTGTGTTTATCTTCATTTTTAAAAAATTATTATTTTTTTTTTGTAGAGATGAGGTCTCCCTGTGTTGCCCAGACTGGACTTGAACTCCTGGCCTCAAGAGGTCCTCTCACCTCGGCCTCCCCAAGTGCTGGGACTAGGCATGAGCCATCATGCCCAGTCTCCCTTTTTTTTTTTTTCCTCGAGCACACATTACAATAAATATGTCACTTAAAATTTTTAGAGAATATTCATGAATGCCCCACCTCACATCACCTTGGGGACCACTCATAGGACACGAACCACATTTGGGGTACTCGCTTTAGGAGCTGAGGCGAGCAGGGTACCTTACAGATGGGGGTGGGACAAAGGGCGTTTGCAAGGAGCAGCAACGTTCTCGCAGCGCCAGCCCCATGGGTGGCCTCCATCTCGGTGGAGCCTCCGTCTTGGCACTGCCATCTGCTCTGAGCGAGCAGGCTTTTGTGAGAAGCTGTGGGAGGGTAAGCCTGGCTGATTGGCTGGAGCCGTGCCCAGAGTGCCCAGATGTACATTTGCCCCAAAAGAGGGGGCACAGCTGGGGTTCACTGTCTCCCTGGAGGGCTGGTTTTTCTGGTGCAGCTCAAGGCTGCCTCCCTCTTTCCTGCCGCGCATTCTGCTCAGCTGGGCGGCGAGGAGCTGGCCCAGAGCGGCACCGCGAGCTCCCTCACCGCCGTCTGCCTGCCATTTGCTGCCACTGGGGACCTGCGACTGCTTCCATGGAAACAGAACCATGGATTGTTTTTCCAGAAAACGTCTCAATCTAATTTGTGTAGAGTCGCGTTGCGTGTGTGCACGTCTGTGTGTGTGCTTCAGTCACAGAAGGGGGTGAGAAGTGGGAAGAGGGGATTTGCATAGAACCTCCAATTTTCCTTATTTCCTAGGGAGTTGATGATTTCAGGTGAGTATTGCATGTCAGACACTGAGTCTTATTAAGGGCTTGGGTTAGGAAGCAGTGACCATTATATTTGCCTAGGGTACTCCGAAATACTTGAATCCTGCCTTGGTCTAGGTAATTCTCCTTCTCACTAGGTCTTCCTCAGAGGAGGGAGGTGCATGGGGAGACAAAGCATGGCAGTGAGTAAGACTCCGCTTAGCATTTCCTACCCCGGTGTAGGACTCCAGGAACTGGGCTGAGTCCCCTCCACAGTTTCCCCTATACCAGGAAGGGCAACATGGCCTCAAAAAGAAATAATTGGGAGGTGGAGGTGGGTGGATCACTTGAGGTCAGGAGTTCGAGACCAGCCTGGCCAACATGGTGAAACCCCGTCTCTACGAAAAATACAAAAATTAGCTGGGCATGGTGTCACATGCCTGTAATCCTAGCTACTGGAGAGTCTGAGGCAGGAGAATTGCTTGAACCCTGGAGGCGGAAGTTGCAGTGAGCCAAGATCACACCACTGCACTCCAGCCTGGGTAACAGAGCAAGACTCTGTCTCTAAATAAATAAAAATAAATAAATAAATCATGTGAACTCCTGTATTTTCCTCTCCACAGCCAAATATAAGTCTTAACGTTACATCTGCAATGGAAAAACAAGTCAAACTCAGCAAAAAGGAGCCCTGAAGAGACAGAGTTAAGTGCTTCCGTGATGAGAGTAGAGTTGGCCTATGCTGTCCCTCCCAGGACTCCTTTACCCAAGAGAAAGAGAGAGTGTGCATCCAAAGGGGAGTGAAAATAGAATATAAATAGGGAAAATAGAACCATTCAGAGCAGTTCAGGGATCTTTACTACTCTGACATGGAAGGAAGAAGGAGGAGAAGAGAAAAGATGAACGGACCTTGAACCTGGGATATCGCTCATGTGACTGCTACATTGGTATTAAGATACAGCATTCATGTGCCCTGGAATGTTTTGTTCTATTAGGTGCTACACCCAGTAGAACAGTGCTCCATCCAATGCAATTTTCTGGAATTTAAACAATCCAGACCAGAATTTTTCCTCCTTGGAGATGGAATGTCTTGCTCCAGAGGGAGGAGGAAGAAGAGAAAAGAGAAGTCTCAACCAGCCTCCTCTCTACCCCACACAGAGAATAGAGATGCAAAACTTCTCCCATAGAGTGTTTCAGCTTCTTCCTCGTTCCTCTTGCTTCTTTTCTCTTGGGATAATGACTTGGGTTTGGCCAGTATGTAAAGTTGACTTGTGGTACCTCTGGCTCTTCTCCAGGGGTGCTCACAGAAATAACTACAGTGGACTAGAATGAGATGCTTGAAACCTTCCCCCGAGCCTAGCTCTGCATTTAGGAGAACAGCACAGCGCACCATGATCTGATATAGGTATAGGTGGGTGGGAGTCTCAGTCTGTAGTTCTATATCACCTATTAAGAGACTGGAACCTGGTCCCATGTTTTCTGCAGGAGGTTGAGCTCTTAACAATGTGCCAAGCCAGCAGCTGTGCCCTAGAGTCTTGGCCTAAGACAAGCAAATAATTGTCAGATGACTGAATAGTTCTGTTTCCTTATTAAATCTTAGGTTTAGAATTCCTTTCACAATTAAAAAGATTTGGACAACAACTTTATAGGGCCAATTCTTTTTATTCCAGGTTATCACAACATCCTCAAAGAAAAATGCATCATGAATGGTCTTCATACCATCTAACAGATCCAGTTTACCCTCATTCCTGTGGCTTTGTTCTGGCTGCTACCTTCACTTGGCATATTTCTCCTCCCCTTCACCCTTCAAACCATGTTTTCTTTCAAGGTCCCCTCAACCCTAATGTGCACTGTGTCTTTCTGTCCACTCAAGTCCTGGCTGATCTCTCCCTATTCACACTTATGCCACTATTCTTTTCAGCTCTACCCATGTGGCGCTTGCCAGATGATGTTACCTTTTTTGCTTTGGGAATTTTGCTTTCCCAACTACAGCACAAGTAGGAGTGGTGTCTTGTAGTACTTTGTGTCTTTCTTCATGTTTCAGATGAGTGTTTTCCATAGAGTGGAGCTCAATTCCTATTTCAGATTTGAGCCATCAATGCTGGGCAATTTCTTCCCAGGTAAAATGAAGGCAATACTAAAATCTACCTCCAGATGGGACTGTGAGGACCAGATGAGATGCTGTTTTAAAGCCCCGAGACCCCAGCACACAGTAGGTCTTCAATAGGTATCATTCCCTTCCCTGTCCTTTCTGGCAAGGAGTTTAGCTTTGACTTATTAAGGACTCATAGGCAAGTCATTTTTTAATTGTTATGGGAGGAAAAAATGGCATTGCCTTCCTTGTTTTACTGTGGTTTGTGGAAACTCAAAAAAAAGCAGCGTTCGGTTTTACAATCTCTATAAATTGAATTTCCTGTCTTTTCAGAACTGTGGTTCTTTATACTGTATTTTTGCCTCTTCCACCTCCCAGGGCTGCATGGCATCCATTTACTTCTAAAATTAAACACATTTCCATTTTGTTTCAAGAATTTCTGCATCTCTGGAGATCTATGGGATGGCTCTGGGCTCCAGATTGCAGCGATCACTGTGGAGCAGCAACCATCTCTCCATCCTGGCTCCATTGAGCTTCTGCTTCTGTCATATCTGCGCTCCCCATTGGCACTGCCCGCCTGGCGCTCACCCAGTCTGGTCTGACACTTGCTGCTGAGGATGGGGCGGGGACCCAGGCAGGCTTCCAATTCTTTCATGAGCTGGGTGCTGCCTGAAGCCAGTGAACTGTGAAGCCCTGTTGTAAAGGCTTCAGAGGGCCCCAGCATGGCGGGGTGGGGGCACCGAGCCACGGGAAGTGTGTGAGCAAAGAGGGCTGCTGAGAGTAAATTAGCTCCTGGCTTTGAGTCCTGCTGATATAATCTCTTGATTTTTTTTTTTCCCCACTCTCCAAGTACCACTTAAGTCCCTCTGCTTGCTTCCTCACAAACAATGGAACCGAATGTTCATTTGTTTGCTTGGAACTGGTTGGGCATCCCCCCCTTCTCATTTCCAAAGGCTTGAAGTGCTCAGCTGTCCTCTCTCCAGAAGCCGGCCCCCCTTGGCTTTAGTGTCTTCTGTGCTTAATTGCAAATTATTGATTTGAAGGGAATTAATTTTTAGCTCTTGCCAGATTCAGTTGCTCCTGGGTTGGACTCCTCAGTAGGACACCCTGGGGATCCCGGCCAGGGCCGGGGGTGGGGGAGGGACCATGGCTTATCAGGGGCTGCTTTGGGCAGAAGGCCACAGACTGATCAGATGCCAGGGCTGTGATCGTCTAGCTCAGCATCCTGTTTTATCAGAGAGGAAACCGAGGCCCAGGGATCACCAAAGCTTAGCCAGCCACAGAGAGTACAGCTCCCATGTCCCAGCAGGGTCATGTCTGCAACAGTCCTTGACATGCATAGGCTCATTTAGTTCTCACGAAAACCTAGGAGGATGAGAACTTGTTCCCATGCAGATCTGATTTAGTAGATCTGGGTTGACACCCGAGATTTTTGCATTTCTTATTTATTTATTTTTAAAATAATTTCAACTTTTAGATACACGGGGTACATGTGCAGGTTTGCTACATGGGTATATTGTGTGATGCTGAGGTTTGGGCTATGGATCCGTCACCCAGGTAGTAAGCATAGTACCCAATAGGTAGTTGGTGAGAATGTAAATTAGACTTCACATTTCTAACAAACACCCTCCATGGGCTGCCGATGCTGCTTGTCCACAATCACATTTTGAGAAGCAAAGGTCTAAACTGCAGAGCTGGGTCCTAACCTTGTCAGCACATTGGAATTACCTGGGGGTTTAAAAAATTACTCATGTTTGGAGTCTATCCCTAGAAATTCTGATGTAATTGTCGTGGAGTGCCCTGGACAATGGGAGTTTTTGAAACTTCATGCAGGCAGTTTTTTTATTTGTTATTTTTACTTTTAGGTTCTTGCTTTGTTGCTCAGGCTGGAGTGCAGTGGCATGATTATGGCTCACTGCAGCCTCAAACTCCTGGGCTTAAGCAATCCTCCTTCCTCAGACCCCTGAAACACTGGGATTACAGGCATGAGCCACCATGTCTGGTCTTCCAGGCTGTTCTTATGTTTAGCTAGAATACTTTCTAGCTGCCCCCATCTCTCCCAGCTTTCCTATGTACAACTCTACATTCATTTCCATGGAAGTGCCCTCATAGAAACCCACGCGTATATGTATTTTGCAACATCAGAGATCTTAGAACCAAAGGAACAAAATAATAATTACAACATACTTTGTCTCCTGAGCACTTATCTTGTTATTTAAAATAACATAATGTTACTCCTGGTACCGTACATGCACTACCGCCTTCATGTATCACAAAACCCCTGCACAGCAGGTGATGCTTTAATCCCTGGGAAAGGTCAGCTGATTCCCCACTTTTCAGTCAGATTTGGCACCATCACATCCACTTTATTCATGAGGCATCTGAGACTTAAAGATCATCATTCCCATGTGTCCTGTGGGGCCATTGCCAATCCAGGCTGGGTGAGGGAGTGCTGGGTACATTTTGTGATTTGCAAGGCGGGGCTTCCGGGGAGCAGCAGGGCTGATGCACAGCGGGAGCTGACACATCAATGACCAGAGGAAGCAGCTGCGGAAACAGAAAGCAGGAATGTAGTGAGCAAGGCATGGGGCAATTTCATTGATCTGATTCTTGGGTATGAATTTCAGCCACCAACTCAGTTGTGCAAAATAGAATTTTTTCTCTGCAACTGAGCTGGACTTAGCTCTTAAGCTCTCTTGTGTCCATAGCAAAAAAACTTAGTTACTTTCAGATAAATGGTCATTACCAGATTTTTTTTCCTCTATGCCTTTGATAGAAATTCTCATTTGATCCCAGCTCCTTTTTCTTCTCTTCTTTTTCCCTTGTACAAAAGTGAGGTTGGGTGGTGAGTGGGCTTATTGTCAGGGTAATGTGTGTGTGCCTGTTGTGCTGGACACCTGCATGGCTTGGTCCTATGCTGGGTCTCCTAAAGTCCTCTGCCACCCCTCAGAGGCTCCCGTGAGTCCCTCTCCATCATCCCTCTCCTCTGTGAGGCTCTACCACCAGTCCTTCAGCCAGTTTGAATAGAGATAGCATTTCCCATGTGCCAGGCTGCATTATAAGTGCTTTACATGTATAAATGTATCCCGTTCTCATGAAAAACCTAAGAGGTGGGTGTTATTATCATCCCATTTTACAGATGAGGACCCTGGGACACAGAAAAGGGGTAAGTAATTTGCTCAGGGTCACGTGGTAGAGCCATGACTCAAAATGTCACCTGGCACCAGGACCTACGCTCTTACTGATCTTACATAATTGCAATCCCAGGTGTCCAGGGACACCACAGCAATAGTGAAGGGATTTGGGATTTTTTTTTTTTTTTTGAGACAAAGTCTCGTTCTTGTCCCCCAGGCTGGAGTGCAATGGCGTGATCTCGGCTCACTGCAACCTCCGCCTCTCGGGTTCAAGCATTCTCCTGTCTCAGCCTCCTGAGTAGCTGGGATTACAGGCGCCTGCCACCATGCCCGGCTAATGTTTGTACTTTTAGTAGAGATGAGTTTCACCATGCTGGCCAGGCTGGTCTCAAACTCCTGACCTCAGGTGATCCACCCGCCTCGGCCTCCCAAAGTTCTGGGATTACAGGCGTGAGCCAGTGCGCCCTGCCTTTTTTTTTTTTTTTTTTTTTTTTTTTGAGACAGAGTCTTGCCCAAGCTGGAGTGCAATGGCATGAAATCTCAGCTCACTGCAACCTCTGCCTCCCAAGTTCAAGTGATTCTCCTGCCTCAGCCTTCCAAGTAGCTGGGATTACAGGCGCCAGCCACCATGCCTGGTTATTTTTTGTATTTTTAGTAGGACAGGATTTTGCCATGTTGGCCAGGCTGGTCTCAAACTCCTGACCTAAGGTGATCCATCTGCCTCAGCCTCCCAAAGTGCTGGGATTACAGGCGTGAGCCACTGTGTCTGGCCAGCATTAGTGAAGGGATTTGATTGGATGATTTCTTCATAACTTTCAACTCTGACCCTAACCCTAGGTGGGTCAAAAGTGCCATGTATAACTCTTTCATCTTCTGTGGTTTATCACTTCCACTGCATTTTCTCATTTCTTATACCACGGGGGCTGTGGTATAACATATGCCTGTCTTCCCCTTATTACATCTTCTAGGAGGACAGACTATCCTATTCACTGCTGTAGCTCTTGAATGGCTCATATGTTGTAGCTACTCAGCAAATCTTAAGGAACTTGAAACATTAGATTGAATAGTAGCCCAGAGACTAGGTTTTCTTGATGGAAGAAAAGGGAGAAGGGAGAGAACTGGAAGACAGGTGGCAGGCTACGTAGAAGGCAATGGTAGGATCAAGTCCAGTGCTTTTTAAAAATTTGATTCATATTAACCTTCTGGTCTATAGTAGTTTGGAAGCAGAGCACTGTAGGAGCATGTTTAAAATTTCTCTATTACAGCAATGGCTGGAGCTCCCACGGCCAGCCTTGTGACGTGCTCTTCTCCTTCAGTTTCCCAAAACAAGCATAAAAGGCTCTGTACCCATCAGGTCCTGAGTGAGGAAGCGATTCACTTTACAGAGGGTTCTCTGTCTCCCCAGTCCCTCCCTGCTACAATTAACACCTCAAGGAGGGAATTTAAAAGCAAGTGCTTCTTTTTCAATTACCACTTAGAAAACTGTGTAATAAAACACCACTGCAAGCCTGCTTGCTCTTTTTGAAAGTCTAATTAATTCATTTGCAGAGGTTGCGTCTTGCCTGGTACTGTGTCACTTGCTCATTTAAAAAGGTGCCAAGGCTTGGAATCACTTGAACAAATCCATTTTCATGTCCCATGTTTGGTGGCTGACAGAACATCATAGGCTGAGATGGCCCAGAAGCCCAGGGACAACACAAATGTCCTTTGACCCAAAAAATTAACCTGGCTTTGGCTTCACCAACCCCACCCTCTACCCTGGGAGGCATGAGGCCTGGGTCAAGGCCAGGTTTGGTCACTCAGCAGTCACTATACTTCAGTCTTTTCACCTTCACTTCCTGTACCCTTAAAAAAAAAAATCTTTTGGCCAGATGCAGTGGCTCACGCCTGTAATCCCAGCACTTTGGGAGACCGAGGCAGGCAGATCATGAGGTCAGCAGTTTGAGACCAACCTGACCAACATAGCTAAAACCTGTCTCTATTAAAAATACAAAAATTAGCTGGGTGTGGTGGCACACGCCTGTAATCCCAGCTACTGAGGAGGCTGAGGCAGGAAAATCTCTTGAACCCGGGAGGTGGAGGTTGTAGTGAGCCGAGATTGTGCCACTGCACTCCAGCCTGGGTGACAGAGTGAGACTCTGTCTTAAAAAAAAAAAAAAAAATCTTTCCCCCAGCTTTGATATTCTAAGTCAGATCAATTTCCACCTAGCAATTTGTTCCCCAAATATACTGCTATCTTTAGTCGATTAACCTGAAACCTACTGCAATTATTGCATTTCATCTAAAATGTGCCTGTTTGATAAATTTTTGGTGAAAAACTATGTAGGCACAAATGTTACAAAAATTCTATTGATTCACAAGATTGAGTCTCTTCTCCCTTCCAAATAGTTCATGTGTATTGACAGAATTTTAACCGAGAACCTAGTATCCAATTGGCATTAATTTAAGGGTTTAATTTTTCTAACCTGGCCCTCCTATTGCAGTATGAAACTAATATGTGCACAGGGGAGTAGTTGCATTCCCTATAATATCATCTCATTGAAATTTTCTCCACATTATGACACAGGCTAGAGATTTGTTTTCTACTCAAGGGCACAGGATATTATGGCCACATGCTGAGATGTATGGAACTGGCTGGCTGAGCATCTAGAGTGGGTCAAGGCTGTCCCATGCCAGAACATGGGGCCACAGGTGAGGAAGAGAAGCCAGAAGCCCAAGAAAGTCAATCTGAGCAACATAGGGCACAGGTGCAAGGCAAATCTGGAGATGGCAGGAGCCAGTAAAGGTGAGACAAACCGCATGAGTCAAGAGGCAGGAGAGCAGTCGGAGAGCAGTCAAAGACCAGAAAAAATGTGGGACTGAACAGTGGAAATAAGAGGAGTCCCAGCATATTTGCATTTACAAGAGGCCAGACCAACAGCTGCCAGACAGATGAACGCTATTCCAAGACTTCTCATTGTTCTTTGACCTCTTCTTGCTCTAGGTGCACCAAGTGTGGCTTCAAACACCTTCCCATCAACATCTTCTATCTAGCCCTTGAGAAGAACAATTGATTGAAATCTATCCACATCTAAATTATATCATGATTCTAATATCTTAGCCTAGACTTCCCAGAAAACAGAACTCGAAGCAAAGCTTATGCAGTAATGCCTTACTTGGGAAGTGGGCAAAGAGGTGTGCAATCCCAGGGCTGTAAGAGTGAGGAAAATAGGGAGGTAAGGCAGGAAAAGAGGAAAGGAAGCAAGCTACTTAGTTATATGGCCCCCTTTGGGATAGTACAGGCTATCCCAAGTACTGTGTCTCAGAACATTTTTTGTTATTGGGAAAAGGGGAGGGAAACTCATTCACTGGATCCTCTCCTCATCCTGACTCTTGTTGAAGGTTCATCCCTGTCTCAGTGTTTTGTTGACTGACCCCTGAACTGACTTCTGGGGAGGCAGACTGATGTCCAGTGGTGCAGTGCTACTTCTGAATCTGGAAGTAGATGGGATGGGGAGACAGAGTCTCTGTGTGTCTAGACAGGTTGAACCTGGGGACTGGAGTTTTTATGGTTGTTGTCATGTGTGGCAGGTGTGATGGAGGTCATACTATAGCCAATGCTGATGCTGAGGGGCTGAGGCAGCCAGCGGTGCCAAGAGAAGAGGCAACAGTAACTGCAGTGAGGTCTCTCTGCAGGATCAAGGACTGGGGAATACTGGAGGCTGAGTGAATATGAGGAAGCAAAAGACTAGATCACATGCACTTATGCAGTGAGGAATTTGGGGTCCAAAATGGTGGTCTGGGAGGGGAAGGGAATTAACCAAGATCAAATGTGGCTTGGACTAAGGAAGCTGACTTAATTTTAGCTCATTCTAAGGATATCCCAGTCTTTCAAATGATAATGTTCCAATAGCAGTGGAATTGTGAGGACTGACTGGTCTCACTTTTGTTATTTAAAAGGATCTTTCAGACTATCTCCTGGCACTGGCATGATTCACTGTCAGGAGGTTGGGAGTCAGTTGGTCTCACTGAAGCCCATTTGGATTGGTTGATTGGTTAAAGCAAGATCCAATAGGGTCCTTACAGCCCTCCTGGGACATGTTACTAATAGGCTTGCTAGCTGATTCCAGATCCTATCGGCTATTAGGAGGTGCTGAGATCCTGGCAGGCTTGGTACTTACTGTCTCGGGGACTGAGTAGGCTGAGTTGGCTACTGTCTAGGAGTGAATGGAGAACTTTGCTAGCCTCTTGACCTGGAGAGGTAAAGCACCTCCACCACCACTACAATGGCAAGGTTGGGTTACCCCAGTATTAATGTTGGGCAAGATTACTGTGGAAAGGAACATTAGTTGGGGCAACGTAAACTTTACTTGAGCAAATGATGCTCCCCCTTACTCCCCACCTCCTTTCTTTTTCTTAAAATTAACTTTATCTTGGAATTATTTTTTTTAACCTAGAAATAATGAAGTGTATATACCAGAAATGTAACCATCTCAGAAAACTTTCAGCTTCTCTACCACTGAGATATGTGGATCACAAAGTGAGGATCCTCATATTTATTTGCCTCTAAAGAGAATAGGGTTAAGCAGTTGCTGTCTTGTAGTTAAGGAATCCTTATAGCAGTCAGGCAGCATGTGACTTAACTCACTTTACCAGGGCTAGGGTTCTTTATGGAGGTTTGAAGGCAAGTTTCCAGTTAGAAGCGTTCATTTCTCAGGCTGTATTCTGAATTCACATATCTTTTGACCATTTCAAAATGCTGAGAGTGACAATGCAGACTTTGGGTGTTCTGAACTGCGGGTCCTGGTCAAATACCATCTTTCTATCACAATGTGATTTATAGATGTGTAAGGATAATATTTTGAACTATTAAACAATGATTTTTAATTCTCTCCAAGTCAATTTATTCCCTCAGCCCCTTTACTATTAAAAAGGCATCACTAGGGAAAGTGAACTGCTGAAAACAGAATCAAACTCTTGGTCTTTGCCATGCAAGATAAACTCTTAAAGCCCCTAGAAGAGCAGATGGTCTTGAAAGCTAAGGTTTGTTTCACTGTAAGAGGTATGTTTTTTTGAGAGAATTAAAGTCTTTTTGTATACCGAGAACTACGCATAAAATATATCTAACAGCAGTTTTAAAACTTTTTGGTTTCAAGACTCGTTTATGCTTTTAAAAACTATTGAGGACCCCACGATTTTTTGGGGTGGAGGAGGTGGTGGGGTAGGTTATATATAGGTACTTACTTTATTAGAAATTAAAAGTGATGAACTTAAAAAATAAAATTGCAAAGGACAACAAAATATATTTTCTTAAATTTTCACATGAGCATTTCAAAATAATGATTTTGGAATTTCAAAATAATGATTTATTGGACAATAATGAGAGATTATAACAGATATAGCCAAAGGTAGCTGGTAAAAGTTCATTTGAAGCCCTGAGAAAAAGAGTTAATGTCTGAAAACATATTTGTTCATACAGTAAACCTACGACCTTGAAACATTCTAAAAAACTCAAGAAAACAAAACATACATTCTTTTAGGTACCAGAGTAATGACCTCATATGTCATGTGGTCTCTGGAAACATCTATTGCATACTTCTGAGAAAATGAGAGTGAAAAAGGCAAATATTATCTTTGTATTATAAAAGTAGTTTTGACATTGTGGACTATTACAGTACATGTTGTGCTACTATAGCAGAATACCTGAGACTGGGTAATTTATAATAAACAGAAATTTATTTTCTTACCGTTCTTGAGGCTGTTAAGTCCAAGGTCAAGGTGCAGGTATCTGCTGAGGGCCTTCTTGATGTATTGTCCCATGGTGGAAGGCCAACAAGCAAAGAGGCAAAGGGGACTGAACTGAACTTGCTTCTTTATAAAGGTATTAATCGTTCTTATGAGGGTAGAGTCCTCATGGACTAATCACCTCTCCAAGGTCCCATGTCTTAAATACTGTTACAATGGCAATTAAATTTCAACATCAGTTTTGGGTAGGACAAACATTTGAACCATAGCATGGACCTCCCAAGGGAGCCTCAGGAACCCCTGGGAGTCCCCAGTCTGCACTTTGAGGACTGCTTATTAATAAATAGCATTCTCATATATCTCAATTTGCCTAGGATAGCCCAAGTTTGTTTGCTGTCCCTACTAATATAGTTATTACAAGCATCCCTCTTTACTCTTAAAAGTTTGAATAAAAATTATATGGACACACTATTTACAAACTACAGGCCAAAAGTATTGGCTTAGCCAGTTTTCCTTCACAGATCTTGAGGAAGAGAAGTTTTTAGAGAAGAACTGAGAGTAGATTGAATCCCTGGTGTGCCTTCTGAAAGAAAAAGCCAATGGCCTAGCCCTGAATTGAGTTCCACTGGGGCGAGGAAGAGATGATTTTTAAAATGTACATTATGGCTGGGTATGGCAGCTCACCCTGTAATCCCAGCACTTTGGGAGGCTGAGGCGGGCAGATCACCTGGGGTCAGGAGTTCGAGACCAGCCTGGCCAACATGGTGAAACCCTGTCTTTACTAAAAATAAAAAAAAGTAGCCAGGCATGGTGGCACATGCCTGTAGTCCTAGTTACTTGGGAGGTTGAGGCAGGAGAATCACTTGAACCCAGGAGGAGGAGGTTGCAGTGAGCCAAGATCATGCCACTGCACTCCAGCCTGGGCGACAGAGTGAGACTCTGTCTCAAAAAATAAAAAAATAAAAAAATAAAATGCCCATTGTTGGTTGGGTATGGTGGCTCATGCCTGTAATCCCAGCACTTTTGGAGGCTGAGGCAGGCAGATCGCTTGAGCTCAGGAGTTCAAGCCAGCCTAGGCAACATGGTGAAACCCCATCTCTACAAAACATACAAAAGTTAGGCAGGTGCGGTGGTGTGCATCTGTAGTCCCAGCTGCTCAGGAGACTGAGATGGAAGGATTGCTTGAGCCCTGGAGGCAGAGGTTGCAGTGAGCCAAGATTGTATCACTGCACTCCAGCCTGGGCGACACAGTGAGACCCTGTCTCCAAAAGGCAACAAATGCACATAGTTAATGAGTACAGAGTTTCAGTTTGGCATGATGAAAGAGTTCTGGGGGTGTGTGGTGGTGGTGGTTGTACAACAGTGTAAATGTATCTAATGCCACAGAACTGTTCACTTAAAAATGGCTAAAATAGTAAATTATATATATATTTTATTGCAATAAATAAAATGCACATAGGTTTGAGGGAGTGGCTCCAGGAGATTGTCAATGTTGTAAAGAAGTGCTGTGTCCACTACAGTAAGAGAACAATGGGCCATCAATTGTTGAGAAAGGCAAATGGACCTGAAGTGGACAGAAGACTCACAGAGCCCCTCTGTCTCATTGAGATGATCTTGTCAGTGCTCAGGCATGGACTCTTAAGTTGAAAATCTTGCTAGAAGTACTGACCTCAGCTGAGGATGCATTGAGTCTAGAGGCTGCCCATGAAAGACTAGGTGGGATGAAGTACATCTCCACAGATAACAGAGGAGAACAGAGGACAGCCTGTGCCCGATAAGCCCCTCACTCTGAATGCCTTGTAGACTTAGTCTACTTGGAGTTAGTCCATGAGAGAAGGGGAAGAGCAGACCCTTGAATTGACCGTCAAAATCCTGAATAAGCCAGAAAACTCTCCAATAGAAAGACAATGTGAGGTACATTTTACATTTCCTGAGAGTGACATGAAAGTAAAATGAAACATGTGAAATTAATTTTAATAATATATTTTATTTGTCCCAGTATGTCTAAAATATTATTTCAATGTGTAATCAATAAGAAAAAATGATTAATGAAATATTTTGCATTCCTGTTTGTAGTAAGTCTTAGAAATACAGTGTGTGTTTTCTACTTACAGCAATTGGGACTAGCACATTTCAAGAGTTCATTAGCCACATGTGGCTAGTGACTGATGTATTGGACTATGCAAGAGTAGAGTTTAAGCCAGAAAGAATCAAACAACAACAACAACAAAAATTTGATAGGATTTACTTGGACATGATTAGATTGTTTTTAGTCAATGAAATGGAAGTAGAACTGATGTGCATTTTTGCCAAGGGCGGAAGCATTTAATTGCCAGTATAAGTCACTAGAGCTTGCCCATTCACTCATATGGTGAGTGTGGAAGCACATGTTGAAATGGAGCCTCCATCAGATTGAGTCCTGAGTGATTAAGATGAACAGAGCCACCTACCACCCATGTTGGACACACAGTGAGAGCAAGAAATGAATGGCTGCTTTATGAGATTTAGGAGAGGTTTGTTACTGTAGCATAACTTAGCTTATCCTGACTGATACATGTGATTAAATTGTATTTCAACTAATTAAACTTTTAAATATAACTTTGGCAAAAATTCATGTCTTATATTTAAAATATTTTCAGAATTTTTAAAGGCTGTGGGAAACATGCCATTCATTAATGTTCCATGAATCCATTTACCTGGATATATTAATGAATTGCATAAAGGGAGATATCAAACAAAGAAGTAGAATAAAGGTAATTTTTAAAGTTAGCTTCAAAAAAGAATTTCAGAGCTGGGCATGGTGGCTCATGCCTGTAATCCCAGCACTTTGGGAAGCTGAGGCAGGTGGATTGCCTGAGCTTAGGAGTTCAAGACCAACCTGGGCAATATGGTGAAACCTCACTCTACAAAAAAATACAAAAATTAGCTTGGCATGGTGGTGCACACCTGTGGTCCCAGCTACATGGGAGGATTGCTTGAGCCTGGGAGGTAGAAGTTGTAGTGAGCAGAGATTGTGCCACAGCACTCCAGCCTGGGTGACAGAGTAAGACCCTGTCTCAAAAACAAACAAAAACTGAAACAAAGCAATTTATCAATTAGTGTCTGTTGAGGGATACAAGCAGGTAGAATTTTAATTCTGTAATAGTAATGGCAATAAATTATTTGCTCTTACAAGTATTAATAATAGACTATTAAGGAAAAAATCTTGGGATTGTGAGGGCTCTTCTCTATAGATTTTGAAACATTTTCCACTTATTTTGGAAACTGATGATTTAAACACAAGATGTTCTAGGACTACAGATAATCTAAATGTTCCACCCATTTAAAAAATCATAAAGGCCAATTTTTTAGTCTCCCCAGAATTTGTAATTGTTAGCACTAGTAATGGAACATGTATGTGCCCATGTATATTTGTTTAAATGGAACATATATGTGCCCATGTATATTTGTTTAAATGGAACATATATGTGTCCATGTATATTTGTTTAAAGTGTTTTGAAGCTGTGCATAGAAACTTAACTTTGCAAGGACTTGTCATTATGAAACACAATTAGAATTTTTCATAATGAGAATTTAAAAAACTCTCATATTCCTAAACGTTCCTTTCACAGGTTAAACTTTTAAATTATCTATCTCATTTTCTTTGAAACTCCCTGGTGCATGAATATTTTGAAATTAAAATAAAATCCTAAGTGCCCCCTGGACTGATGGAACAGACCCCTCTTGGCCAAGGGGACTCCAGAAAAACTTTAAAAACTATATTTCCAGGCAGTGACAGGATGGCAAGTTGGTCACACCTCAGTACACCCCCCTTCTTTGCTATACTTTTCTTTTTTTTTTTTTTTTTCTTCCTGAGAGTTAAATAGAAACCAGCCCTGGAAAAGAAACAAGACTCACTCCTCCACAGACTTCAGCACACCACCTGATACTGTAGCCCAACTCCCATCCCTTTTTGTGGTTTTGACATGGCAAATAACCAGTTTCACAAAGCATTCTTCCCTTACAAATGGCCATTGACCATGAACTGGTTCTGACTGGTTTACAGAAGCTGCACACGTAGTGCCTTTGTGTCCTGAGTGTCACCTTCTAATGTACAGAGCCTATAGAGCCTAATTTTGCTGCATTTTAATGTTAAGTCTTCACTCCGTGTGAACATGGGATTTATGTAACATGTAAATTTGCTTATCACGCATGTAGGTAACCCCCTTTATGTATGTTTAGCCAGCCTGTTTAGCATAAAACTCCTGTCCCACCCTTCCCTTTTCTATCTCAGCCAGTGGCTCTGCTTCCCAGCATGCAGATTGCAGCTCTTCTCAGAAATTCAGAAATAAAGCTGTCCTTTCCAAATTTAGAGATCTTGTAACTTTTCAGTAAATAGTATACTTCTTTTAGGGCACTGAATTGTCTTCAATTCTTTCTTAGTATTCAGGTAGAGACTAAGAAATTAGTACATTTCTGAAAAATTTTTTACTGTATACTGAATACTATTTTCCAGTTGGCTTTAGAGGAAAATTTAATTTATTGAGTGTTTTTCAAATACTTACTTTATATTCAATATTGTGCTTGGTGCTGTGAAGAAACAGTGGATGTAGAAGATGTATTACTGTCTTGAAAGAACTTATATTCTTCTTTTTTTTTTTAAATTGAGACGGAGTCTTGCTCTGTTGCTCAGGCTGGAGTGCAGTCGCGTGACCTTGGCTCATTGCAACCTCCGCCTCCCGGGTTCAAGCAATTCTTCTGCCTCAGCCTCCCAAGTAGCTGGGATCACAGGCATGTGCCACCACACCTGGCTAACTTTTATATTTTCAGTAGAGACGGAGTTTCGCCGTGTTGGCCAGGCTGGTCTTGAACTCCTGATCTCAAGTGATCCACCTGCTTTGGCCTCCCAAAGTGCTGGCATTACAGGCGAGAGCTACCATGCCCACCTAGTCTTGATGCCGACAGGCACACAGACCTGAAATGGCCAAATGACTAAAAGGTAGCAAAATAATTAAATGACCAACAGAATGAGAAAGGTTGAGAGCCAGGATGGTGTAGGGCAGGGAGTACTGGACAGGGAGCCTGGAGATTTGAGTTGTAGTTTTAACTCTCCAAATGCAATAACAGTGTATTTGTATTGAATTATAAATCAAATAAAATGCTTTTACACATTATCTTATTTAATCCTCATAACAACACTGAGAAGTGGATATTATTATGATCCTCATTTAACATGACAACAATATTTCTTTTTTTTTTTTTTTTTGAGATGGAGTCTTGCTCTGTCGCCCAGTCTGGAGTGCAGTGGCGCTATCTTGGCTCACTGCAAGCTCCGCCTCCTGGGTTCAAGTAATTATCTTGCCTCAGCCTCCTGAGTAGCTGGGACTACAGGTGCCCGCCACCATGCCTGGCTAATTTTTTTTTGTTGTTGTATATTTAGTAGAGACAGGGTTTCACTGTGTTAGCCAGGATGGTCTCGATCTCCTGACCTTGTGATCCACCCATCTCGGCCTCCCAAAGTGCTGGGATTACAGGCGTGAGCCACCATGCCCAGCCAAGGACATCAATATTTCTAATGTTTTGTAGTTAATCTACCTTAAAATACCTACTTAAAAGATAGTCCTCAAACTGAGTTTTACCTCCAAACCTGGATCTTCCACCACAGGTGCTGTGTGACCTGACACAAGTCACTAGACCTATCTGTATCTCAGGAATGTAATTTATGAAATGAAGGCTTTGGCCTACATCAGCATTTTCCGAAGTAACAGGGAATACTTACTAGTTGTGCAGGACATTAATCAGTGACAAATATATTGGCAAAATGTCAATTTAAAGTTTAATTTTTTAACTATTAATTTCTTAATCATAATTTTATGATATATTTTATATTACATATTATATATTATATATTAAGTGTATTTATTATAAAATAAATGTATTTAGTAACTATGATAATTATTTCTTAATCATAATAATTTCCTAAAAACTTTCCAGAAATTCTAGTATGCTAATGGACATTGTTAATAATTAAGAGACTGTAACACTTATAGGGAGTGTCTGATCTACTTTTTCCTACCACTTTTTTTTTTTTTTTTTAGCAGGGAGACACAAACCATCTTAAAGGATTGATGTGTCTCCTGTTTAGGGAATGCTGAACTAAGCTATTTATTTATTTTGAGTCAGGGCCTCACTCTGTTGCCCAGGCTGGAGTGCAGTGGTGAAATCTCGGCTCACTGCAACTTCTGCCTCCTGGGCTCAAGTGATCCTCCCACCTCAGCCTCCCTAGTACCTGGGACTACAGGTATGCACCATCACACTGGGCTAATTTTTGTGTTTTTTGTTACAGACGGGCTTTCACTATATTGGCCAGGCTGGTCTCGAACTCCTGACCTCAGGTGATCTGCCCACCTCGGCTCCCAAAGTGCTGGGATTACAGGCATGAGCCACTGTGCCCGGCCTGAATTAAGTTATTTTAAGGTCCTTGAATGTATCACATTTTATGAGTCTATGTGAATAAGTGGTGTTTGAAGTCAGGAAAAGTAATGTCAGTGGATGGGAGTAATAGGGGAGAGCTTTCTAGAAAGAGGGTGTAGCCAGGATGGAAGTCCAGGCTGTGAGAACCAATGTCAGCAAAGGTCAGGAATGTTTGTCTCTAGAAGAAGGTATTCATGGATGAGTCAGAGAGCAGAAAGAGAGAAGACTGGATCTTTGGGTTGGGAAAAAAAACATGAAAGACCTTGAATGCCAAGTATATTGGACTCTTGGTTAAGTGGTTAAGTGATTAAGTCTTCAGCTTCCTTTTTCCAAATGGGTTACAGAAAACCTTCTTGGAGACCAGACTTTAGCTTAAGGGGTATGCCTGATTGGCGTAGGGATAATATCCACCCACTGCTGATAGCAAGTTCAGGAATGGGTCCATGACCCCAATGTAGGTAGATCTGTGAGTCTTCATAATATTTAAAGTCCTTCCCGTGGACCCCATTGATGCCAATCTTGCTGTGGACTTACTTTGGCTAATGAAAATGAGCCCAGGGATGGGTCTGGCAATGTCCTAGATAAGAGTTTTCCTTCAATATGGGCCCTAGAATTAGAAGATAGGAAACAGAACTGCAGCCAATTCACGTCAGACATGCGCAACAAGCAAGAGCCAAACCCTTATTGTAAGTGACAGCAACTTTAGCCCAATAAAGAATTGAAAGGAAAGGTCTACTAGATGATTTGGGGAAAGTTTTTTTTTTTTTATCTTTGAAAACACACACACCCGTCCACCCACCCACCTACACACGGGGACTACATCTTTCACTGGAAGTTACTGGGGAAGCATGAAGCCCTTGATTTCACTGTTAGGCAACTTAAATCATGGGAAAGACCAGCCTTAGCATGAAGCCAATGCTGGAGAGATGGAAAGAAGTTAGATCTTTCACAGCCCTGAGCCATTGATCCTACTTCTGGATGGCTCTTATATGAATCCTGTATTTCTTTTTTTAAACCAACGTGAGTTGGATTTTCTATTACTTGTTGTTGAAACCATCCCAATTAATTCACAAAATGAAACAGCTAGATGTAATTTTGGGGTTACAGGTCACTGAAGGGTTTTGATAAGGTAGTAATAAGATACAAGCAATGAATTAAAAAGCTGTTTTGGTCTGTTAGGGCTGCTATCACACAATATTATAAACCGGGTATGTCAAACAACAGAAATGTATTTCTCATAGTTCTGGAGGCTGAGAAGTCCAAGATCAAAGCAGCTGATTTGGTGTCTGATGAGGGCCCATTTTCTGGTTCATAGATGGTGCTGTCTAGCTGTGTCCTCACATGGTAGGAAGAGTGAGGAATCTCTTTTATAAGGGCATTAATCCCATTCACAAGGGCTCTGTCCCCATGACCTTATAAACTCCCAAAGGCCCCACCTCATAATACTACCACCTTGGTGGTAAGGATTTCAACATATGAATTTTGGGGAGATGCAAACATTCAGGCCATAGCAAAAGGTACATCTGGCTTTTGTGAAGAAAGGTTCACAATGGATGGGAAGAGATAAGAAGAAAGCAGGAAGGCCAGTCCTAGAAAAATGGCACCAATCCACATAGAGTGCAGTGGGAGCCCAGTAGGGAATGCAATGGACAGGGGAGAAGTGAGGGACATTCTGAAGAATGATAGGACTCAGTGCCTGGAGGAGGAGAGGAGGCTTCAAAGGCAAGAGAGTTGGCAGGACTGTGAGAATGGTGAGGTCTGGTAGGATAGGGAAGAAGAAAGGAGGAGTCAGTTGAGAATGAAGATTATGATTTGCTCTGGGACATAACAAGTTTAAACATACTATGTGGAGTCTACTATGTGGGAGGTACTAAAGATTTTGAGAAGAATAAGACCTAGTCCATTTCCTGTGAGACTCCCAAAGCCTAGAAGGGAAGTAGTGGCAAACAAATGAATTGCAATACAGTGATTAGAACAGCAAGGTGTAGAGGCAGCACAGGGGTGAGAGATCCAAGGAGACATTTATCCATGTTCTTATCGAGATCAGATGGGAGCTTGTGAGAAGCCAGGACTGTCAAAACCCACGTGGACCTCATTTGCAGAGTAGCAATAGATACTGCCATGCAAGAGATGAATCTCCAAGAGTGACAAGATGCAGTGGGAGTGGAACAGAGCAAAAGTGAAGGCAGATTTAGGTTGGTGGCTTTATTTCTGCCACTTGCTGGCTATGTGAATTTGGGCTTGTTATTTGTGATGTGAAGCTTCAATTTCTTCCTTCATAAAGGGGAAAAAAAGTGGCTACCTCCTTGCTTTGTTGCAAAAATTAAATGATATAACTCATGTGAAGTACTTTGTACCATATCTATAATTTGATAACTGCTTACAGAATGTTAGCTTTATTATCTTTATTATCATCATTACTGTTAGTAGTATATATTGCTGCATAAAAAACTGCCTCAGTGCAACTATTTACTTATTCATGAATCTGCAATTTGGTCAGGGGTTGGTAGGAATGACTCATTCCTGTTCCATGATGTCAGCCCACATGGCTGAAAAGGGACTGGAGGATTCACTTCCACGACTGGCAAGTTAGTGCTGGATTTGGGTGGGTGCTTGGCTGGGGTCCTAAGTTCCTTCGTATGTGGGTCCCTCCATGAGCCTGCTTTTGCTTCCCTATGGCATGATGGGGATGAGGATTCTAAAGATAGGAAGTAGAAGCTGTCAAATTTTAAGGCCAACAACCAGAAACTGGTGCAGGATTACTGCTGCCATATTTTATTGGCCAATCAGTCACAAGCCCACCCAGATCCACAGGAGGAGGACATGGACCTCACCTCTCAGTAGGGAGGATTTGTGGCCATCTTTCATCTACCATGTAATGGAATAAAAAAATAAACTTAGAGAAAGCCTACCATCAGGAAGCAGAGGTAGAGTCAAAGACATATTCTTTTAAAAAAGTGATTGAGGGATTAAATAGCAAAGCTCTATACATTTAAAAGGAACTCTGCCATGCCATTCCATTAATAAGGATCAAATTTGATTAAATGTAGAAGCAGATGACTACTGCCTTTTAAAGTTTAACAGAAGAGCGAGGAGATCTGGTTAAATAATGGAACCAGAGACCTTAGATCTGAAAGGACCTCAGAGACCCTCTGATGCAGGCCTTTGTGTAATCATTGGAGGTGAAACTGGCCCAGTTGTCCCATAGAACTAATGTTTACGGTTTCTTTGAATAAACGTAGAAATTGGCCCTCCCAGTCTTAAAACTTGAGAAAGCTACATTTGCCTTATCTGAGTTCCTTTCTCAGGAAACCAACCATCAGGGCTTTCAGATAGTATCAAGGAGCTGAAACTTACTGAAATCACTGCATCTGGACAATAAGACACCAGACTTCTCACCCTTCATGATTGCCTAACCGACCACCTGCTTCCCATTGAACAGCTTCTCTTCCTTTCCTGCCCACCCCCACCACCCCCACCCCCCACCAAATTCCTGTTTTTCCATATATGGTTACATTTCTTCTCTGCTATATAAACTCCTAATTTTAGTTGGTCAGGGAGATGGATTTGAGACCTATCTCCCATATCCTTGGCTGTGGCACCGGATTAAAGCCTTCTTCCCTGGCAATACTCATCTCAGTGATTGGCTTTCTGTGTGGTGAACAGCAGGATGTAGACCAAATCCCTGGTGTTTCAATAACAGGAGCAGAATCTACTCTTGCCAGAAAGGTTTGTGAGAGAACCCACAGCTAGGGGATGGAGAGTATTTCAGTGGGACATTTGTGTCTACCTAGACAGTCACATTCCGTAGTGTAACAGTCTTTCTCTGGTTATCCTCTCTTGGAGGGAGGGAGAACAAGTGAAAACAGTTTCCTCAAAGGAAGACATCAACTGCAGTTTAATTCATCCAAATATATCAGCTTCTAAAGTATCTATCTGCTATTCCTCACCAAACACTCTTTAGTGCAAAACATAATATTTCAAACATGGCTTGTTTGTCTAATGTAAGACAGCACTTTCTAAGCTGGTTTGTCAGATCCCCAAGATTTTGCACTAGGAAGATATGTAACTCTGTCCTCTTGCATGGATCTGGCTTTCTAGCTCAGGGCAAAAATGAAGTGCAATTTTTTTTTTTTAGTGGATTATTTATTTAAAGAGTACTGAATAAGTAGTTGGGAGACCAAGGTTCTGATCTGAGGCTTAGCCTTGACTATCTCCTACCTGCATCAGTGAGGCAAATAGGTTTCTGGAGAAGTGCTAGAAGGTTCTTCCCAATTCTCGGGATCAAAGACTGTGTGAGCAAGGTCACTGGACAGAAGTGAAGAGTGACAATGTATCCTGCTTCCTGAGAGACCCAGGAGTAAAACTTATCACAAAGAGAACACGTTTCCTTAAACACACACTGCCAAGGGTTCCTGGGTTTCCCTAAATTCTTAGGACAGTATATAGGAAATACGTTGCTTGATTTTAACTGTGCAGGGCCAAAGTCTAATAGATCAACACCCAGTATTATGAAAGGCATCCCAGCATCTCTGCAGGCAGTTCAAGGCCTTTGTTTGTTATTTTTCAAATAATGTTGTGCTGCTGACTCATGTTTGTCTTGTGCCCCACTGTGACCACCTAGATATTCATGGCCCTAATCACGTTCCATGTTATTAATAATCAGTGCCTATGAAATTTTACTACTCTCTGGCTTGTTATCGAGTCCTGGAAGTATGCAAATAGATTAATCAAGCAGCTCCTACGCTGAAAACCTTGAATGGAACTTTAAGGATGGTGGAAGTATTTGCCCTGGCTCTCGATGTCTCCTCCAATCAAGCCTGAGGTGTGTTTTCCTCCTAACTTTTAATTGCATGACCTCTGAGAACCTAATTTCCAGAAAATCCATTTATTATTTTAATGCTCATTTGGCATTATTATTTTCCCAAAGCAATCTTTTTGTCTCTGAATCTCTTAGGAGAGTTGAGAAGCAAGCCAAGAAAAGCTTCATTTTCTCCTCCTGGCCCTCAAAGGAAGCAGAAATGAAACATTAAAAATCTTAGTTTCTAGTCCGGGCTGGGGATGGGGGGAAGGGAGGAGGAAAGGAAAGCAGGGAAGAAAGAGATTGGAAGGCACTTGCCTTGGTCCCAGATGGAAAGCAATCCAGCAGATTGCCTTTAAACAGCACTGTCCCTGCAAATAGGGCACTCTGGCTGTTTTGTGTCACTTGAAAGCATCTTGTTGATATTTTTATAGATTTTATGATACATTCTAAAGCATGCATCAGGAACAGCCACTTGGAGTTCTGGCAGTAATGAACATTGTTATACTCACAGTCTGAGTAGTCTTTACTTCAAAGGGAGGCGTTGATCTGATCTTTCATCTTCTCAGCTGTTGCTCACCAGCTTCCTTTAAATACTGTTTGAACTAAAAACCCCACATTTCCTGGTTTCAGTGAGCAATTCCCCTGATACTTCTAATCTTCTCACTTGGAAGCTACTAAACTGTGATTGAATGATGCCATTAGCAAGAAGGAGGTAAATACATCTAAACGTGCTGTCTTAGACTTTAATAATAACTAGCTTGTGTCTTCAGCACTCCTGCTTGTTTACAGAAATGGGTGTACTTGGGAGAGGGAGAAAGAAAAAAGAAATGTTGAATGAATGAGTGAGTATTTTAAGCAGGCAGTTTGGTTTGGTGATATGAAAAGGTGTCTCACACCCCTCTTTGTAGAATGATAAAAAGAGGAAAGAAAAGTAAATATTCTACCCTTTGGAAATAGTGAACCAGATTTTCCACAAGGTAAGTAACTTTGGTCAACCTTACTTTAGGCTACTTTCCATGGAGGACTATTTATTTAAGCCAGGTAAATGGCTTGGGCACTGATCCCTGAACATTGCTTATTTTCTTCCACCACCAAAAGTTATTCATACTATGTGACTACTTAAATTTAAATAGAGATAATTTCAAATTAAATACAATTGAAAATTTAGTTCCTCTTTTGTACTAACCACATTTTGAGGGCTCCATGTAAGGTGGTGTCTACCACATAGGCTGGTACATAAACAGACATTTCCATCATCTCAGAGTCCTGTGCGTGGAGCTGCTCCAGAGACCTATAAAGTGTTTCTTGTTCTTCCACAATTATGATTAAATGGACTAGTCGTGATCTTTAGTTCATGACGCATTCCTATCATTGATTGATACATGTCTCAATATTTATTTATTCATTAGTTTTCATCCTATAAAAACATCCATAAAGCCACAACTCAGAAGTAGTCAGGACCTTAAAAATAATGTACATCTAGTCATGTATCCACATCCCATTCTGCTATTCCCCCTCCTGAGATTACTTAACCATCATCATGGTTCCAATGTTGATTCATGCCCTTGCTTTTCTTTTCATGTATATTCATAACAGTTCATGTGCATATATGCATATATGTGTGAATGTATTCCTACACATATAATTTTTGTTTTTAACTTTATAAAAATAATATGCTAAATGTAATTTGGGAGGACTTTGAAATTTAGCATACTATCATTATATGTTGCAGTTGTTTTTTTCAGATATGTAATATGGTACACATTGTGTGAACATACCACGGTTTGTTTCTCTACCCTCTCGTTGATAGGTTTTTGGATTACATCAGGTTTTTGTTATTGTGAACAGTGCTCTCATGAGTGTTCTAATACATATTTCCTGTTGTAGATGTGCAAGAGTTTCTCTTGGGTATTTATCAAAGAATAGAATTACTGGTTATAAGATATATGAAGGCTTAACTTCAGGAGATAATGACAAACTGTTTTCCATAGGGAATTTGCTAGTTTACTCCTCAAGCAATGTAAAAAAGATCTTATGGATCCCCATTCTTTCCAGCACTGGTTTGTCATTTTTAGCCAGTTAAATAGGTGTAAAATGGTATCTCCTGGTGGCCTTGATTTGAACTTCCTAGGTCACTAATAGGGTTGAACATATCTTCAAATGTTTATCAGTTACATCCAATTCTGAAATGCCTGTTCATGACTTTTGCCCATTTTTATATTGAATTGTTTGTGCTTTTTAAATTGATATGAGTTCTTTATATCATCTTGGTACTAATCCATTGTGTGCATTGCAAATATCTTCTCGATTTTCAACTTATTTTTTATGAGGTTTTGGAAGAACAAGCGTTTTTAGTTTTAGTATAGTCAAATTTATCACTCTTTTCTTTATAGTCATCCTTTTTTTCTTTTTCTTTTTTTTTTTTGAGATGCAGTCTTGCTCTGTTTCCCAGGCTGGAGTGCAGTGGCGTGATCTCAGCTCACTGCAAGCTCCGTCTCCTGGGTTCACGCCATTCTCCTGCCTCGGCCTCCTGAATAGCTGGGACTACAGGTGCCCACTACCACATCCAGCTAATTTTTTGTATTTTTAGTAGAGATGGGGTTTCACTGTGTTAGCCAGGTTGGTGTCTCAATCTCCTGACGTCGTGATCCACCCGCCTCAGCCTCCCAAAGTGCTGGGATTACAGGTGTGAGCCACTGCGCCCAGCCTATAGTCATGCTTTTTTAATGTCTTTTCCAAAAATAATTTTTTCATCTCAAAAGCTCTTCCTCTTGTTTTTTTGCTAAGAAATTTAAATTTTTTTTTTCATTTAAATCCTTCATTCATCTGGAGTTGGTATTTGGCCATGAAGTGAGATAGGGTTACATTTGAATTTTTTTCCACATAGGTAACCCCTTTTCCCCCCAGTTCCACTTATTGAACAAGACTTAGTTTTCTTCATTGATCAGACATTACACCTTTGTCCTAACCCAAAGTTCTGTTAATTGGTTGATTTCTGGTTCTTTAAGTCTGTTTCATTAATCAATTTGTCTGTCTCTGCCCTAATACCATAGTCTTTTAATTGCCAGACTTTCATAGTAGGTCCTAATAGTTAAATAAAGCATTTGCTCATTCCTTATACTTCTTATACTTCTTACTCAGATGTGTCCTGGCTATTTGTGGCTTTCTACTTTTTAATATACATGTTATAATATTACCAAATTCTACTTTTAAAAAACCCACTCCTCACCCAACACAGTGGTCATTTAAATTGGAAATGCATTGAATCCACAGTTCAATTTGGGAGTAGTCATTTCTATGGTAAATCTCCCTGTGTAAGAACATGTTCTCTCTCTCTCTGTTTTCTGCAATATCTCTCATCTTGCACATATTTTTCTTCATTAGTCCTTGTATTAGTATGTTTTGCATTGTTATGAAGGAATACCTGAGATTGGGTAATTTATAAAGAAAAGAGGTTTATTTGGTTCATTGTTTGCAAGCTGTATAAGAAGAGTGGTACCGGCATCTGCTTCTAGTAAGGGTCTCAGGAAGCTTTCAACAATAGTAGATAGGTGAAGTGGGAACAGGCATGTCATATGGCAAGACAGGGAGCAAGAGAGGCAGCAGTGCCATGTTCTTTTAAACAGCCAGATCTTATGTGAACTAATAGAGCAAGAACTCACTTATGCAGGACAGGCACCAAGTCATTCATGAGGGATCTGCCCCCATGACCCAAATACCTGCTACTAGGCCCCACGTCCAATATTGGAGGTCATATTTCTTTATTTCTTTACTTTTATTTTTTTAATAGAGACAAGGTCTTGCTATGTTGACCAGGCTGGTCTCAAACTCCTGGGCTTAAGCAATCCACCCACCTCAGCCTTCCAAAGTGCTAGGATTGCAGCCATGAGCCACCACACCAGGACTGGAGATCAGATTTCAACATGAGATTTGGAGGGGACAAATATTCAAACTGTATCAGTATATCAGTCCTTGATTTTTTTTTTTTTTTTTTTTTTTTACTCTGTTTCCCAGGCTGGAGTGTAGTGGCATGATCTTGGCTCACTGCAGTCTCCCCCTCCCAGGTTCAAGCAATTCTCCTGCCTCAGCCTCTTGAGTAGCTGGGACTACAGGCGCACACCACCACACCCAGCTAATTTTTGTATTTTTATTAGAGATGGGGTTTCACCACATTGGCCAGGCTCATCTCAAACTCCTGACCTCAGGTGGTCCTCCCACCTTGGCCTCCCAAAGTGCTGGGATTACAGGCATTGAGCCACCGTGCCAAGTCTCAATTCTTGATATTCTCTGAGGCTATTGTAAATGCTATCTTCTCTTTAATTATATTTTCTAGTTGTTTGCTAATGTTTAGAAATAGAACTAAACTTTGAATATATAAAAATACATAAGTGGCCGGGCATGTTGGCTGACGCCATTTGAGACCAGCCTGGCCAACATGGTGAAACCCTGTCTCTACTAAAAATACCAAAAAATTAGCCAGGCGTAGTGGTAGACATCTGTAATCCCAGCTACTCAGGAGGCTGAGACAGGAGAATTGCTTGAACTTGGGAGGTGGAGGTTGCAGTGAGCCGAGATCACGCCATTGCACTCCAGCCTGGGCAACAAGAGTGAAACTCTGTCTCAATTAAAAAAAAAAAAAACATAAGCATATATACAAACAAAATGAAAACATACATATATATATATATATATATATATATATATATATATATATATTTATTTATTTATTTATTTACCAGCCAATTTTCAGCCCTTCCATTATTTTAAATAACTTTTCTGTAAGTTATTTTGAGTTTTCTTTGTAAATTATCACATAATTTGTAAATAATGAAAATTTTATTTTCTCTTTTTTAATACTTATGACTATAATTTCACATGTTTTACTCTTAAAAAGCTTTCTTTTCACCCAATATAATAATGGGCATTATTTTCTATGCTTAAGGACTGAAGTATTACAGCAATTGTAGTAAAAAAGTAAAACATTATACAGCTCATGTGGAAACAGCTTTCTAATTTTTTAAGACTAAGATTAGGATGCAAATCCAACCCGGAAATTGTAAATTATCACATAATTTGTAAATAATGAAAATTTTATTTCCTCTTTTTTAATCCTTATGACTATAATTTCTTTTTCATGTCTTACTATATTGGCTAATATAGTCTATTCAATATTTCATAGAGGTATAATAAAATTACTCCTGATTTGAAAGAAAATAATTCTAGTGTTTCGAAATTTAGGGTGATGTTTGCTCTAGGGCATTTAAAAAACATATCTTTATCTGCTTAAAGAAATTCCCTCCTATTTCTAAGTTATTAAGAGTCTTTATTATATATCAGTATTGAATTTCAGCAAACACTTTTATAGCATCTATCACATACTTTTTTAAGCTGCAAATGTGATGAATTATATTTGATTTTCTGTTATTAAAACCACCTGCTTTGGTGTGATTAAACCCCACTTGGTTATGTTCTATAATCTTTTACATATACTGTTGAATTCAATTTGCAAATATCTTGGTTAGGATTTTCTGCATTTGTATTCAAAGGTGAGGCAGGCTAGTAATATTCCTTTCTCAATGCATTAGTCTGAGTTTGGAATAAGAATTATGCTGTTTTCATAGCATAATATGAGAAATACTTCACTTTATTATCCTTTTACTGTTAGAACAAGTTTGTGTTTATTGGGATGAGCTGTTACTTGAAAGTTTCATGGAATTGACATACAAAATTATCTAAGCCTAGTACTTTTATTATGGGTAATTTTTAACCATCATCTAATCCTTTCAATAAATATAGAATTTTTAAATTTTTTATTTTCTATTGAGTCAATTCTGGTAAGTTAGGTTCTTCTATGAATTTGTCCATTTTATGTAAGTTTCAAAATGTTGGCACATAGTAGTTAATAGCATCCTTACCATATCCGTGGTTATACATGCTTGCAATAGGCAATATTGTTTATTTGAATTCTCTCTCTTACTTTCTTGCTAAGTTTTACTAAAGATTATTTGTCTTGCTTTTAGTTTCAAAGATTAACTTTTGACTTGGTTGACTAGCTCTGATTTTTTTGTGTGTGTGGATGTCTATTTCATTTCTACTCCTACTTTATCACTTTCTACTTCCTTTGAGCTTATTCTGTTGTTCGTTTATATAACTTCTGAAGATGGACACTTATGTCATTAATTTTGAAGCTTTCTTCATTTCCATGAAAATTACTTAAGACTATACAGTTCTCTTGAAGCACTAGTTTTGATGGATTTCTTGCTTGTTGTAGTCTAATTACATTGAATTCCCTTCAAGACTCAGGTGAAATTTTACTTCCTTTATGAAGTTGTGCTTCCCTGACCATGCTAGTTTGTGGCCATAGATTTAGTTTCACAACTCTATATTGTAATAAAGTGGAATAAACACAGGTTTGAAGTCACATAGATCCAGGTTAAACCCCAGCTCTGCCACATAATAGCTGTTTGACTTTCTGCATAACATGTCATTTTTCATCTTCAAAATAGAATAGAAAAAAGCTACATTTCAGGGTTTTGTAAAATTTAAATGTCAGTTAACCAACATGAAGCTGATATCAGTTTCTAGCACATAGTAAATCAATGAACTACTTTTTTCTCTCCCTACTTCTCTTCCTTCCTCACCCATCCCTTCCTTCCTCTCCTCCCTTCCTTCCTCCTTCCTTCCTTCCTCCCCTCCCTTCCTTCCTCCTCCTTCCCTTTCCTTCCCTCTCTTCCTTCCTCCCCCCCCGTTCCTTCCTCTCCTTCCTTCCTCCCCCTTTCCTCCCCTCCCTTCCTTCCTCCTCCTTTCCTCCCCTCCCTTCCTTCCTCCTCTGCTCCCTCCCTTTCTCCTCTACTCCCTCCCTTTCTCCCCCCTTCCTCCCCTGTTCCTTTCTCCCTCCCTTTTTCCCTCCCTCACTCCTTATTTCCTTCATTCCTGTTGAGGTTTATCACATTCTAGGATTGTTTTTTTCCTCTGATAGACACTGGAAATCATTTCTGCATAAAAGCTGTGTAATGCAAAGTAAGTGGACATGGCTAGTTTTCTTCCCCTTAATTCTTGATTTAAAGGTTAAGATTTTTATTAAGTATTGTAAAATTGTCCTACAAAAATGCAGTATAAACATACAATTTCACTACTAAAGTGTGTAAATTCCGTTTTTCTATATTCTTATTAATCCCAATGATTTTCATTTAAAAACAAAAAATTAAAACTATTTCATTGTGAATGGCCAAAAGATTGTGTTTTGATGAATTATCTTTAAAATCGTGTGACTTCCCAACCAGTTACATATTTCCCTATGTAATTTCTACCTAAAAGTCTTGCTTTTTAAAATTTATGCATAATAGTTGTACATATTTATGAAGTACATGTGATATTTTTATATGTGCATACAATATACAATGATCAAATCAGAGTATTTGGGATATGAATTACCTCAAACATTTATCATTTCATTTCTTATGTTGGCAACATAATCTTCTCTTTTAACTATTTTGATATATACAAGAAATTATTGTTAACTATAGTTACCGTACTGTGCTATCAAACACAGTCCTCACTTCTTCTGTCAATGTGTATGTTTATACCCATTAATCAACCTATCTTCATCCCCCTCTTCCTTTTTCCCTTCCTGTTCTTTAGAAACTATGAATCTGCTCTCAATCTTTAGAAGATCCACTTTTTTAAAGCTCCTACATATGAACATGTGAGTGAGAACATGTGATATTTCTCTTTCTGTGCTTGGCTTATGTCAATTAACATAATAACCTCCAGTTCTATTTATATTGCTGCAAATGACAAGATTTCCATCCTTCTTATGGTGAACAATACTCCATTGTGTGTATATCACATTTTTAAAAATTTTATCCATTGATGGACACTTAGGTTGCTTTTATCTCTTGGCTATTGTGAATAGTGCTGCAATAAACATGGGAGTGCAGATATCTCTTTGATACACTGTTTTCCTTTTTACTTTTGATATATAACCACTGGTAGGATTGCTGAATCATGTGGTAGTTCTATTTTTGGTTTCTTAAGGAACTTCCATACTGTTTTCCATAGTAGCTGTATTAATTTCCATTTCCACCAACAGTATATGAGCATTCCTCTTTCTCTGAGTCCTGATCATCAGCATCTGTTATCTTCTTTTTGATAATAGCCTTTCTAACTGGGGCGAGATATCTCACTTTAGTTTTGATTTGCATTTCCCTGATGATTAGTGATGTTGAGCATTTTTTTCAATACCTGTTGGCCATTTGTATGTCGTCTTTTGAGAAATGTCCATTTAGATCTCTTACCATTTAAAAATCAGATTTTTTTTTTTTTGTTATTAAGTTCTTTGAGCTGCTTATATGTTCTGGTTGTGAATCTTGTCAGATGGATAGTAAAAGTCTTCTTTTATTTATCCTCCACTTACAGTTTGTTCATGTAGAGTCTTTACATTTCTTCTTAAATTTATTCCTAAGTATTTTACATTTTTGTTACTACTCTATATTGAGTCTACTTTTTAAAAACTTTGTTTTTCTGCTAATTAAGAATACATATTCATCACTGAAAATCTAAAACAGTGATAAGTTAAATAAAAATAAAATAAATGAAAACACTTAATCTTAACACTCATAGATAACCCCTGTGGAATTCCCACATGGGCTTTTTCCCAGCTCATTCCCTATGTGCACATGGACACACTCTTGTATTCTTCACAGAATGGTTTCATGCTCTACAGGAAATTGTGTAATTCTGTTGGTTTAGCTTGAAATACATAACCAGTATTTTTCCACGGCAAAAAATTTTTCTAACTACAACATTATTCTTAGAAGACTAAAGACCGTGTTTTATTTTATCAACTTGCAATTATTCATGGTTTTTAATGTTTGCTATTATAAACAATATTGATATTTTCATAACAGAAGTCTTTGCATACATTTAAAATAATTTCCTGAGGAAAAAATCCTAGAAATTGAATTGCTGTCTGTAGGGTATATTATTCATTTAAGGCTTAATATACTGTCTTGCTAAATTATCATTAATAGACAGGTTGCTAAATTGCTCTACAGAAGGCCAAATTTACATTTGCATGAGAATAATCAGTTCTCTGTGCCATTGTCAGGTATTGGATATTGTGCTTAAACAAAAAAAAGTTTACCAGTGCCTGTAGTTTAGTTAGTATTTATTGTTACAGAGAGGGTTGACAATTTGTAATCATTTTATTTATTTATATTTCATTTTTGTGAACGACTCTTCATGTCTTTTGCCTATTTTTAAATTAGGTTTTTATCTTTTTCTCTTTTATTGAGGCATTTTTATGCTATAAGGACTTGAATCCTATATTTATCATGTATATTAGAAACATATTTCTAGTATTTTATATGTAACTTTATTTTACTTTAGAGATGACGCTTTTACTTACACTTTTAGCTGTTCAGATCTATTAATTTTTCCTTCATGGTCTTTGTATGATGTTCCATGTCCATAAAACCTTCCCTATCACAAGATTGTATTAATATGTGAATTTTCTTTTCATTTTTAAAATTTAAATATGTATTTAGGAAACGGTATGTAGGAATCCAAGTTTGTTATCAAATTGCCCCAATATCACTTATTGAATAGTCCAGGCTTTCCTCACTGATTTTAAATACACCCCCTACCCCCGAACTCTTGATTAAACATGGCAAATTGAACACACACACATTTGTCTCTGCTTCCTCCTGAAAGCCCAATTGCAATGGCAATAAAAACATAAAAAAGTGAAACCCACAGTACAAAGAAATTGGGGGAAGAGATTACAGGAGTAGCGGGATATTAGCCAGCATTTTTGAAACTAGAAAGCTGGTGGATGAGTGGGAACCCACTTAGCAGATGTGAGATGAATGCCAGCCTACAAGAGGGAAGCCAGCATGAAGCAAGAAGGTTCAAGGATTCCTACTACAGACCCTGAAAAGACCTAAGAATTAGAGGCAGCAGATGCCTCTAATGAAAAAACGGTGGACAGAGAATTGGTTGAATATTTGGATCAGAAGCAACAAATTCCTCTCCTTACTCAGTACAGCTAGGCGACTGCCCTTCAGTAGCTTGAGAGGAGATGGAAATGCACTTTTTGCAGGGTGGTTTAACCAGTTGTCTCTAGGTTTGGCATCACCAAGTACAATTGAGGGCAGAACTGAGGCACAGTAGTGAAAAGAGAAGTTCTAAATGAAAATTTGTGTATTGATTTGTGAGACACCTAGTCCCTTTCCCACTTCAGCTCCCAGATGGGTGAAAACCAATCTCAAATAACCTAAGAAGAAAGGAGGAGGATTTCTCTCTAGGGAAATGCCCATGGGAAGAAGACCTTAAGATGCTGACATTTGGGGACCTCTCAATGAAAAAGCTGGTTTAAAGCTTTATTATTCTGCAGAGAAGTTTATAATTTACACAGGTACACAAAGCTTCCAATTAGCATTACTGAAAAAGTCAGGTTCATTGAAGTATAATGTGTATGCTATAAAATATGCTCTTTTTAGTATGTGGTTTTATGCATTTTAAAAATACATTTATGCAACTACCATCACAATCAAGATACAAAAATAGTTCAATGAAGCCCCCAAATTACTAGGTGACTCAGTGTAGCAAATTCCTAATCCCTGGCAACCACTGATTTGTTTCATCTCTAAATTTTTGCCTTTTTATAAATGTATGTATAATAGTTTAGAAAGTAGATCTTTGATTGTGGCTTCTTTGACATTCACCCATGTTGTTGGGTATCTCAATATCAGTTCTTACCTTTTTAGTGTAAAGTAGAATCTCAATGTACAAATACACTACAGTTATTTTTATCCATTTACCAGTTGAAGGACATTCATGTTTTTCCCCATTTTTGACAATTGTAAATAAAGCAACTATAAACATTGTATACAAATTTTTATGTGAATGTAAATGAAAATACTTTTCTTTTTCTTGGAGTGGGATTGCTATGTTATATGCCATATTTATGTTAAAGCTAAAGCTATCAAGCTGTTTTCCAAAGAGGAAATATTTCGCATTTGCTTTTCCAGTTGCTCTTTAGAGCAGAGATAGTTGCAGTTATTCTGCATCCTCAACAACTTTTTTTACAAAGCCACTCTAATAATTATTTAGTGATATCTCATTGTGGTTTAATTTGCATTTCCCTGATGACATAATGATGTTGAGCATCTTTCAAGTGCTTATTTGTAATACATATATCTTCTTTGGTGAGTGCCTGCTCAAAACTTTTACCTATTTCAAAAATTGTGTTGTTTTTCTCATTCAGTTTTGAAAGGTATTTTTTCTTTCATATTTGCTGTATACAAGACATAGATAGGTATTTGCAAATATTTTATCTCAGTCTATTGCTTGTCTTTTCATTTCTCAGTGCTTTTCAAAAAGCAAAAGCTTTTAATTTTTATGAAGTCCAATTTATCCCTGTTTAATTTTGGGATTAGGCTGTTGGTGTCATATCTAAGAAATCTTCGTCTAACTCAAAATTACAAAGATTTTTTTTATTTTGTTCTAGAAGTTTAATAGTTTTATGTTTTACACTTAAGTTTATGATTGTTTTTAAAGTTAATATTTGTATTGGTGTGAGGTAGGGGATGAGGTTCTTTTTTTTTTTTTTTTTTTTTTTTTTTTTGGCACTTGAATTTCTAATTGTTCCAGCATCATTTGTTGAAAAAAGACTATCCTTTCTCCATTGGCTTGTTTTTGCGCTTTGGTTGAAAATTGACCACACATATGTGTGTGTGGGATTATTTCAGGACTCTATTACATTCTTTTTATCTATACATTTGTTTTTTCTCTAATACATTGTGCTAATTTTTGTAGACTTATAATAAGTCTCAAAGTCAAGTAGTTTGAGTCCTTCAAATTTATTCTTTTTTTCCTCAAAATTATTTTAGATTATCTCGGTTCTTTTGAACTTCCACATAAATGTTAGAATTAGCTTGCTAATTTCTACCCAAAAAATCCTGCTGGGATTTTTTTGAGATTGCATTGAGTCTACATATAAATGTTGAGAAAACTGACATTTTAACAAATTGAGTCTTCCAATCAATGACTGATGTTATATCTCTCTATTAAGTTAGGTCTTGATTTCTTTAACTGGTTCAGAAGTAAACCCATTATTATAAGTGTTGTTCAGATATTCTATATTCTTAGTGATGCTTCTATCTAATCTGTTCTGTTATAGATAGAGCAATGTTGAAGTCTCCAACTGTAATTATGGATTTGTCTACTTTCTCTTTTCTATAGTTCTATCAGTTTTTGTTTCATATATTAGGAAGCTCTATTTTAAGCACATACACAATTATATTTGTCATGTACTACTGGAGAATTTACCCCTTCTTTTTATGTAATTTTAAAAAATTCTATGTAATGTTTCTTGTTATAAAATTTATTTTGATGTTAAAATAGCCAACCTAGTATTTTAAAATTAGAATTTTTTTTATTATACTTTAAGTTTTAGGGTACATGTGCACAACATGCAGGTTTGTTACATATGTATACATGTGCCATGTTGGTGTGCTGCACCCAGTAACTCGTCATTTAACATTAGGTATATCTCTTAATGCTATCCCTTCCCCCTCCTCTCACCCCACAACAGGCCCTGGTGTGTGATGTTCCCCTTCCTGTGTCCATGTGTTCTCATTGTTCAGTTCCCACCTATGAGTGAGAACATGCAGTGTTTGGTTTTTTGTCCTTGCGATAGTTTGCTGAGAATGATGGTTTCCAGCTTCATCCATGTCCCTACAAAGGACATGAACTCATCCTTTTTTATGGCTGCATAGTATTCCATGGTGTATATGTGCCACATTTTCTTAATGCAGTCCATCATTGTTGGACATTTGGGTTGGTTCCAAGTCTTTGCTATTGTGAATAGTGCTGCAATAAACATATGTGTGCATGTGTCTTTATAGCAGCATGACTTATAATCCTTTAGGTATATCCCCATTATTGGGATGGCTGGGTCAAATGGTATTTCTAGTTCTAGATCCCTGAGGAATTGCCACACTGACTTCCACAATGGTTGAACTAGTTTACAGTCCCACCAACACAGTAAAACTGTTCCTATTTCTCCACATCCTCTCCAGCACCTGTTGTTTCCTGACTTTTAATGATTGCCATTCTAACTGGTGTGAGATGGTATCTCATTGTGGTTTTGATTTGCATTTCTCTGATGGCCAGTGATGGTGAGCATTTTTTCATGTGTCTTTTGGCTGCATAAATGTCTTCTTTTGAGAAGTGTCTGTTCATATCCTTTGCCCACTTTTTGATGGGGTTGTTTGTTTTTTTCTTATAAATTTGTTTGAGTTCATTGTAGATTCCGGATATTAGCCCTTTGTCAGACGAGTAGGTTGCAAAAATTTTCTCCCATTCTGTAGGTTGCTTGTTCACTCTGATGGTAGTTTCTTTTGCTGTGCAGAAGCTCTTTAGTTTAATTAGATCCCATTTGTCAATTTTTGCTTTTGTTGCCATTGCTTTTGGTGTCTTGGACATGAAGTCCTTGCCCGTGCCTATGTCCTGAATGGTAATGCCTAGGTTTTCTTCTAGGGTTTTTATGGTTTTAGGTCTAACATTTAAGTCTTAAATCCATCTTGAATTAATTTTTGTATAAGGTGTGAGGAAGGGATCCAGTTTCAGCTTTCTACATATGGCTAGCCAGTTTTCCCAGCACCATTTATTAAATAGGGAATCCTTTCCCCATTTCTTGTTTTTGTCAGGTTTGTCAAAGATCAGATAGTTGTAGATATGCGGCATTGTTTCTGAGGGCTCTGTTTTGTTCCATTGGTCTATATCTCTGTTTTGGTACCAGTACCATGCTGTTTTGGTTACTGTAGCCTTGTAGTATAGTTTGAAGTCAGGTAGCGTGATGCCTCCAGCTTTGTTCTTTTGGCTTAGGATTGACTTGGTGATGTGGGCTCTTTTTTGGTTCCATATGAACTTTAAAGTAGTTTTTTCCAATTCTGTAAAGAAAGTCATTGGTAGCTTGATGGGGATGGCATTGAATGTATAAATTACCTTGGGCAGTATGGGCATTTTCATGATATTGATTCTTCCTACCCATGAGCATGGAATGTTCTTCCATTTGTTTGTATCCTCTTTTATGTCATTGAACAGTGGTTTGTAGTTCTCCTTGAAGAGGTCCTTCACGTCCCTTGAAAGTTGGATTCCTAGGTATTTTATTCTCTTTGAAGCAATCGTGAATGGTAGTTCACTCATGATTTGGCTCTCTGTTTGTCTGTTATTGGTATATAAGAATGCTTGTGATTTTTGCACATTGATTTTGTATCCTGAGACTTTGCTGAAGTTGCCTATCAGCTTAAGGAGATTTTGGGCTGAGAAAATGGGGTTTTCTAGATATACAATTATGTCATCTGCAAACATGACATGATTGACTTCCTGTTTTCCTAATTGAATACCCTTTATTTCCTTCTCCTGTAAAATTAGAATTTTCCTGATATATCTTTTCCCTTCCTTTTAATGTCTATATAACTATAGTGTGTTTTCTTTAGAAAGCATCTTGCTTTTTGAAAAATCCATTTCAACAATTTGTCTTTTAATTAGTGTGTTTAGGTCATTTACATTCAATGTAATTATATGTTTGAATTAAAATCTATCATCTTGATTTTTTTTTTTTTTGCTGAAGATAAGCAATTTCTTTTAGAGCAATTACAAATAGGAAATGTCCTTTCTTGCATTACTTAAAAAAAATACTATTTCTGGAGATCTTCCTTTTTTTGTTCAGAAAGAAGTTTTCTTTCTTGTATTTTATTTTTGTTCTTATAAAAGTTCTCCCTGAAGAACTTCCTTTAACAGTTTTTGACTTTGCCTGCTTGTGATCTATTTTCTCAATTTTTGTCTGAAAAGAATCTTTTTTAAAAAATTCTATTTTTGGTTTGGGGGTACATGTGAAGATTTGTTATATAGATGAATATGTGTCACAGGAGTTTGTTGTTTATGTTGTTACATCATTTAGGTATTAAGCTCAGTACTGAATAATTTTTCTGCTCCTCTTGCTCCTCCCTCAAGTAGACCCCAGTGTCTGTTGTTTCCTTTCTTGTGTTCATAAATTCTTACCATGTAGCTGCCACTTACAAGTAAGAATATATGGTATTTAGTTTTCTGTTCCTGCATTAGTTTGCTAAGGATGATAGCTTCCAACTCTTTGTTTCTGCAAAAGACATTATCTCATTCTTTTTTATGGCTGAATAATATTCCATGGTATAAATGTACCACGTTTTCTTTATTCAGTCTGTCATTGATGGGCATTTAGGTTGATTCCATGTCTTTGCTATTGTGAACAGTGCTGCCATGAACATTCGTGTGCATGTGTTTTTATGATAGAATGCTTCATATTCCTCTGGGTATATACCAAGTAATGGGATTGCTGGGTCAAATTATAGTTCTGCTTTTAGCTCTTTGAGGAATTGCCATACTGCTTTCCACAATGGTTGAACTAATTTGCACTCCCACCAACAGCGTATAAGGGTTCTCTCTTATCCACCACCTCACCAGCATCTGTTATTTTTTGACTATTTAGTAATAGCCATTCTGACTGGTGTGAGATGGTATCTTATTGTGGTTTTGATTTGTATTTCTTTAATGATCAGTGATATTGACCTTTTTTTCATGTGCTTGTTGGCTGCATGTATGTCTTCTTTTGAGAAGTGTCTGTTTATGTCCTTTGCCCACTTTTTAATGGGGTTATTTGTTTTTCTCTTGTAAATGTGTTTAAGTTACTTATAGGTGCTGGATATTAGACCTTTGTCAGATGAGTAAATTGCAAATTTTTTCTCTCATTCTGTAGGTTGTCTGTTTACTCTGTTAATTCTTTTGCTGTGCAGAAGCTCTTAAATTTAATTAGATTCTATTTGTGAATTTTTGCTTTTGTTGCTATTTCTTTTAGTGTTTTGTCATAAAGATCTTTGCCCTTTCCTATGCCCATGACGGTATTGCCTTGGTTGTCTTCCAGGGTTTTTATAGTTTTGGGTTTTACACTTAAGTCTTTAATTCATCTTGGGTGAATTTTTGTATACAGTGTAAGGAAAGGGTCCAGTTTCAATCTTCTGCATATGGCCAGCCAGTTATCCCAGCACCATTTATTGAATAGGGAGTCTTTTCACCATTGTTTCCTTTTGTCAGCTTTGTCAAAGATCAGATAGTCATAGATGTGCAGCCTTATCTTTGGGCTCTCTATTGTGTTCCGTTGGTCTATGTTTTTGTACCAGTACCATGCTGTTTTGGCCACTGTAGCCTTGTAATATAGTTTGAAATCGGGTAAAGTAATTCCTTCGGCTTTGTTCTTTTGGCTTAGGATTGCTCTGACTATTCAGGCTCTTTGTTTTTTGTTCCATAGAAATTTTAAAATAATTTTTTCTAGTTCTTTGAAGAATGTCATTGGTAGTTTCATAGGAATAGCATTGAATCTGTAAATTGCTTTGAGTAGTATAACCATTTCACTGATATTGATTCTTTCTATCCATGAGCATGGGATGTATTTCCATTTGTGTTTTCTCTGATTTCTTTGAGCAGTGTTTTGTAATTCTCATTGTAGAGATCTTTCACCTCCTTGGCTATCTGTATTCCTAGGTATCGTATTTATTTATTTATTTATTTTGTGGCAATTGTGAATGGGATTGCCTTTCTGATTTAGCTCTCAGTTTGGTTGTGTTGGTGTGTAGGAATGCTAGTGATTTTTGTACATTGATTTTGTATCCTGCAACTTTGCTGAAGTTGTTTATCAGCTGAAAGAACTTTTGGGCTGAGATTGTGGGGTTGTGTAGATATAGAATCATAACGTCTGCACATAGAGATAGTTTGACTTCCTCTCTTTCTTTTTGGGTTTATTTGTTTCTTTCTCTTGCCTGGTGGCTCTGGCTAAGACTTCCAATACTATGTTGAATGGAAGTGGTAGAGAGGGCATTCTTGTCTTGTGCTGGTTTTCAAGGGAAATGCTTCCAGCTTTTGCCCATTCAGTATAATGTTGGCTGTGGGTTTGTCATAGATGGCTCTTATTATTTTGACATATGTTTCTTTGTATTTCTCTATTGATCAGTGATACTGGCCCTTTTTTCATGTGCTTGTTGGCTGAAAGCACATCCCATAAAGGGGTGTTGAATTTTATCAAAAGCCTTTTCTGCATCTACTGAGATAATCATTTGGGTTTTGTCTTTAGTTCTGTTTATGTAATGAATCACATTTATTGATTTTCATGTTTGAACCAACCTTGCATCCTGGGGATAAAGCCTGCTTCATCATGGTAGATTAGCTTTTTAATGTGCTGCTGTATTTGGTTTGCAAGTATTATGTTGAGGATTTTTACATCAGTGTTCATCAAGGATATTTATTTGAAGTTTGCTTTTTTTTGAGATGGAGTCTTGCTCTGTCACCCAGGCTGGAGTGCAGTGGCGTGATCTTGGCTCACTGCAAGCTCTGCCTCCCAGGTTCACACCATTCTCTTGCCTCAGCCTCCCCAGTAGCTGGGACTACAGGTGCCTGCCATCACATCTGGCTAACTTTTTGTATTTTTAGTAGAGACAGCATTTCACTGTGTTAGCCAGGATGGTCTCAATCTCCTGACCTCGTGATCTGCCCACCTCAGCCTCCCAAAGTGCTGGGATTACAGGCATGAGCCACTGCACCCGGCAAAGTTTTCTTTTTTTATCGTGTCTCTGCCAGGTTTTGGTATCAAGTTGATGCTGGCCTCATAAAATGAGTTGGGGAGAAGTCCCTTCTCAATTTTTTGGAATAGTGTCTTTAGGAATGTTACCAGCTCTTCTTTGTACATCTGGTAGAATTCAGCTGTGAATCCATCCAGTCCTGGGCTTTTTTTAGTTGGTAGGCTATTTATTACTGATTCAGTTTTGGAGCTCATTATTGGTCTGTTCAGGGAATCAATTTCTTCCTGGCTTAGTCTTGGTAGGGTGTATATGTCCAGAAATTTATCCATCTTTTCTAGGTTTTCTAGTTTGTGTGTGTAGAGGTGTTCATAGTAGTTTCTGATGGTTGTTTTTATTTCTGTGGGGTCCGTAGTAACACTCCCTTCATCATTTCTAATTGTGTTTATTTGGAACTTTTTTCTTCTTAGTCTAGTGTCCTATTCATTTTTTCAAAAAACCAACTCCTGGGTTTGTTGATCTGTTGAATGTTTTTTTTGTGTCTCTATTTTCTTCAGTTCATCTCTGATTTTTGTTATTTGTTGTCTCTGCTAGTGTTGGGGTTGATTTGTTCTTACTTCTCTAATTCTTTCCATTGTGAAGTCAGGATGTTAATTTGAGATCTTTCTAACTTTTTGATGTGGGCATTTAGTGCTATGATTTTCTCTCTTAACACTGCTTTAGCTGTGTCCCAGAGATTCTGGTATGTTGTATCTTTGTATCTCACTATTTTCAAAGAACTTCTTGATTTCTGCCTTGATTTCATTATTTGCCCAAAAGTCATTCAGGAGCATGTTGTTTGATTGCCATGTAATTGTATGGTTTTGAGGGATTTTCATTGTGTTGACTTCTGTTTTTATTACACAGTGGTCCAAGAGTGTGTTTGCTATGATTGGTTCTTTGACATTTGTTTAAGATTGTTTTGTGTCCAATTATGTGGTCAGTTTTAGAGTACGTGCCATGTGGTGATGAGTAGAATGTATATTCTGTTGTTTTTGTGTAGAGACTTTTGTAAAGGTCTATCAGATCCATTTGGTCCAATGCTGAGTTTAGGCCCTGAATATCTTTGTTAATCTTCTGCCTTGAAGATCTGTCTAATACTGTCAGTGGAGTGTTGAAGTCTCCTACTATTATCATGTGAGAGTCTATGTCTGTTTGTAGGTCTCTAAGAACTTGCTTTATGAATCAGGGTGCTCCTGTGATGGGTGCATATATATTTAGGATAATTAGGTCTTCTTGTTGAATTGAACCCTTTACTATTATGTAATACCCTTCCTTGTCTTTTTTGATCTTTGTTGGTTTGAAATCTGTTTTGTCTGAGATTAGGATTGCAACTCCTGCTTTTTTCTGTTTTCCATTTACTTGGTAGGTTTTTCTCCATTCCTTTATTCTGAGCCTATGAGTGTCATTACATGTGAGATGGGTGTCTTGAAGGCAGCATACCATTGGGTCTTTATTTTTTATCCAGCTTGCTACTCTGTGCCTTTTAACTGGGGCATTTAGCCTGTTTATATTCAAGATTAATATTGGTAATGTGTGAATTTGATCTTGTCATTGTGCTGTTAGCTGATTATTGTGTTGGCTTGTTTGTGTGGTTGCTTTACAATGACACTGTTGTGCGTGTTTAAGTGTGTTTTTGATTAGCTGGTAGCAGTCTTTCCTTTCTGTATTTAGTGCTCCTCTCAAGATATTTTGTAAGGCAGGTCTGGTGGTAATAAAGTCCCTTAACATTTGCTTATCTGAAAAGGATCTTATTTCTCCTTCACTTAGGAATCTTAGTTTGGGTGGATGCAAAATTCTTGGTTGAAGATTTTTTTCTTTAAGAATGTTGAATATAGGTTCCCAATCCCTCCTGGCTGGTCGGGTTTCTGCTGAGAGATCTGCTGTTAGCTGAATGGGGATCCCTTTGTAGGTGACCTGCCCTTTCTCTCTAGCTTCTTTTAACATTCTTTCTTTCATTTTGACCTTGGAAAATCCGATGATTATGTGTCTTGGGGATGATCTTGTGTAGACTCTTGCAGGAGTTCTCTGTATTTCCTGAATTTGGCTGTTGGCCTCTTTAGCAAGGTTGGGGAAGTTTTCATGGATGATATCCTAAAATATATTTTTCAAATCGCTTGCTTTCTCCCCATCCCTTTAAGGGATGCCAGTGATTCATAGATTTGGCCTCTTTACATAATCTCATACTTCTCAGCGGTTTTGTTCATACCTTTTTATTTTTTTTTTTATTTTTGTCTGACTTATTACAGAGAACCAGTCTTCCAGTTCTGAAGACTGGTTTATTTCTTTCCTCAGCTTGGTTTATTCTGCTGTTAATACCTGTGATTGCATTGTGAAATTCTTGTATTTTGTTATTCAGCTCTGTCAGACCCATTAAGTTCTTTTTTATACTGGCTATTTTGTCCTTCAGCTCCTGTATCACTTTATTGTGGTTCTTATTTTCCTTGGGTTGGGTTTTGCCATTCTCCTTAATCTTGATGATCTTTGTTCCTATTCCATAGTCTGAATTCTATTTCTGTCATTCCAGCCAGTTTGGCCTTGTTAAAAACTCTTGTTGGAGAACTGGTGTGGTTGTTTGGAGGACATATGACACTCTGGCCATTTGAGTTACCAGAGTTCTTGCATTGATCCTTTCTCATCTTTGCATGTGAGTGTTCATTTAACTGCAATAGAGACTGAGTACAGTTAATATACTTCTTTTCTGGTTATTTTCACCAGGCTGAGGCTTTGTGTAGGGTCTTTATTTGAAGCTGACTTCTTGTGTCTTGTTTCAGAGTGGGGTATGTTAGTGAGGTATTTTTTTTTTTTTTTTTTGGTGTTGAAGCTTTGGGGTGTGATCCAGCAGGTGATACTTAGGCTTATTAGTCAGTTGGTAGACTCTTGCCCAGTTGTGTGGCTCCCCTGTTGCCTCACAGTTGCAGCCATGTTCCCTCTCAGTGCTCTGAAAGTGTGGGTTTCTCTCCCCCTTAAGTCCAGGCTGTAGTTCATGACTTGGCATTCCTGGGCTGCCGACTGCACCTCTGAAGTTATCTCAGTGTTTATGTCCTTCCCCAGCTTAGAGGCAGCAGAGGAAGAGATCTTAGTAGTCCAAGCAAGAGATCAAGTGTCCAAGGGTCATTTGCTTGACTCCTGGGGACTGCACTCCAGAGAGACGCAGGTTAGCAATCACTCAGTGCAGTCAGCCCAAGAGGGAGGGTTTGTGCTGTGTTCCCAAGCCAGGGGTTCCCTGTCTGGTGCTAAGATGCGGGGGATGTGAAGGTCCCATGGAAGAAGGACTGGCCTTCTCTCCTTGGGTTAACTGCAGTTTGTTGGCGGCGTGAATGAGGCACTTAGGGTCTTTACTCTTTTGTTAGTCTGAGGGTGTTAAGGGCAATTCCACTGCAGAGGGAGTGGCACAGAGGCTTTCAGTTGCCCGTAGAGGCTCTGTCCAGGGAGTTGCTGAGTTGGTACTGGAAGGACAATATAATCTTAGTCTACTACATAACTTTGTGAATAATATTTATATTAATATAAATAGAAAATATTGACTTAACCAGAGATTGTTTAATTGCTATATGATAAGGATAGAGATAATTGTGCTTAAATAAATCCTCACGTTTTAGAGTTAGAAGTCAGTAGATAATGTTTAAAATTTAAAAACCAAAGAATAAAGATGTAAGCTTTTAATTTAGAAGTATAAGATCAGATAATAATGGCAATACCTAAAATAATTTAAAGTGGTTGCCTCTAGGACATGGGAATTGGGGGTATGAGCAAGGGTGAAACATCAGGTTTCATTTGAAGTATTAAGGTTTTACTAGAAATTTCTAATTATATGGTTAAAAATTAAATATAAGATTAAAACTTTTCCATATATTAAGTTCTTCTAAAACATCTTTGACAAAATTTGTGGATAGGAAGCCTAGGTTTGAATATAGTTCCACACATAACAGCTGTATGTCTGTGGATGACTGTTACTTAATCTGACTGCTTCTGATTCCTTCTTCTAAGGTGAAGATAAAAATAGTACCCACCTCACAGCATTGCAATGAGATAAAGTTAGTAAATGCATGTAAAACACTTAGTGCATGGAACAAAGAAAGCAACTGTTAAATGCTGGCTATTACTATCTTATTCCAGCAGTAGTTCCTATAATGGCCTAATTAGTATGACTTTATATTGTATTTAATTTGTAATACAAATGTTTGTATTAAATACAATATAAAGCCATACTAATTTCCTTTGTTTGCTAAATTCTACTTCCTTTTTTTTTTGCTAAATTCCATGATTTTTTTCTTCTAAATAAACTTAAGAATCATTTTCTCTTCCCCAACAAATATATTTTATCTCTACATTTATTCAAGTTTTCTTTTATGTCCAGGGGGAATGACTATGGCTTTCTTTATCAAAGTCTGCACATTTCTCGTTAAATTTATTTATAGGATTGTGAGTGTATTTGGGTCTCTAAATCTCTTTCTCTTATTAAATAAAGTTCTAGGTCTAGTTTTATATTTATGCAGCCTTGCATATGAGATCTTATTTTTAAGATTTTATTTTTTTGGGGGATACATATTTATTTTATTTTATTTTATTTTATTTTTTATTATTATTACTATTATTATTATTTTTTTTAATTATACTTTAAGTTTTAGGGTACATGTGCACATTGTGCAGGTTAGTTACATATGTATACATGTGCCATGCTGGTGTGCTGCACCCACTAACTCGTCATCTAGCATTAGGTATACCTCCCAATGCTATCCCTCCCTCCGCCCCCCTCCCCACCACAGTCCCCAGAGTGTGATATTCCCCTTCCTGTGTCCATGTGATCTCATTGTTCAGTTCCCACCTATGAGTGAGAATATGCGGTGTTTGTTTTTTTGTTCTTGCGATAGTTTACTGAGAATGATGGTTTCCAATTTCATCCATGTCCCTACAAAGGACATGAACTCATCATTTTTTATGGCTGCATAGTATTCCATGGTGTATATGTGCCACATTTTCTTAATCCAGTCTATCATTGTTGGACATTTGGGTTGGTTCCAAGTCTTTGCTATTGTGAATAATGCCGCAATAAACATACGTGTGCATGTGTCTTTATAGCAGCATGATTTATAGTCATTTGGGTATATACCCAGTAATGGGATGGCTGGGTCAAATGGTATTTCTAGTTCTAGATCCCTGAGGAATCGCCACACTGACTTCCACAATGGTTGAACTAGTTTACAGTCCCACCAACAGTGTAAAAGTGTTCCTATTTCTCCACATCCTCTCCAGCACCTGTTGTTTCCTGACTTTTTAATGATTGCCATTCTAACTGGTGTGAGATGATATCTCATAGTGGGTTTGATTTGCATTTCTCTGATGGCCAGTGATGATGAGCATTTTTTTCATGTGTTTTTTGGCTGCATAAATGTCTTCTTTTGAGAAGTGTCTGTTCATGTCCCTCGCCCACTTTTTGATGGGGTTGTTTGTTTTTTTCTTGTAAATTTGTTTGAGTTCATTGTAGATTCTGGATATTAGCCCTTTGTCAGATATGTAGGTTGCGAAAATTTTCTCCCATGTTGTAGGTTGCCTGTTCACTCTGATGGTAGTTTCTTTTGCTGTGCAGAAGCTCTTTAGTTTAATTAGATCCCATTTGTCAATTTTGGCTTAGGTTGCCATTGCTTTTGGTGTTTTGGACATGAAGTCCTTGCCCACGCCTATGTCCTGAATGGTAATGCCTAGGTTTTCTTCTAGGGTTTTTATGGTTTTAGGTCTAACGTTTAAATCTTTAATCCATCTTGAATTGATTTTTGTATAAGGTGTAAGGAAGGGATCCAGCTTCAGCTTTCTACATATGGCTAGCCAGTTTTCCCAGCACCATTTATTAAATAGGGAATCCTTTCCCCATTGCTTGTTTTTCTCAGGTTTGTCAAAGATCAGATAGTTGTAGGTAAGCGGCGTTATTTCGGAGGGCTCTGTTCTGTTCCATTGATCTATATCTCTGTTTTGGTACCAGTACCATGCTGTTTTGGTTACTGTAGCCTTGTAGTATAGTTTGAAGTCAGGTAGTGTGATGCCTCCAGCTTTGTTCTTTTGGCTTAGGATTGACTTGGCGATGCGGGCTCTTTTTTGGTTCCATATGAACTTTAAAGTAGTTTTTTCCAATTCTGTAAAGAAAGTCATTGGTAGCTTGATGGGGATGGCATTGAATCTGTAAATTACCTTGGGCAGTATGGCCATTTTCACGATATTGATTCTTCCTACCCATGAGCATGGAATGTTCTTCCATTTGTTTGTATCCTCTTTTATTTCCTTGAGCAGTGGTTTGTAGTTCTCCTTGAAGAGGTCCTTCACATCCCTTGTAAGTTGGATTCCTAGGTATTTTATTCTCTTTGAAGCAATTGTGAATGGGAGTTCACTCATGATTTGGCTCTCTGTTTGTCTCTTGTTGGTGTATAGGAATGCTTGTGATTTTTGTACATTGATTTTGTATCCTGAGACTTTGCTGAAGTTGCTTATCAGCTGAAGGAGATTTTGGGCTGAGACGCTGGGGTTTTCTAGATAAACAATCATGTCGTCTGCAAACAGGGACAATTTGACTTCCTCTTTTCCTAATTGAATACCCTTTATTTCCTTCTCCTGCCTCATTGCCCTGGCCAGAACTTCCAACACTATGTTGAATAGGAGCGGTGAGAGAGGGCATCCCTGTGTTGTGCCAGTTTTCAAAGGGAATGCTTCCAGTTTTTGCCCATTCAGTATGATATTGGCTGTGGGTTTGTCATAGATAGCTCTTATTATTTTGAAATACGTCCCATCAATACCTAATTTATTGAGAGTTTTTAGCATGAAGTGTTGTTGAATTTTGTCAAAGGCTTTTTCTGCATCTATTGAGATAATCATGTGGTTTTTGTCTTTGGCTCTGTTTATATGCTGGATTACATTTATTGATTTGCGTATATTGAACCAGCCTTGCATCCCAGGGATGAAGCCCACTTGATCATGGTGGATAAGCTTTTTGATGTGCTGCTGGATTTGGTTTGCCAGTATTTTATTGAGGATTTTTGCATCAATGTTCATCAAGGATATTGGTCTAAAATTCTCTTTTTTGGTTGTGTCTCTGCCCGGCTTTGGTATCAGAATGATGCTGGCCTCATAAAATGAGTTAGGATTCCCTCTTTTTCTATTGATTGGAATAGTTTCAGAAGGAATGGTACCAGTTCCTCCTTGTACCTCTGGTAGAATTCGGCTGTGAATCCATCTGGTCCTGGACTCTTTTTGGTTGGTAAACTATTGATTATTGCCACAATTTCAGCTCCTGTTATTGGTCTATTCAGAGATTGAACTTCTTCCTGGTTTAGTCTTGGGAGAGTGTATGTGTCAAGGAATGTATCCATTTCTTCTAGATTTTCTAGTTTATTTGCATAGAGGTGTTTGTAGTATTCTCTGATGGTAGTTTGTATTTCTTTGGGATCGGTGGTGATATCCCCTTTATCATTTTTTATTGTGTCTATTTGATTCTTCTCTCTTTTTTTCTTTATTAGTCTTGCTAGCAGTCTATCACTTTTGCTGATCCTTTCAAAAAACCAGCCCCTGGATTCATTGATTTTTTGAAGGGTTTTTTGTGTCTCTATTTCCTTCAGTTCTGCTCTGATTTTAGTTATTTCTTGCCTTCTGCTAGCTTTTGAATGTGTTTGCTCTTGCTTTTCTAGTTCTTTTAATTGTGATGTTAGGGTGTCAATTTTGGATCTTTTCTGCTTTCTCTTGTGGGCATTTAGTGCTATAAATTTCCCTCTACACACTGCTTTGAATGCATCCCAGGGATTCTGGTATGTTGTGTCTTTGTTCTCGTTGGTTTCAAAGAACATCTTTATTTCTGCCTTCATTTCGTTATGTACCCAGTAGTCATTCAGGAGCAGGTTGTTCAGTTTCCATGTAGTTGAGCGGCTTTGAGTGAGATTCTTAATCCTGAGTTCTAGTTTGATTGCACTGTGGTCTGAGAGACAGTTTGTTATAATTTCTGTTCTTTTACATTTGCTGAGGAGAGCTTTACTTCCAAGTATGTGGTCAGTTTTGGAATAGGTGTGGTGTGGTGCTGAAAAAAATGTATATTCTGTTGATTTGGGTTGGAGAGTTCTGTAGATGTCTATTAGGTCTGCTTGGTGCAGAGCTGAGTTCAATTCCTAGGTATCCTTGTTGACTTTCTGTCTCGTTGATCTGTCTAATGTTGACAGTGGGGTGTTAAAGTCTCCCATTATTAATGTGTGGGAGTCTAAGTCTCTTTGTAGGTCACTCAGGACTTGCTTTATGAATCTGGGTGCTCCTGTATTGGGTGCATATATATTTAGGATAGTTAGCTCCTCTTGTTGAATTGATCCCTTTACCATTATGTAATGGCCTTCTTTGTCTCTTTTGATGTTTGTTGGTTTAAAGTCTGTTTTATCAGAGACTAGGATTGCAACCCCTGCCTTTTTTTGTTTTCCATTTGCTTGGTAGATCTTCCTCCATCCTTTTATTTTGAGCCTATGTGTGTCTCTGCACGTGAGATGGGTTTCCTGAATACAGCACACTGATGGGTCTTGACTCTTTATCCAACTTGCCAGTCTGTGTCTTTTAATTAGAGAATTTAGTCCATTTACATTTAAAGTTAATATTGTTATGTGTGAATTTGATCCTGTCATTATGATGTTAGCTGGTTATTTTGCTCATTAGTTGATGCGGTTTCTTCCTAGTCTCGATGGTCTTTACATTTTGGCATGATTTTGCAGCGGCTGGTACCTGTTGTTCCTTTCCATGTTTAGCGCTTCCTTCAGGAGCTCTTTTAGGGCAGGCCTGGTGGTGACAAAATCTCTCAGCATTTGCTTGTCTGTAAAGTATTTTATTTCTCCTTCACTTATGAAGCTTAGTTTGGCTGGATATGAAATTCTGGGTTGACAATTCTTTTCTTTAAGAATGTTGAATATTGGCCCCCAGTCTCTTCTGGCTTGTAGGGTTTCTGCCAAGAGATCCGCTGTTAGTCTGATGGGCTTCCCTTTGAGGGTAACCCGACCTTTCTCTCTGGCTGTCCTTAACATTTTTTCCTTCATTTCAACTTTGGTGAATCTGACAATTATGTGTCTTGGAGTTGCTCTTCTCGAGGAGTATCTTTGTGGCGTTCTCTGTATTTCCTGAATCTGAATGTTGGCCTGCCTTGCTAGATTGGGGAAGTTCTCCTGGATAATATCCTGCAGAGTGTTTTCCAACGTGGTTCCATTCTCCGCATCACTTTCAGGTACACCAATCAGACGTAGATTTGGTCTTTTCACATAGTCCCATATTTCTTGGAGGCTTTGCTCATTTCTTTTTATTCTTTTTTCTCTAAACTTCCCTTCTTGCTTCATTTCATTCATTTCATCTTCCATTGCTGATACCCTTTCTTCCAGTTGATCGCATCGGTTCCTGAGGCTTCTGCATTCTTCACGTAGTTCTCGAGCCTTGGTTTTCAGCTCCATCAGCTCCTTTAAGCACTTCTCTGTATTGGTTATTCTAGTTATACATTCTTCTAAATTTTTTTCAAAGTTTTCAACTTCTTTGCCTTTGGTTTGAATGTCCTCCCGTAGCTCAGAGTAATTTGATTGTCTGAAGCCTTCCTCTCTCAGCTCGTCAAAATCATTCTCCATCCAGCTTTGTTCCGTTGCTGGTGAGGAACTGCGTTCCTTTGGAGGAGGAGAGGTGCTCTGCGTTTTAGAGTTTCCAGTTTTTCTGTTCTGTTTTTTCCCCATCTTTGTGGTTTTATCTACTTTTGGTCTTTGATGATGGTGATGTACAGATGGGTTTTCAGTGTGGATGTCCTTTCTGTTTGTTAGTTTTCCTTCTAACAGACAGGACCCTCGGCTGCAGGTCTGTTGGAATACCCTGCCGTGTGAGGTGTCAGTGTGCCCCTGCTGGGGGGTGCCTCCCAGTTAGGCTGCTCGGGGGTCAGGGGTCAGGGACCCACTTGAGGAGGCAGTCTGCCCATTCTCAGATCTCCAGCTGTGTGCTGGGAGAACCACTGCTCTCTTCAAATCTGTCAGACAGGGACATTTAAGTCTGCAGAGGTTACTGCTGTCTTTTTGTTTGTCTGTGCCCTGCCCCCAGAGGTGGAGCCTACAGAGGCAGGCAGGCCTCCTTGAGCTGTGGTGGGCTCCACCCAGTTTGAGCTTCCCGGCTGCTTTGTTTACCTAAGCAAGCCTGGGCAATGGTGGGCACCCCTCCCCCAGCCTCGCTGCCGCCTTGCAGTTTGATCTCAGACTGCTGTGCTAGCAATCAGCGAGATTCCGTGGGCGTAGGACCCTCCGAGCCAGGTGTGGGTGCGCCGTTTTTTAAGCCGGTCTGAAAAGTGCAATATTCGGGTGGGAGTGACCCGATTTTCCAGGTGCGTCCGTCACCCCTTTCTTTGACTCGGAAAGGGAACTCCCTGACCCCTTGCGCTTCCCAGGTGAGGCAATGCCTCGCCCTGCTTCGGCTCGCGCATGGTGCGCACACCCACTGGCATGCGCCCACTGTCTGGCACTCCCTAGTGAGATGAACCCGGTACCTCAGATGGAAATGCAGAAATCACCCGTCTTCTGCGTCGCTCACGCTGGGAGCTGTAGACCGGAGCTGTTCCTATTCGGCCATCTTGGCTCCTCCCCCCTTTAATATTTTCTTTACATCTATTTGTATATAGGAACAATCTTAACTTTTGCCATCTTATTTTTTAAAGCAACACTTTTCTGAATTTATCAGTTTTAATATTTCAGTTGTTATTCTTTTTCTTTTATACAACCATAATATCTGCAAATTATGGTATTTTCTTTTTTTAATATACGACTAATTTTCTTTTTTCTTCCTTTCCTTTCTGCTTTTATGGTATATGAAAGTTGAACTTTTATTTATTATTACTTTGATCTTGTGATTTCCCATTATTTTGTTTTTAGTCTTTTGGTTTATGGTACGTTTTCTTTATTTTTATTTTTCTAGTGTTTTATGTCACATTTTTATTTAAATAGTAATAGCAATAATAATTATGAATTAATATGATCATAATAGCCGTTTATTAGAAACTTGCATGTACCTGGAGATGTATTAGGCACATTACATGCTTTTCAATAATACTAATATTACTACTACTCCAGCAACAACATAGCAACAATTGCTAAACAATATTGAACATTTTCTACGTGCTAAACATGTTTTAGGTGCTTTACATGCATTATCTAATTTAGTTCTTTAACTGTGTGAAATAGTTGGTATTATTGTCCTAGTAAAATCCTATGAGGCATGTACAATTATCTACTTTACAGAAGAGAAAATGTGATTCTTGGGTATAACATCAATACCTAACAGTAATACATTGTCTCTCATACTTTTAATGTTTTGAAAATCATTTTTCTGTAATTTCTTTATTTTTGAAACCCAATTTCTTTTTCTTCTTCCTTCTCTTCTTTTCTTCCTTCCTCCTCCTTCTCCTTCTCTCATCTTCCTCCTCTTTCTTCTCCCTCCTCTTTCTCTTCCTCTTCCTATCCTTCATCCTCCTCTTCCTACTCTTCCTCCTCCTCTTCCATATTCTTCATCCATGGCCACTTTTGCTCATATTCTTTCATCTTTATTGTAAGCAGTTTCACTCTGCATTGCTTTCTCCTTTTCCTTCTTCAAAGACCAGTAGTGCAACATCTATTATGTTCACATAGTAATATAATAGAAAAGGAAGGAAGAAAAGAAGAGGAAAAAAAAGGAAAGAAAAGGTGAGGGAAGAAAATCTTTCCAAGACACTGATTTCAGGTTATTCCCAGTGACAATTTTCTTCTTTATTCCAAGATCAGGGCTAATTCCTCTTGCAAGGGCTTGGGGGCAGGCAGTGGAGATAGGTGCACATTCAGTATCCAGGGTGTAACAGTTCCTACACAGGGTGGCTCCTCTTTGGGTTCAGGTGCAAGAGAACAGCCACAGATGGTGCAGACCATTACTTGCTACCCTTAGGCAGCACAGCCCATCCCCCATTGTTCCCGGAGATGAAGTAGTTAGATCAAGCCAATGACAAAGGGATTTTCTCTAAGCACTAATTAGGCTCTGAGTATTTTCCAGTCTAACTCCAATTTCAACCATATGTATATACAGATGCAGTTTATACTTTTCCTCCTTTGCCACGTCATTCTTACATGCTTTTGCCACCCATCCACAACTCCTGCATCCTTTTTATTCTATTCTTCAATTTCCTTCCACAAAAAAATTTTAATATTAACTTGAAACTTCAAGGCTGACAACTTTTGGGATCCTGCATGTTCTCCTACACTACTACATGGGGCTGTCAGGAACCATCACTAAAGTTGGGATTAAAACTCAGAATCTCTTTCTTTCTGGAATGAAAATAAACAAATACAGATGCAGTGGAGGCAGGTGTTGCATAGCCTGCTGACTCTGTTGTGTTATTATTTACTTTTAGTATTTTTTCATTATTTGATTTTTTGTTTGTTTGTTTTTTTTTGTTTGTTTGTTTTTTGAGGCAGATTCTTGCTTTGTCACCCAGGGTAGAGTGCAGTGGTGTTATCATGGCTCACTGTAGCCTGTCTCCTGAGCCCAAGCAATCCTCCCACCCTAGTCTCCCGAGTAGCTGGGACCACCATGCCTGGCTCATTTTAAATTTTTTTGTAGAGAAGGGATCTCACTGTGTTGCCCAGGCCAATCTTGAACTCCTGGGCTCAAATGATCTTCTTGACTTGGCCTCCCAACGTGCTGGGATTACAAGTGTGAGCCACCAGGCCCAGACTCTTCATTTGTTTCTTAAAATATTTTCTCAAAGTGACCTACAAAGAACACCTTTTTGTTATCTTGAGCACTTTACTTTATCAGAGTCTGCTCTAGGTTGTCCGAGGGGCCCTTTCTCTTAGTCCTATTCTTTTCATATCAGTGGCCTTCTTGGGTTGTGTATTTCTTTAGATGACTGCACTTGTCTTTCTATTTGACATCAGCCATGATTGTATTGTCGTAATTTTACTTTGGTAATTTCTGGTTCTTATTTTTCTCTGTCCATGGGTTGACTCCTCTTTTTACTTTTTCTTTAATATATTTCCAAAAATTTGTTTCTTGAATTGCATAGCCCATACTAACCTTGCACCCATTCTCTTCCCAGTGGGCATGAATTCCAAGAACACTGCAGTATTCTCCTGTAGACTCTCCTTGTTTCCACATCCACTGTCAATTTGTATTAATTAAGGCCAGTGTGGTCGTTATCTGTGGGGCCAAGGAACATGATGGCTTTGGAGCCTATAGGTCAAGGTTAAAACCTTGGCTCTACTTCTTGCTGGCTGTGTAGTTTTGAAAACATTACTCAGCCTGCCTAAATCTCAGGTTCCTGATGTTTAAAAATGGAGAGAATAACAGCTACCTTGTGAGATTATTGTGAGGATTAGAGGTCATTCTGCAAATTACCTGGTGTGTGATAGGTGTACAGTAAAAGAAAATTACTTTTGAGCCACTCAAAGATGAGATTCAAATCCAAGTTCTTCCACTAACTATAACTTTTTTTCCCTTAAGTTTACCACTTTTTGAGTCTCAATTTTCTTATCTGTAAAATGGGGGGGAAAAAAGTCCATATCTTATAGCATTCCTAGGAAGACTATAGCTTCTGGCATGGTATAAGGCAGTGGTACATGCTCTCGTTGAAAATTGCTCTCTTGGATGGGCACGGTGGCTCACGCCTATAATCCCAGCACTTTGGGAGGCTGAGGGGTGGCAGATCACTTGAGGTCAGGAGTTCAAGACCAGCCTGGCCAACATGGTGAAACCCTATCTCAACCAAAAGTACAAAAATTAGCTGGGCATGGTGGTGGGTGCCTGTAATCACAGCTACTTGGTGGACTGAGGCATGAGAATCACTTGAACCCAGGAGGTGGAGGTTGCAGTGAGTGTAGATCGTGCCACTGCACTCCAGCCTGAGTGACAGAGAGAGACTCTGTCTCCAAAAAAAAAAAAAAAAAAAAAGTGCTCTCTTATGCCTTCTGAACAAAGACATGCCCTGCTGGACACATCTGAGCTTTACCTGACATGCCTTTTCTTTTTTCTTTTTCTTTTTTTCTTTTTTTTTTTAACAGAATAAAGCTTTCAGTAGGTATCACACTAGCCTGAAGGCTTTGCTTTAGCTCAGTAGAGTCCTTGTTTTGATATCTCGGGTAAGCAGTACTCATTTGTTCCTTCTGATCAACAGAAATGTTTTCATAAACATTTTATTTCTGATTTTTTCTTTCTGCATGGCTGTGTATATCCTTTAACCTCAGGGTATCATTCAAAAAGGAAGGAGAAGAGAAAAAGAAAAATGGAAGAAAGAAAGCAAGAGAAAGAAATGGACAACTTACTGAAGGGGACACTTTCAGATATTGCAGAAAACAAGAGAGTCATAGGCAATCTCATTATAATCAGGAAACATGTATGCAGCTTGATGAGCTCATTTTTCACAGTTTGCTAGAAGAAAAATTTTTAACCTTAATCATTTTTTCAAGGATTTGGAAAATGCTCAGTAAAAGGGAAGCAGAAAATTGGGGAAACTATTGCTTACACTAGAATATAAACAAAGATTCTTTGCTCCTCACAGGGCTCTGAAGAAGAAATGATCTTGGAATGTGAATTTCATCCCATCCTTTGTAATCCTGCAGGAATGCTTCCATATCTGATGAGCTATTTTAAAGTTGTGGGTGTGGGCTATTTTAAATCTGACATGCCTTGATTTGAATCCAAGCTCTGCCATTTACTATCAACAATGCATTAAACCTCTGCATGCCTCAGTTTCTGTAGGCATTTAAAAAAGGGCAGCCTAGTTTTTTCTTCATATAGTTTTTAGCAGGAGCAAATAATGTAATTGATGTATGCTGTAGCAATTAGCACAATTCATTGCATGGAATAGATAATAAATGTTAGTGCTCCATCTCTTTTTCCTGGAGGCCTATCCAGTAGTGTGAACTTGATTATCATAGATGATCAATACGAGTAAATAATGGGACCTGATGGAAGAATGTATCAGTGAAATTAATCTCATTTTCACTAGTATAAATCAATTTGAAGAAGCATCTGCTCTTGAGAGGAGCAGAAATGACAGAATTGTTTTAATACATGGCATAACTTGATTTTAATTTTGATGAGGAAAATAAGAATCCCACCTGGTTATGATTATTGATTAAAAATAACTGCTACCATTTGTGGACTTAGTGTGAACCAGGTGCTTGCCTTTTAAGGAAGATATTATGTATATTGGACAGATGAGGAAACTAAGGCTCAGGGCAGAGAAGAGACGTTCTCAAGGTTACACAGCTAATGAGAAGAAGAATCAGAATTTGAATATACACCGTTTCTTTTGGTGTGTGAGGTTTTGTACTGCATGACAACAGAGACAGACCATTACTCCCAACATGTACATTATTTGTCTCACAATATAATTGAATCCAGTATAACACTTAAGAAAATTCTTGGCTCAGTACAGTGGCTCATGCCTGTATTCCCAGCACTTTGAGAGGCCGAGGTGGGAGGATTGCTTGAGCCCAGGAGCTTGAGACCAGCCTGGGCAGCATAGAGAAACCCTGTCTCTACAAAAGCAAAAATTAGCCAGGCATGATGGTACACATCTGTAGTCCCAGCTACTCATGAGACTGAGGTGGGAGGATCACCTGAACCAGGGGAAATAGAGGCTGCAGTAAGCCATGATTGCAAAACTGCACTACAGCCTGGGCAACAGAGTAAGATTCTGTCTTAAAAAAAAATATATATATATATGTATATATGTATAATTTTCATATATTCCCTGGAAAACATCAACAATCTTGGGGTAAGGTAATTTTATTTCTATCCAGTTTCCATGTGTAAGTCAGTTTCATTAAGTTTATCTAGATCAGTGATCAGTGTCCTACCACTGGATGTAAGAAAGAGTCATTCTAACAAATGAGGCCAGCCAGTGACTGAGGCGTCAAGACTATGTATTTACTGACAAGTCAGGGAAGTAGGAGATATGCTTTCTTCTTTTAGAGTTTTGATACTCTCAAAGGGAAGTGAACTAACCTTCAAAGTATACCTGGAATGTAACCAAAACTATTAATACAAATAGAAGCATAAAATTCATCCTCTCATTTAATACAACAATGGGTGAGACAAACATTATCATCTCTATTTTATAGTGGAGAAATGGAGGCTTTGAAAGGTTAAGTAACTTATGTAAGGTAAGAAGTACAGCTAGGTTTGGAGCCCCAGAAAATACAATCATACTGAAGAGCTCATTCCATGATGATGCTCATAAATGAAGTGTTGCAGCTCTTTGCTCTAATTTCTTACTTATCTTGACAAGGAAAGCATTCATCATTTTTCCTAGTGGTGTCTTGGCCCATCTCAGGGTCAGGCTGTCTTTCAATTAAGTAATGTACAAATTGAGGAGCACACAGCCAGAACATCTTCAGCAGAGCCCTCACTCCACACACTCAGAGTTGGCGGGGGTGGGTGGATAGAGAAGCGAGAAGGTGGATGGGAATAATGGAAAATGATGTGATGTTGTGGAAATGTAGATTTTGAGATGATTTTTAATCAAGTCAGCCAGGAGAACCTCTCTTCAGGTGTAAGCAAGATGTAATCAATAACTGTACCCGGCCCTCTTGTCTTCCATGTGATTTTATTGAACACAGGTTTAATTGACCTGAAAAAGAAACGTACTTGTTTGGAAAGGTGTGTGTACTGCCAGCAAAATAAAACTTCCTCAGTTCCTGCCATGTATGGGGGTGTTGCTGGACTGTTTTACATGATCACTTCTGACAGTAGAAATCTGTCAGGTCACCACATTGTAAATGCTTTGGAAGCAACAGTCCACGAGGCCATTTTGATAATGAGAGAAAGTATAAAATGTGGTGAGGATTTCCTTTTACTTGGCTTGCTCATTCCAGAAATTGACTTGGATTGATTACCATGGAAAGACTCTACTGCATCTGTGCTCCAGAGGGGCAAAGTGACACAAAGGGACGAGGCTTGTACAGTAAAATTTTAGCTCCCTTGACGTGATACAGTCCACGAGGATCCTATCTCAAGGGAGTACACTAGAAGTGATTGCTCAAGGAAAACCCCCATCTGTTTGTAGAATCCCGGCTATGCATTTTGTCTTTATGCACCTTGGTTCCATCATCTGTGAAATAAAAATAAGCCCTACCTTGTTGGAATGTTACAAAGGCAATTAGCAACTCAAAAGAAATTTAGTCAGTGATTTCCCACTGGTACCCTTCTGTGCACTTAATAATATGTTGGTGACCTGAAAAATCTTTCTTGAGACCCATGTTTTTTATATGTAGAATGAGATTGAGCCAGATTATCACTAACTTCCTTCCCAACCCTACCACCAAATAACAGCACTTCTACCGACATCCTAGGAGTAAGGCAATCTTGAATTTATAAAATATTCTCAGGCTCAGAGAGCCGTTTTAGAAATCAGCCATGACACAAGGAAAGGACCTTGAGTTAGGAGAGCTGGACTCAAGTTTCACTTCAGCCACATTCTTGTCATCCCTAAGCCTGAATGTCTTCCTCTACAAAATTAGGATAATAATTTCCTCCTCTACAGACTTATTGTACAACACATAGTCCATACATCTGCTTCCTTTTGTCACTGATGTCCTCTTCCCCAGAGGCAACCACTTACAACTGAATTTTTATTTTTTGTGATATTTAGCTCCATATATCTAAATAGCTACCCATAGTGCCATTTCTTGACTTCTTAGTTTTAGGCATTATATGACCTACCCATTAAGGAAGATGAGATCTTAGCCATTTCATCCCCATCACTCTACTAGTAGCAAAAGCATGCACAGTTATTCATGTTTCCATTCTCCCAAAATAAATATATATTTTGGCTAGATCTATCATCAGTGCTTAAATTGAGTACATAAATACTGTTCACAGCTGAGCCACATAGAATACTATTATTTTTTCCTTTCTTGAACAAGCATTTGTTTTCCCTAGATTTACTAAGTGTTTTGTTTTGTTGATGTACTGCGTTTTCTATGGTCTTATCTCTGATTCAGCCTCAAATTCTCTTTCAATATGTCTCAATGCATTAAGTATTTTTAGCAATTGTATCTACTTGGAAACATTACTGCAGAAACCTTCTTCTCTATTTAGTTAGTTCCTGACCGTTGGTTGCAAGCCTATTGTTAGCTGCCTTCCTGGGGCTATTCTTTGTTGTATTCTAGGGGTTTCTTTTATTATATAACACCTCTCTCATATTGAATTCCTCATTACGTAAGCCCAGTGTCTACATCTTTATTAGCTGATCTTCTTGTTTTAAAAACGGAGCAACTTTTCTAGTACCCTTCAGTAAACGTGTATATGTTGAGAACTTACATATCTGAAAACATATTCAGCTTATCTTTATCCTGAGTTAATAGTTTGATCAGTTATAGAGTTTAGGTTGGAAAAAATTTTTCCTTATTATTTTGATGGCATTCCTCCAGTCTTAGTGTTAAAATGTCCAGGGCCATTCTGGCCCGTGAATACTCCTGATTTTTCTTTTTAGAAGCTTTTAAGATCTTCTGTTTTTCCCAGTGTTCTAAAACTTCACGGTGGTGTGATCACAAAAATAAATGTTTTATTTATTGTGCTAGTGCTGGGATTAAACATATTCTCCAGTCCTGAGATTCAGTGAGCCACCTCTTGGTAGCTACTTTTAACTGAGTAGTTTAACGTTCTTCTTCCATGATACTGAAGACACACTTCTTTTAACAGCTGTTATGACATTGTTTTTTAGTTAGTTGTGTATATCTATACCATATAGCATTACAGGCCCCATTATGGAAACCCAATGGAGTTCTGTTGTATAAATGAAAAACAATTACTTATGATCTTCTGCCTGCATGGGCATAGAAGCAAAATATGTAATATGAATGTGAAAAATTAATAAATTATATTGAATTTTTAAAACATACCACTACAGAGAATTCACAGTTTGCTATACATTCTGTAGCTTTTTGTAATCCATGAGTTAGTCATCAACAGGAACAAATTCTGAACTGCCTTTTGTAACCACTTGAAACTTGAAAGGAGAGAAATAAAAATGGTTTGAGGTTCTGGAGGTTTCTAAATACCTTCAAAACCCCATTGTTTGTGACAGTCAGGATGTTTATGATCAAGGAAAAAGGGAAGTGTTCTGGAGACATGCCCTATTTCCATATTTGTGGTGCCCAAAACAAAGATAAAAGTGGTGGCCCACATATGTCTAAATAGTTACAATTTATAACCCAAGCTTTAAAAATATTAAACAAAATTTGCCCTAGCAGATTTGGAAGGCTAGGTTGCATTTTAGAGTTCTGGGATTTCTTGGCAGCCCTGGAAGAACCAACCCTCAGCCACCAACTTGGCTCTCTTATCTCCTTACCTTCCCCCAGATATTTCTGGTCTTTGTGGCACCCTGTTTGCACATATACAGACACATTAACATGATAGCCACATGGCCAAGCTCCATTCACATGCTCTGCAAATAACTGCCCTTTGACCACCCCTTGGGGAAAGGATAAGGGCATTGGTGAGTCAGTTACCACTTGGGAGGACAGTCATGGGTCAGAGGCTGTACATGCCCTGGAAGTGAATGAGGGGCCATTTGGGAAAGGAATTCCCATGGAGAGTAGGCATGTCACCTTGGCTCTGGGGACTCCTCCACAGGACAAGGGCCAGAAAGGACTCCGCCAAGTGCAGAGTACAGGGCACAGTCACCTCGTGACTGAGGCTGAAGGTGAGACTCCCAGAGAGTAAGAGAAACCTGACTGTGATCCTTTGGTCAACTTATGGCAAATCTGAGAAGGAAACCCAGGTTGTTCTAAAGGATTGCTTTGGCGTCTAACTGCCTCCCCACCTCCATGAGCAATTCCATTAACCAAAAAGGAAGGAACTGAGCAAGTTCAGTCCTCTTACTTTTATTTTACATTTTAAAAAATAGCGATGGAACATGATCCTTCTTGATAACTTATACTGGTCCAGCCTAGACCATAAATCAGAAAGTAAATGTCTTGTGGTTTGAGGTAAGGCCTAAGCTGACGTTATCCTCCCTTTTATGAAGCCTCAGAGGCTCATAGGCCCAGATTTAGTCTCGGTGGTTTGCATATTAAAAACTGGTTTCTTTCTCTGGGTTTTATGTTACCACTTCAAATTCCTCTAGACAAGAAATAAGGGAAATGGTGGGAAAGCTCAAAGTACAAAGGGTACCCACCCAGGGCTCCAGGAAGGACCCTCAGTGAGACTTTGGAAGCTCAAAATACCTTTGCTTCTGATAGACAGACTTATGAACCTGGAAGAAGTTAAATTTTTTATTTCAAAAACTTTCTAAATAACAGTGTCTTAAATTTAAAGTCCTTCCTCCCTCACCCCACCTCTAGCTGATTTTGTTTTGCTTCAATATTCATAAAGCACCTGTAATTGTTTACATTTCTTCTACTCTTTTTTGCAAGGCCCCAGGAATGCAAAGGGAAAACACACCAACATAGGCAAGCCTTGGGGTAATTTTTAAATAGTCACTGCTCTTTCAATGCATGGTGTTGGGTCATTGCTTAATAAACAATATTCTTTCTCAACTCCTACTCCAGCTCCATTTCCATATACTTTACATTAAGACTGGAAATAAATCAACTGCTAATAGTTTAGCTCCCAGGGTGAGTGGGATGCTGGGTCAGGATGTTCTCTCTCAATGGGAACAAAGGGTCAGCCAGGCAACAGCCTGAATGTTGAAGTCTTGTTTCCTTGCCTCTTTCTAGCAGTTCAGATTTTGGGTTGGGTCTTAGAATCTGTTTCTCCTAGTTGCTCCGGTGTGTACTTGGCATCTCATGGTGATTGACTCTATCTGATCTTGGCCTGCACTCCCCTTACCCACTCAGCTCTGCCTTCACACCCATATCCATCCCATTAACTGGCTTGTTCCTGCCCTTTGGTAGCCATGGTAGTGGGACAGCCCACCGCACACTGCTCAGATTGGTGGCTGAGAAAGGACATTGCCCACCTCTATGTTAGAATAAGGAAATGTTTTCTTTTTCAGTTTTTAAGTTCAGGGGGTACATGTGCAGGTTTGTTACATGGGTACATTGCATGACACCAAGGTTTGGGGTATGAATGATCCCATTGCCCAAGTAGTGAGCATAGTACCCAATAGGTAGTTTTTCAACCCTCTCCCCTCTCCTCCATCTAGTAATTCCCAGTGTCTGTTGTTCCCATCTTTGTCTTCATGTGGACCCCGTGTTTAGCTCCCACTTACAAGCGAGAACATACAGTATATGGTTTTCTGTTCCTGTGTTAATTCGCCTAGGATAATGGCTTCCAGCTGCATCTATGTTGCTGCCAAGGACATGATTTTGTTCTTTTTTTATGGCTGCATAGTATTCCGTGGTATATATGTACCACATTTTCTTTATGCAGTCCACCATTATTGGGCACCTGGGTTAATTCCATATCTTTGCAATTGTGAATAGTGCTACAATGAACATATGAGTCCTTGTGTCTTTTTGGTAGAAGGATTTTCTTTGGGTATACACCCAGTCACGGGATTCCTGGGTCAAATGGTAGTTCTGTTTTAAGTTCTTTGAGAAATCTCCAAACTGTTTTCCACAGTGGCTAAACTAATTCACATTCCTGTCAACAGTGTATAAGCATTCTTGAGAATAAGGAAATGTCTTCACCTTTCAATTCATTACCTGCAGGATCATCTCATACCTATCAATTCTTATTGCCTCCTCCAGAGTTGTCTTCTTTTTGTAAAATTTGATTGCACTATCATAAGGAGTTACTATAGAGACCTGAGGCTTTTTAAAAAGCAAATATAGCAGCACTCACAAATTGCCATTGGCTTTGTTCTTTGGTGTCCTTTCTTTGTGAAGCCAAGTGTTCACTTCAACGATGCTGCTTTGCTCAATACTTTTTAGGAATTACTTCTTTTTGGAGCTGCCTCAAGAGCTAGTTCTCCGTTGCTATTTCTAAGCAATTGAAATTCCTTGAAAGAAGAAAAACAAACATTGCTAAGGGTGTTCCAGAAAGGAATTTTATATATGTATAGTTCAAGCACGACATTAGCTAGCCTGACGTTTTATCTTTTTCACAAAATTTGGCTTGGCAAGACTTTCCCAACTTGAAAAAAAAAAATCTCTCTACAAAGGTGTAAACTATGCAGCCATGAATAACAATATTTAAAAGAACATCCAGAGTTCTGCTGCTGGTTAGCAAGTAGGAGCATGTGAAAGACTTTGCTCCTGCCAAAAGAAGAAGAAATCACCAGAGAAAACAAAAAGCATACTTTTTATTTAGTGTCATTACAGAGCTTTGGACACAAATCTAAAAGAACCAAATTCTAGAGGAATGAGCTCTTCGAAGGTGAGCAGCAAGGAATAGAGGAGGTTGCATACCTAGATTGAGTTGCTGAGTTTGGGGGTAAAATGACAGGGGAGTGAGGCTTCAGGGAAGGACAGTTTTTACTTGGGTGGGGAGAAACTCTCTAAACTATTGACAAACTTGGAGGCTGGTATCATCAGATTTGATCCTGGAGGAGCCCCCAGTGCAGAAATAATTCTCTCTTCCAAATAACTCACTAATGTTGCTAAGTAAACAGAGGCTGGAAGAGAAGGTGAAAAGCAGAAAGAGTTCTCAAATCTAGCCATCTCACAGTTTTTGAAATCTTGTGATCTCTAAGTCTCATGGTTCCAAACACTCTTTACCTCCAAATCTTATCTCATGGGCTTGCTCTGTTGAACTCTTGAAAATTTGAGGTCATGAAGACTGGTGGTTTTAAAGTCTCATGATCGTCCACTCTCACCATCTCTTGGTTCTGAGGCCTAGCCATCTTATAGGGTTTGGTCTTTGGACTTTCCCAGAGAAAGAGGGCTGAACTTCCTTTCAAAGTGTTTGAAGACAGAGGTGTAAAAACTTAGTCTAACCAAAGCCACAACCAAACACCTATTCTATTTAACATCTGATGTGTTCAAAGATTTCAGCACCAGCACAATACATGAGTTAGGGGCTGGGCTGAAAAGCAGAGACTAATTTCTTTAGATCCCTCATACTAAATTCCACCTCCCTGCTGGAGGAACTAAATCTGCAATGCTGCCCCCAAACAGTTCAACTCCTGATTGGATCAAATTCATCAGCAGTCACCCAAGTTGCACATGCCCATTTTCTTTAGTCTCTACTGTTCTTTTAGACCCAATGTCCAACACACAATAAAATACTATGATTCAGGCAACAGCAGGGGAATGTGACACAGATTAAGAGAAAATCAATGAATAGTAACAAACCCGACAACGCAGATGTTGGAATTATCAGACACGGTCCTTAAAATAGCTATTAAATATATTAATACTCTTTTTTGATATGTTGTAAGATACTTTATTCCTCCAGACTTTATAATCCTCATATATTGTTGATGATTTCTCCTTTAAGTAGTAAATTGTATTTAAAAAAATTTAAAGGAAAAATAATTTATATTAAAGACATATGTTAAACAATTCACAGAAAAAGATGGATTAAATGGATGAAGAGATGGGGGAATTTATGGAGAGATTTAGAAACAGTGAAAAAGGGGCCAAATGAAAATCCTAAGATTGAGAAATGAATCTGAAATGAAAATTTTACTGGAAGAGATTAATAGCAGATTGGACAAAACAGAAGAAAGAGATGATGAATTTAAAGAAAGATGAATTTAAATTATTCAAACTAAAGTACAGAGAGAAAAAAAGAATAAAATAAAAAATAACAGGAACTCAGCAACCATGACACAATATCAAATATATGTGTATTTGAAGTATAAGAAGAAGATAAAAGACAAAATAAGGCAGAAAAGGTTATTGAAGATTGTCAGCTAAAATTTTTCCAAAGTTGAATAAAAAATGGCAATTCATAATTCTAGACAGTTCAATAAACCCCAAGTAGGATAAATGCAAAGAAAACCACCAGTAGGCACATCGTGGTCAAACAACTGAAAACCAAAGAGAAAAATCACAGAACAGCCAGAGGAAAAAAGGCACATTACGTATAGGGGACAATGACGGCTGACTTCTCATGGAAAACAGTGGAATGATCCAAGATGCAGACCTAGACTGAAAGAAATGCTAAGGGATGCTTTTCAGGCTGCTGCAAAATTATACCAGATGGAAACTTGTATGTAGACAAAGATACGAAGATATGAAGAATACCGGGAACGGTAAATATATGGCTGAATATGAAAGACAAATTTTTTTCCTTTAGGCCAGGCACAGTGGGTCACGCCTATAATCCCAGTGCTTTGGGAGGCCAAGGCGGGCAGATCATGAGGTCAGGAGTTTGAGATGAGCCTGACCAGTGTGGTGAAACCCTGTCTCTAGTAAAAATACAAATATTAGCCAGGCATGGTGATAGGTGCCTGTAATCCCAGGTATTCAGGAAGCTGAGGGAAGAGAATCTCTTGAACCCCGGAGGCGGAGGTTACAGTGAGCTGAGATCGCACCACAGAGTAATAAATAAATAAATAAAAATTCTTTAAAATACAGTTTACTATTTAAGGGAAATATTAATATGTTATGGGCTTGTAAAGTATGAAAAGAGAAAAATACAACATTATCAAAAAGGATGAGAGTGTACAATTTAAGTTATTATGTTGTAAAATTTCTGTATTTTATTATAAAGGAAGTGGAATATCATTAGTTCAAAGTAAATTGTGGCATGTTAAGGATGCATATTATAGCCAGACATGGTGGCACACGCCTGTAGTTCCAGCTACTCCAAAGACTGAGGTGAGAGGATCACTTGAGCCCAGGAGTTCAAGGCAGCAGTGAACCGTGATCGCACCACAGCACTCCAGCCTGGGAACAGAGCGAGACTCTGTCAAAACAACAAGAACAACAAACAACCCAGATAAAAAGGGGTAGCTAAAAAGCCAGTAGAAGAGAGAGAAGGGAATATTAAAACATACCTAATTAATCCAAAAGAAGACAGAAAAGGATAAGAAAATGAACAAAAGGGACAAGTAAAACAAATTAAAACAATTGTAGACTAAAGCCTAACAATATTGATAATTACATTAAATAAAACTCTCCAAGTAAAAGGAAAATATTGTCAGCCTGCTTAAAGAAGTAAAGCCCAACTGTATCTTGTTTACATGAGAGGCCCTTTAAATAGAAAGACACAGACAAATTGAAAATAAACTGTTGAAAAAACTACAGACCACGTAAAGACTAAAAATAAGAAAGTTGATTTGGCTCTATGAATATCAGATAAAATAGACTTAAAGACAAGGAGTATTACCAGGGGTAAAGCGGGTAATTTTTATAAAGAGAAAGGACATAATCCTTATACAACTACTTGAATATTAACAAAAACCACTGAACTATATACTTTAAGTTGTACACATTTAAATTGTGTATTTTAAATGAGTGAATGACATAGTCTATAATTTATATTTCAAAGCTGTTAAGAAGAAAGGCGGTCTGGAAGTTGATTGAAATGACTCTCATTGACTAATATGATCTCACTCTTCCACTGGTTCATAATTTTTTCAGCTTTAGTCATGTAACGTATTAAATTGGTCAAAAGCTTATATATGGTAAAATATTTATCTCTAGAGGTATCAGTCCTTAAGAGATAACCATGCTGTTGTTAAGTGTCTATTCAGCTATTCATTTATTAATTCATTTATTTACCTAGGCTATATGATGTATCCTGTTTAAAGTAGCTTTGTTCACATACTATGTATGCCATTTAAAATAGCTATTTTCTGCTCACCTTTACAATATGTTTAAGGTATAACAAAACATATCTACTTTTACATTGTGTCATTTGTAATGTTGTTTAATTTTTAAAATTCTTAACATAGAAGGAACTGCTTAAAGGCTACAACTTTTTCTTATCCTAATATGCCCATCTCTTTGCAATATGACTTTGCCACTCCTCACATCCAGAGATGAGGCCTATTTCTTGCTCTCTTGAATAATGGCTGGTCTCTTGACTTGCTTGGACTAAGAGCATGTGGCAGAAGTGACACTTTGTAAGTTTCAGAGCCTCAGCCTCAAGAAGGATTGAAGCTCCTACCTTTGTTGTCTTCAACACTGAACTGAGGCTGCCATGGAAGAAGGTTGGTCAAGCCTGCTGGAGATAAGCTATGTGGAAGAGAATCATGTGCCCTAAGTAATAGCTTGTGCCAGCTTCCATACATGTGAGTGAGGACATATTGTGCCTCCAGCCCAGTCAACCAGTAATAAACCCCAAGTAGGATAAATGCAAAGAATCACTGAATCAAGCTGAATCAAGCTTCATGTATTATCCCAGCCTAAACCAGCAAAGGAGATGCTCAAACTTCAGAATTCTGACAAATAAGACAAAGTTGTTTTAAGCCATAGAGTTCTTCAGTGCTTTGTTACACAGCAGTGGCTAAAGGAAAGAGAAATTGCTACCTGGAAGTAGGATGATGTATAGCAAAATCCTAAAACATATGCCACTGCGTTTGGGATCAGGTGGCAGATGGAGGTGGGAAGGGTGTGTGAAGAAAAAGGGAGTGAAGACGAAATGATCACAAGAAAGTTCTTGTGGACACTGGAGAAAGACCCAAGTTATGCAATGGTGAAAAGATGAGCAAGATTGTTATCTGTAGCAATTTGGAAGCTAGACTATGTGTTTAATGTGTGGATGTGAATAAGGAAATTTCTTGGCATAAAGTTAGAAATATCAGCTGTCATTTTTTAGCTGTACTGATACACGAAGAGATACATGAACTCATGAAGGAACTGTTTAGCTTGCAAGGAAAAATTAAAAGACATGCACTAGGTTCAGGACATGCATTAGGTTCAGGGCATACTAAGTAACCAACCTTCCAAAGTGCTGGGATTACAGGCACGAGCCACCGCACTTGGCCCTAAAACTATTTTTTCTTCCCAGCAAATATTTTCTCCCAGAAAAGATTCTTAAAGTAGGAAACAGTATCAGGGTAAAGATCAAATTAAGGGTGTGGGTATAAGATCATTTAGTTTGGAACTATTTAATGTAGTTCCAGGAAGATCCTCTTCTCTTCACAAAGGACTTCTAGGAACCACAGGGTCATATTCTAAAGCAGCTCCATGCAAGGTCACAAATAGAGAAAGGCCTTTCTCAAAAAGAATTACGGATGTATCTTTGGCGGGGGGCATTTAATGATTCCCAATCAAATTCATAGGAAAGCCACATTTTTTAAAGGGTTGTATTAGAAGAAACACTACCAGCTTGGATTATAAGGTACAGAGTATTAGACATGTCCTCCTGTCATAAATAATGATAAACTGAAAAAGAAATAGGCAACTCTTTTCAGTCATTAGACAAGAAGCAGCACAGAGCTGTGACCCTTGAGAAAGGAAAAGCGCAGAAGAGGAACCGCACTTTCATACTGTTTTTCTACCTAGGGCAATTTGCTAAACAGGGCACAAGGAAGTGGAGCCCACATAGAGTATAGCAATCCTGCTGAGCTGGGGAGGATGAGATCAGTGTTAGGGTCTGCTGCAAGACCTGGAAATTTCAGGGTAGGATGCTGGAGAGGAGAGAACTTACAAAAGTCTCTGCAGACTTCAGAGTAAGTATTTCAATCTCTAAAGTTCTCTCTTTCTCACATGCGTGCGCGCACACACACACACATACACACTTATAGCTAAAGAGCCAATAGAATAAAAGAACATAAAATATAACCCAAAAGAAAGCAGGAAGAGAAGAGCAGAGAAACAAAAGCAAATGGCACAAAGAGTAAACAAACATCAAAGTGGTAACATAAACCCAACCCATATTGACAATTTCCTTAGTTGTATATGGGCTTAGAACTCCAATGGAATGGCAGAAATGATCAGCCTGTTTGTAAAAGCAAAACTCATATGTTGTCTACATGAGAGTAAATAGTAGGATACAGATTAGCTAAGAGTAAAAGGATGAGAAATACGTGCCATTTGAACAGTAAGCAAGGGGAAGTTGGTATGGATATATGAATATCAACATATTATGTTAAGATAAAAGCGTCAATTCAGAAGTAAGAATTCTAAGTGTATATGCTGCTAAAAATAAAACTTCAAAATACATAAAGTAAAAACTGACAGAACTAAAAACAAATCTACGATTATAGTTAGAGATTTTTAGCAGTCTTAGGAATTTATAGAATTACTGGATAAGCAATGAGTAAGAATACAGAAGATATAAATAATACAATCAACCAACTTGACCTAATTGATATTTACATAATATCCCAATGCTACCATGTGCATTTGAAACATTTGGCAAGAGAGACCATAATTTCAAAAGACTGAAGTGTTTAACCATAGTAAAATTCAGTGAGAAATTCACAATAAGATACCTAGAAAATTGCCAAGTATTTGTAAAATAAATAATCCACATATCAATAACTTATGAATCTAAGAAGGATATTCAAATTGAATATTTCAAATTGAATGAAAAAAGACATGTTCTAAAATTAAGTTGGGTGTAACTGAGTGCTCAGAGGATAATTTATAGACTTAATGCTTATATAAAAAAAGATTTAAAATCAATGATCTAAAATTCCACCATAAGCTAGAAACAAGACCAAATTAAATGCAAAGTATAAGGAAGTAAATAATAAATATAAGATTAGAAATTAATGAAATAGAAAACAACAGAAAATTGACAGCACTAAAAAGATATTTCTTTGAAAAGATTAATGAAATTGATAACCACCTAGCAAAGCTAATAAGCAAATAGAGAAAATTTAAATTTGCTTTATCAGGAGTGAAGAGAATAATATCACTACAGATTGAATAGACATTAAAAGGATAATAAGGGCATATTGTGACCAGTAACTTTTGTCATATGTCAACAACTTTGACAATGTAGATAAAATTGGTAAATTTCTTAAAAGAGACACATTACAAAACTAACACAAGGATAATTAGAAACTCTGAAAAGCCTTGTATCTATGAAAGAAGATGAATTTGTACTTAAGCATCTTCCCACAAAGAAAACTGCAGGCCAATATGGTTTCATGGATGAATTCAGTCGAATATTTGAGAAGAAATATTGCCGATGCCACATAATTCTTTTTCCAGAGGGAATACCTTCCAACTCATTTTGCAAGGCTAGCATAAATCTGATACCAAACCTCACAAAGATATTAAAATAAAATAAACTTACAGACCAACAGCCTCATGAACATAGACACAAATCTTTTTTGAAAGTTAGCAAATAAAAAACCATAAATATATTGAAAAGAAAACAAATAAACAGGAGTGCAAGGTTGGTTCACTTTTTTAAAGAAATCAGGGCCAGGCACGGTGGCTCACGCCTGTAATCCCAGCACTTTGGGAGGCCGAGGCGGGCAGATCACCTGACATCTGGAGTTCGAGACCAGGCTGGCCAATATGGTGAAACCCCATCTCTACTAAAAATACAAAAATTAGCTGGGCGTGGTTGCAGGCACCTGTAATCCCAGCTACTCAGGAGGCCAAGGCAGGAGAATCGCATGAACCTGGGAGGCGGAGGTAGCAGTGAGCTGAGATCGCGCCATTGCACTCCAGCCTGGGGGACAAGAGTGAGACTTCATCTCAAAAAAAAAAAAAAAAAGAAATCAATATAATTCATCTTGAAATGAAGAATCGTGTGATCATCTCAATAGATACATGTATTAGTTTTCTATTCCTGCATAACAAATCACCCCAAAACCTAGTGGCTCAAAGCAATGAGGATGTATTATATCGCAGTTCCTGTGAATCCATTACGTAGCTTGGCTGGATGCCTCTAGCTCGGTCTCTCACAAGGCCACAAACAAGATACCAACTGATGCTGCAGTCATCTTTTGGCATTACTGAGGATGGTTCCACTTCTCAGCTCATTCATATGGCTTTTGCAAAGATCTAGTTCTTTGGGTGGTTGAACTGAGGGCCTTGGTTCCTTGCTGACTCTTGTTTGGAGGTCAGCCTCAGTTCCTTGTCACAGAGACCTCTCCTTAAGGCAGTTCACAACATGGCCTCTTGCTTCATTGGAGGGAACAAATGAGGGCAAGAGAGAGAGTGCAAGCAAGTGGAAAGTCAGTCCTTGATTACCTTATCTCAAAAATGACATCTTCATCCTGTTTGCCATATCCTGTTCTTTAGAAGCAAGTCACGTGGTTCAGCTCATACACAAAGGAGAGGGTTACACAAAGGGTGTGAATATGCAGAGGCCATCAGAGGCGACTGTAGATGCAGCCTACCATATACCTAAAAAGCATTCCACAAAATTCAAAACCCATTTATGATTTTAAAAAGTTAACAGCAAAGTAGTAGTAGAATGGAATTTCCTCAATCTGATAAAGAGCATCCATTGAAAAACTATAGCTAGCATTATACTTTATGATGATATATTAAATATGTTTCCCCTAACAGCAGAAAAAAGGCCAGAATACATTATCTTACCACTTTTATTCAACATTGTACTGGAGTTTGGCCAGTGTAATAAGACATACAACTGTCTTTGTGGAAAAGAAGAAGTAAAACTCTTTATTCACAGATAACAGGAATCTATAAAAATTTAGTTACATTCCTATAAATAAGCAACCCATAACTGGAAAATAAAATTTTAAAATATTCCCCTTTAAAATAGTATTCCAAGCATTAAATACTTTGGAATAAAATTAATAAGAGATGAAAAATATAATACATACTTTAAAACATTTTTGAGAGTAATTTTAAAAGACTCAATCAATTATACCATATTCATGGACTAGAAGACTCAACATTAAGTATCACCTGTTCCCAAATTTATCTAAAGATTTAGCATAATACTCACCAAACTCCCAGCAGGTTTTTTTTGTAGCCATTGATAAACTGATTCTAAAATCTGTATGAAGATATAAAGGAGTTAGAATATACAACACAAATTTGTAAACAAAATCAAGGGCTTTTGCTATGTGACCTTAACACTCACTATAAGCTACAGTAATCAAGAAATTATATTATTAAATTATTAAAGAAATTATATTATTAAAATAATGATAAAGAAAAAGCATATCAATGAAACAAAATAGTCCAAAAATACACCTACATGTTTATAGTCAATTTATTTGCAATGAAGATATGACGATAATTCATCAAAGAAATACAATCTTTTCAACAAATGATGCTAGATGAATTGGATGTGCATATAAAGAAATTGATTAGATATCTAAACATAAAAGCAGATATTATAAAACTTTTAGAAGAAAATATACGAAAAAGCCTTTGTGACTTTAAGGTAGGTGAAAATTTCTTAAACAGGAGTCAAAAAGCAAACTATTAAAATATTAATAGTTATTTGTTGGTCTTTATTAAAATTAATAACTTCTTTTCAAATAACACTGTTAAGGAAATGAAAAGGCAACCACATACCAGGAGAAAATATCTTTAGTAATATATCTGACAAAAGACTTGTATCCAGAATATATAAGGCACTCTCATAATTCAGTAATAAACCAGACAACCTAATGAAACAAATATGCAAAAAACTTAAACAGAAACCTCAGGGAAGATTTACAAATGACCAATAAGTACATGAAGGATGCATGCCACCACTCATCAGAAAAATGCAAATAAAAGCAAAATGGGATACCAGTTCATACTCACTAGATTGAAGTCTTAAAGCTGAAAATACCAAGTGTTGTGGATGATGTGGAGCAACTGGAACTCTCATATATTCCTTGTGGGATTGTAATATAATACATCTACTTTGGAAAAGAATTATATACACATCCACTTAATGACTTGGAAATTCTAAGCCTAGCTATTTTCTGAAGACAAATAAAAACATACATGCATAAAATCTTGTGTACAAATTTTCACAGCAGCTTTATTTATAATAGCCCCAGACTCGAAAAAACTCAAATGTTCATCAAGAGGTAAATGGAAATAGGAAACATTGAAACATTGATTTTCAAATAATCTTTTTGGAATACCATGTATTATGGTATAGCCATACAATAAGTTATTACTCAGTAATAAAAATGAAGAAAAGGCTTTCTTCACTGGAGTTAATCTCAAAAAGTTAAGTTGCATGAAAAAACTTGACACAAAAGAGTACATAAGTACATCATTCCATTTACCTGAAGGTCTAGGACTAGTACATTTAAGCTATGGCAATAGAAATTGGATCACTGGGTACCCAAAACTTCTGAGAGTTTGACTTCAAAAGAGCCCCCAGGAACTTTCTGTGAATGATGTGTTCTGTATCTTAATTGGGGTAATGACTATGTGGGTGAATATATTTTCAAAACTCATTAAAGCAGTACTCTTAAATTATATTCGTCTGATCTTAAATTGATTTATAAAAAGAATATTTACAGATGCAGGGTACTTCTATTTCTTTGCATTATTTTGTTTCCTCTAAAGCAGCTTGTACTTTACAGAAACTGCTCTCTTAATGAGTGTCTGTCAATGTCCTCCTAATTGCATATTTAATGGGCTGTTTATTCTTTGTTCCCTTTAAACTTTTGGGAGCATTTCACATTGTTACTTACTTCCTTTTTCTTGAAACTCTTTTCTTGGTCTGATACCACACAAACCTACATTTTCTTCTGTTTCTCCAGTCAATTCTTCTCTGATATCTTTGAGGTTCTTCTTTCTCTTGCTCACTGAATATAGTTGTAGGCCATCTTCTCTTCTCCCTCTATATTCATTTTCTGGGTAATCTGATATTAATCCCATGACTTTAACTATCATTTCTATATGGAAATTTAAATCTATAGCTTCACTCCCTGCCCTTATTTCAGAACTCTAGTTCTACTATTTTAGCTGCCCTTTGAAGCCCAACTCGTTTATGGCAAATTCTGGACTTCAGATACCATTGTATCTCCAGAGTCTCACACGGTGTCAAGCATGGTATCCGACTTATAGTTTGATGTAGAATTCATGGGTTTATTGGATATTAGGAGTGGTTAGGTGGTAAGTATGAAGGATGACCCCTAATTTATTATTTGGATAACTGCAGAGATGATGGTTGTTAACTGAGACAGGGAATAAGGAAATAAGAGGCCATAGAAGCAAAGAAGGAAAATAAGAGAAGAATTAAGTGCAATTTTGAGCATGTTGAATTTGAGATCTCAAATGCATACTGATGTCAGAGTAAACTCCTAAAGTACAGTTTGATCATGACATGTCTTCCTTCTTCAAAAACCTTCAATGATTTCCCACTGTTGATCAAGTCCATATCAAACTCCCTACCCTAGAATTTAAGATTTTCCACCATCTCTGGCTACCACCTGACTTTCTCACACAATCTCAGATCCTTCCCTTCTAACAGATCTGCTCTTCCCGCCCTCCTCACCCACGTGTGTATCAGACAGTGCCACCTACTGAGTAACACCTTCCTTCTGGAGAGCACCCTCTCTCCAATCGACCAAATTCCTATCCATCCTTTAAGACTCAACTCAGACAGCATTTATACGATTAGAATAGTTTTCTCCAATTACCAGACAGAAATACTCCTATTACTGAGGACATATCAATTTTGTCACATGTATTGACCACATAACATTCCTTCTTACTTGTGTGTAGCTATTTGTGTATGTTTTTATTACTCCTCCAAGACTTAAAGCTTTTAAGCCTTAAGTAGAGCTTTAAGGTACAGAATGTGTTTCATTTATATTTTCAATCCCTCCAAGTAACTAGCCCATCATGTGACATATAATAAGTGTTTAATAAATAATAAAATAAAAGACTACAATAGAAATGAATGAATAATTGAAGGCATGAAGGAAGGAATAGTTGAAGTAGTTGAGAATAATGGTTCCCTGGCTGTTTTTACATACTTGCCTGCAGCAATTTCTTAATAACTGTGCAGAATGTGCCTACACTGAAATAAGCACGTGTTCACTAGAAAATGAGGCCAAAAAAATTCAGCTTGCCTGTATGACTATCAAAGTTTGAGCTAATTGATCCATGGCTTGGAGTTTGTAGCTGTTGGTCCCAGCTAGAGTTCTTGTGCCAATTAATAGACTAGACAGAGTGAAAATAGAAGCCAAGTGAAATGCTTATTCTTCTCCAGGCTCACTATATATAAATTATTAATGCTTCCTCATACTACATTTGCCTTGAATATATTTAAATGTGAATACATTGGTAGAAGCAGAAAATAAATTTGTTTCCATCACTCCAATGTAATTTATAAAACTAACATTTATTATATATTTCTGATTACAAAATAAATGTGTTCCTTGTAGAAAATTTGCAAAGTGTATAGAATCATAAAGATGAAATGAAAATCATTGATAAGGTCCCCTCTGTAATATAAATTTGTTAATATATTGGCATATATACTTTTAGGGTTTTTTTTTTTAATGTTGTATGAAATACAAGCATCTTCTAACTTTGTTTTCTTAATACATTTAGAATATTTTCTCTGTAATCAAGAATTCTTCATAGAATGTAACTTTCAATGTTTGCTGTATGCTCTAGCTTCTCAATAGGTCATGCAGTCAATTTGTTATTGACCACTTAGCTTGTTTTGAACATTTCATGATTATACATAACTGATAGACATCCCTGGACCCAAAGCCTTAGCACCTCTTATTATATTTTTATAAGTTGTAGTTATGGAATCACTGAGTCAAATAGTGTGCACAGTGTTATGGTTTTTTCACACATATAGCTTGGCAGAAAGATTTTTGTTTTGTTTTGTTTTTAATCAATTTACATTCCAATCCATATTATGTGAAATTTCCTATTTCCCCATATCCCCTTCACCAGTTTTATAGGTAAAAAATTGTACCTCAAAAATCACAAGCATTTCTATATATCAATAACAGACAGAGAGCCAAATCATGAGTGAACTCCCATTCACAATTGCTACAAGGAGAATAAAATACCTAGGAATACAACTTACAAGGGATGTGAAGGACCTCTTCAAGGAGAACTACAAACAACTCCTCAGGGAAATAATAGAGGACACAAACAACCGGAAAAACATTCCATGCTCATGGATAGGAAGAATCAATATCATGAAAATGGCCATACTGCCCAAAGTAATTTATAGATACAATGTGATCCCTATCCTGCTGCCATTGACTTTCTTCACAGAATTAGAAAAAACTACTTTAAATTTCATATGGAACCAAAAAGGAGTCCATATAGCCAAGACATTCCTAAGCAAAAAGAATAAATCTGGAGGTATCATGCTATCTGACTTCAAACTGTACTACAAGGCCACAGTAACCAAAACAGCATGGTACTGGTACCAAAACAGATATATAGACCAATGGAACAGGACAGAGGCCTTAGAAATAATGCCGCACATCTACAACCATCTAATCTTTGACAAACCTGACACAAACAAGCAATGGGGAAAGGATTCCCTATTTAATAAATGGTGTTGGGAAAACTGGCTAGCCATATGCCGAAAACTGAAATTGGATCCCTTCTTTACACCTTATACAAAAATTAACTCAAGATGGATTAAAGACTTAAATGTAAGACCTAAAACCATACAAACCCTAGAAAAAAAACCTGGGCAATACCATTCAGGACATAGGCATGGGCAAAGACTTCATGACTAAACATTAAAAGCAATGGCAACAAAAGCCAAAATTGACAATTGGGATCTAATTAAACTAAAGAGCTTCTGCACAGCAAAAGAAACTATCATGAGAGTGAACAGGCAACCTACAGAATGGGAGAAAATTTTTGCAATCTATCCATCTGACAGAAGGCTAATATCCAGAATATACAAGGAACTTAAACAAATTTACAAGAGAAAAACAACCCCATCAAAAGGATATGAACAGACACTTCTCAAAAGAAGGCATTTATGTGAACAACAAACATATGAAAAAAAAGCTCATCATCAGTGGTGGTTAGAGAAATGCAAATCAAAACCACAATGAGATAACATCTCACACCAGTTAAAATGGTGATCACTAAAAAGTCAGGAAACAACAGGTGCTGGAGAGGATGTGGAGAAATAGGAACACTTTTTTTTTTTTTTTTTTTTTTTGAGACGGAGTCTCGCTCTGTCGCCCAGGCTGGAGTGCAGTGGCGGGATCTCGGCTCACTGCAAGCTCCGCCTTCCGGGTTCACGCCATTCTCCTGCCTCAGCCTCCCAAGTAGCTGGGACTACAGGCGCCCGCCACTACGCACGGCTAATTTTTTGTATTTTTAGTAGAGACGGGGTTTCACCGTTTTTTAGCCGGGATGGTCTCGATCTCCTGACCTCGTGATCCGCCCGCCTCGGCCTCCCAAAGTGCTGGGATTACAGGCGTGAGCCACCGCGCCCGGCCAGGAACACTTTTACACTGTTGGTGGGACTGTAAACTAGTTCAACCATTGTGGAAGTCAGTGTGGCAATTCCTCAGGGATCTTGAACTAGAAATACCATTTGACCCAGCAATCCCATTACTGGGTATATACCCAAAGGATTATAAATAATGCTGCTATAAAGACACATGCACACGTATGTTTATTACAGCACTATTCACAATAACAAAGACTTGGAACCAACTTAAGTGCCCATCAATGATAGACTGGTTAAAGAAAATATGGCACGTATACACCATGGAATACTATGCAGCCATAAAAAAAGATGAGTTCATGTCCTTTGCAGGGACATGGATGAAGCTAGAAACCATCATTCTCAGCAAACTAACACAGGAACAGAACACCACACACCGCATATTCTCACTCATAAGAGGGAGTTGAACAATGAGAACACTTGGATGCAGGGAGGGGAACATCGTACACTGGGGCCTGTTGAGGGTTGGGAGGCTAGGGGAGGGATAGCATTAGTAGAAATACCTAATGTAGATGATGGCTTGATAGGTGCAGCAAACCACCATGGCATGTGTATACCTATGTAACAAACCTGCACGTTATACACATGTATCCCAGAACTCAAAGTATGTATAAAAATTACACCTCACGGTTGTTTAATTTACATTTACCTGAGTACTTTGTTAAATTTCCTTCCATCTCATAAACCCTTTATATTTCTTCTTTTGTCACTTGACAGCTTATATCTTTTGTCTCCTTTGTATTTATATTTGTAAGAACTATTTATTTATTGCAGTTATTAACTTTTTGCCATATATTACAATAATATTTCCCCAGTTTTCATCTGCCTGTGAACTTCATTTTTGTTGATTTTTTACATATAGAATTCTTTCATTTAATGTTGTGAAATACATTCTTTTTTTGATAAATTCTGCCTTTACGTGTATACAAGATTAATATGCTTTTTCATGTTACTTTATTTCAAATACTTTAACGTTTCAACTTATGGTTTATACTGAGATGTTGTGAGATAGAATTAATACTACTTTATTTTTTCCCTAAATAATTAGGTAATTCTCCTAGTGCTATTACTGAATAATTCCTTTCTTTGAATGATTTTAAACATCACCTTTATTGGTATCAAACTCTCACACATACTATTCTCCACTCTAGACTTTGTCTTTTGTTTCAATTATCTGTTTATCTGAAAGGACACTTTTTCATTATTGTAGAATTTCAATGTGTCTAAATATTTACTAATGTCATTCCACCCTTCTTCTTTTTTAGAAGATTTATTGACTCTTCCATTTATTTTTCTAGATAAACTTTAAAAATGATTAACTCAGGTTCCAGAAAGGTCCTTTTAGGATTTGTTAGAATCTCATTGATTCATTCATTAAATAACTGCTGACTGACAACTTGCAAAATCATATCTACCCATCCAGAAACATGATTTTGATCCATCTTTTCTTTAGTCCGTAAAGTTTTCTTATGCATTAAGCAATTTTTAAACATCATATTTATGTCTGGGAATCTCATTTTGTTGTTGTTCCTGTCGTGAATGGAGTCTTATTTCATTATATTTCTAACAGAGTATTGCTAGTATAATGCATATTTATTTTATAACTGGCCAATTTAGTGAATTATCTTGTAAGACCTAGGAAGCTCACTTCCTTCTCACATTCTTAGGAATATCACCTACAAATATTTGTCTTTTAGTTGTGCCATCTTTTTCTTTATGATTTTGTGAGAGTCTTTTTAAATTCTCAATATTGATCTTTCATTGGCTTTTAACCATCTAGATCCTATACCATATATATATATATATATGATCCTATACCATATATATATCATGTATAAGATACACACACTCACATATATAGATATATATATATATATTTTTCCTCCTAGTTGTCATCCAGCAACTAACTGCATGCATGGTATACTTCATTGAACAGAATTCTTTCATTTTGGTGTAGTCAATTTCACTAAAATTTCACCTTAAAATTTGTGGTTGTGGAGTCTCATTTAAAAGTATCCGGCTCCACCCCTAGGTAAGATTTACTTCAACATCTTTACCAGCTTTATAGTTTCACATTCTTATCTTGATTTTTAATCCATTTGGTATAGATTTTTGCAAATAGTACAAGGTAAGCTTTCTTCCTCCTGTGAGCCAGTTTTACCAACACCATCAATTAGACAATCCATTCTTTCTACATCAATTTATACCACCTCCTTGATAAACCACCAATATATACACAGTGTAAAGTTGATTTAGCTTTTCACGACCTTTCATTCTTACATATAAAATTTAAAATAAATTATTAAGCTCCTAAAAAAAAATCCTGCTGGAATGTCAGTTGGCCAGTTTAGTGAATTCTCAGTGAGGATCGCTCCAGTGATCCTTCTGCCTCAGTCTTCTGAGTAGCTGGGACTACAGGTGCATGCCACCATGCCTGGCTAAGTTTATTTAAAAAAATTTTGTAGAGACAGGGTCTTGCTTTGTTGCTCAGGCTGGATAAATAAGTATTTTAATTTAATTTATGAAGTGCTTTCTCTGCATCTACCTTTGATATGGTAAATTGTACTGATAGATTTTCTAATGTTAAATCACCCTTACAAATTAGGATAAAATCTATTGATCAAGATCCATATGTTGGCTTTAGTTAGCTAATATTTTATTTAAAATGTGTGTATCTAGGTGCATGTGAAATGGTTTATAATTTATTTATCTCTTTCCTTATACTCATTCCTCTCTTCATTTTGTTGTTGTTATCTAGAATTTTAATTCTGAGTTGTAATGGATATATGATAAATTTATTACAGTCAATCCTTCGTTTATATTATAACTATTCTCCTCAACTTCTTACTTTTCTTACTGGAATACTTTCTCTAGGAGTATTTCCGAAGAGGTATTTGTAGCAAACCATTTTATGCCAAAAAAAAAATCTTTATTACATGCTTATATCTAAATGGTGGTTTCTGTGGATATAAAATTCTAGGCTTTAAGATAATTTCTTCCAACATTTTGAAAATATTTCTCTATTGCTGCCTGCCTTTGGTCTTGTAATTAGTCTGATGTCAAAGTGATTCTTGCTTTTCAGTAGGTGAGCCACTGCTTTTTTCTGGAATCTTTTGGAAATACCTCTTTGGCTTTAATGTTCTGAAGTTTTATAATTTTATTTAGTGCAGGAGAGCTTTATATTTACTCTGCATTTATTTTTAATCTGAAAGTGATATTTTTTGAAATCTGGAAAATCCAGTTATTTCTTCTCAACTGTGTTTTTTATATATATATATATATATATATATATATCTTTTTTTCTTCCCCTGGCATTTCAATATATGCATATTTTTTGTTAATACTTTCTTGGTGCCTTCTAGGAAGAGTTCTTTAATATGATCTTAAAATGATTATGTCTCCATTCATGCTATTAACTGAATTATTTCCATTGTATTTCTCATGCGTAATACGTGCAGATGATTCTTCATGACTTCTTCCTCCTTCAGTGTTGAAAGTGTCCTCTTTTATGTTCCTCTTTCATGTTTTGAACAACCTCTCTTGTCTCACTGATGATAAGTATTTTAAATTCTTGCTCTGTTCTGACGCTTTCTGTTGGTTTCATTTGTCCAGGTTGCCTTCTTTCTTATAACTGCCATGAAGATGTCTTGTGATTGTTTCTAGCAAACTCACAGTCTCCTGGGGAAGTTTGATCTTCTTGGTTCATGAAGCAAACCCCAGGAAAGGAGTTAGAGATCAGGTCCCAGCGTGTGTGCTCTCCAGAGGAGAAACACTTTAGCTCTGTTGCTTGTCTCTCTCTTTGCCCTGGCTGTGCCTTTTCAGGAGCTGTAATCCTGTAGGTACTGAGATGTGGGTGGTTGGGTGTTGGGGGAATCCTGAGTGGTTAGCTGCAGTCCTTTCTGGAGAGGCTGATGCACCACCCTGATTTTTCACTCTCCCTTTATTGCTGGGCTGGGACTCCACACTGCTGCTGTATTTGATGTTACATATGAGGTTCTGCCTGCAGCAATGAAGACACTAGCCCTGGAGAGATAAAAGGCACATTAAAAAAAAATTTCCATCCAGTCTGGGCAACATGGTGAAACCTCGTCTCAATTACAAAAAATTAGCACGTGTGGTGGCATTTGCCTATGGTCCCAGCTAATCAGGAGGCTGAGGGGGTAGGATCACTTGAGCTCGGGACATTGAGGCTGCAATGAGCTGTCATTGCACCACTGCACTCCAGTCTGGGCAACAGGTGAGACCCTGTCTCAAAAAAACAAAAAACACACAAACTTTCCCTCGTCCTACCTGTGCTATGCAGCCCGCTTTTCATGTTGACTTTTATACTTGTCATGCCGGTTCATGCTGACTCACAGCCTCACCAGGACCCCAATCGCACACTGTTGCTCTGGAGTTGCTAGCATTTTATTTGTTTGTTTAACCACTCTGATTCACTAATTTCTCCCTAGCTTCTATGGGACATGTATTCATAAGAGGAGGCCAACAACATTTGTTAGTGCTGCTATCCTGTCTGTTATGAATTTTATTTTTTATTATTTTAATTTTAGAGATGAGGGTTCTTGCTCTGTTGCCCAGGCTAGAGTGCAGTGACCTCATCATAGCTCACTGCTCGCTATAGCCTCAAACCCCTGGACTCAAGGGATCCTCTCAACTCAGCTTCCTGAGTAGCTGAGATTAAGCCATTGTACTCTGCTTGTTATGAATTTTATATGTTGATCTCTTATCCAGTGTTCTTGATGAATCTTTATTAGTTTGCCTGCAGATTTGATATTCAATGTAGAAAACTGTATTTTCTACAGATAATGTGAGTGATGTATCTTCCTTTACAATTCTTAAAATTTTCTTGTAATTAGAATATCTAGTGCAATATTAATAGTAGATTTGATATTGAGAATCATTGTGCTGTTCTTGGCTTTAATTAGAATAATATTTGCTTTTGGTTTTGGATACAGTTCTTAAAGAAATTTCCTTCTATTCTTGGTTTACTGGGAATTTCTTTTTCTTTAAATTATGAATGCTGTTGAATTTTGTCAAATCTCTTTTCTGCATTTATTGTGATGATTATATGGTTTTCCTTCTATAATTTGTTAATATGGTAGGAATATATAAATAGATTTTCTGATGCTGAAACATCCTTGCATTCTTGGAATATATATTGAATTTTATTGGCTAATAGCTTAAAATTTTTGTACATATGCTTATAAATGAGTTTGAGTTATATGATCTTATTTTTGTTCAGTGTGGGACAATTTTATATCAAACCTATAGAGTGAGTTGTATAACTTCTCCCCACCGACTAAACCTGTTTACATAAGAGAATATTTCTTGAACGTCTAAAAAAACTAAGCTGTGAAACCACTTAGAATGGTAATGTTTTTGTGAGGGTAAAGAAATATTTTATTATCAGTTAAATTATTGTAAAGGATTTTTTGTTTTGAGAGAGTGTCACTCTGTTGCCCAGGATGGAGTGCAGTGGTGCAATCTCGGCTCACTGCAACCTCCACCTCCCAGGTTCAAGCGATTCTCCTGCTTCAGCCTCCCGAGTAGCTGGGACTACAGGCACCCACCACCACACCCAGCTAATTTTTGTATTTTTAGTAGAGATGGGGTTTCGCCATGTTGGCCAGGCTTATCTCAAACTCCTGACCTCAAGTGATCCACCCGCCTTGGCCTCCCAAAGTGTTGGGATTACAGGCGTGAGCCACTATGCTCAGGCATTTAAAGGATATAGACATATTTAAGGGGTGAAACTCCTTAAATTCTCTTCTTGAGATAATTTTTAGAATTTAGGTTTTTCTAGAAAATTACCCATTTCATTTAAGCTTCAAAATTTATTGGCTTAAGGTTGTTCCTAATGTTCTCATGATTAAAGAAAAAACTCTATTACATATATGGTTATGCCTCTTTATACGTTGTTAAACTTCACTTAGGATTTTTTGGTCATTATATATTCATAATATATGTGATGTATATATTATAATTCATGGTTCATGAATACTATATATATAAAATACTATATATATCTGGATAGATATATGTTGACAGATATCTAGATCTATACAGATAGAGACATGGCCCTTAATATATAATATCCAATGAAGATTTAAGAACTTAACTAAATTATTACCAAAAACATGCATTCTTTTCTGGACTCCTTTCTAATCGCATTTGCGTGTCTCCCTGCTTCTGAGGAATCATCTCTAACTTGAATCTTGTTTAGCATTCTCCTGCTTTAAAAAGTATTTTATTGCATATACATATGTATGTCTCTATAATACATGAATCAGTCTTGCTTGATTTTGAACTATATAAAAGGAGTATCTTACTATATGTAATTCTCTGTGATTTTCTTTTTCATGTGACATTTTAAGATTCATCCAGGTCATTTATGTAGTTTTAATTTTTCATTTTCATTTCTCTGAAATATTCCATTGTGAGAATATACCCATTTAACTTTTCCCTGTCAATTTTTTTCCCCCTGACATTTAGGCTATTTCTAGTTTTTTGATATTATGAATAGTGCTGCTATGACATTTTTGTACTTATCTCTTGAGACACACATACTAAAGTTTTTCTTGGATATGTGTCTGGGAGTAGAATTACTGAGTTGTGGGGTATAAGAACTTTGTTTTATACGATAATGCTGTATTGTTTTATAAAATGACTATCAGTTTGCACTCTCAGCAGTTACACATGGGGATCCTACTGACACATATTTTTGCCAAAACAGTATGTTTGGCAAAAAATGTCTTCAATTTGATCGTCATGGCCAATGGGAGTCAGGGCTAGATTGCAGCTCCAGACACAGCAGCTTGCGGAAGCTCGCATTGTGAATTTTAGCTCCAGATCAACTGGCAAGTACAAACCAGCAAACCCGAGAGGACCCACAGACCGTCCGAAGGAAACAGACTGCTCCTGCGGGACCCAGGAGACACCCCGAATACTGTGAGAGCCCCAACTGTGGAGGTGGAAAAGGGAGACCCTCCTCTCCCCAACACACACACCCACAGGAGAAGCTAAATGTCCATTTGCAGGAGAAGTTTCTGACTACCTGGAGCTGAGTCAATTTAGAGAACTGAACAAAATACAGGTGTTGACGAAGCATCAGAAAGGCCCTGGGAGCTCACTGTGTCCCCTAGCAGGCCATTCCTGCTGGCACCACAGGGATCCATAGGGAGGATGATGAGAGGAGCAGGGGGTGAAACTCCACCAGGAGAAGGAATTCTGTAGCCGAACTTTGTAAGAATTTGAACGGGGTGAGAAGGCCCCTGGCCAGAACCTGGGTGAGGGCACAAATCCGGTGTGCAGACTCCACAGGTGGGGAAAGAACCAAGCCCTTTTCTTTCTCAGCTGGAGAGGCAGGTAGCCTGGGGCAAGTTTTCAAGCCTGTCATGCTCTGCACCTGGAAACGGACTTGGGCTCTTGGTGGGGGCACGGTGGGAGTGAGACTGGCCTTTTGGTTTGTGTGGGAGCTGGGTGAGACTTGTGACTGCCGGCTTTCCCTTGCTTCCCTGACAACATGCATGACTCAGCAGAGGCAGCCATAATCCTCCTAGGAACACAACTCCAGTGACCTGGGACTCTCACCCTCATCCCTCACAGCAGCTGCAGCAAGACCCGCCCAAGGAGAGTCTGAGCTCAGACACACCTAGCCCCATCCCTACCTGATGGTCCTTTCCCTATCCACCCTGGTAGCAGAAGACAAAGGACATATAATCTGGGGGGCTCTAGAGCCCTGCCCACTGCCAGTCCCTCTCTATACTACTACAGCTGATGCTTTCTGGAAAGTGCCACCTCCTGGCAGGGGGCCAACCAGCACAAAAATAGAACATTAAACCACCAAAGCTAAGAACCCTCATGGAATCCATTGCACACCCCCGCCACCTCTACCAGAACAGGTGCTGGTATCCACGGCTGAGAGAACAGCTCACATTACAGGACTCTGTAGAGACAACCCCCAGTACTAGCTGGTAGCCAGATAGACTCGCTGGGTGGCTAGACTCAGAAGAGAGACAACAATCATAGTAGTTCAGCTCACAGGAAGCCACATCCATAGAAAAAGAGGAAGAGTACTACATCAAGAGAACACCCTGTGGGTCAAAAGAATCTGAACAACAGCCTTCAGCCCTAGACCTTCCTTCTGACAGAGCCTACCCAAATGAGAGGGAAACACAAAACCAACCCTGGTAATAATAACAAAACAAGGCTCTTCAACACCCCCACAAAATCACTCTTTCCCTAGCAATGGATCCAAACCAAGAAGAAATCCCTGATTTACCCGAAAAAGAATTCAGAAGGTTAGTTACTAAGCTAATCAGGGAGGGACCAGAGAAAGGTGAAGCCTAATGCAAGGAAATCCAAAAAATGATACAAGAAGTGAAGGGAGAAATATTCAAGGAAATAGATAGCTTAAACAATCAAAAATTCAGGAAACTTTGGATATACTTTTAGAAGTGCAAAATGCTCTGGAACGTCTCAGCAATATAATGGAACAAGTAGAAGAAAGAAATTCAGAGCTCAAAGACAAGGTCTTTGAATTAACCCAGTCCAGCAAAGACAAAAAAGAATAAGAAAATATGAACAAAGCCTCCAGGAATTCTGGGATTATGTGAAATGACCAAACTTCAGAATTATCAGCATTCCTGAGGAAGAAGAGAATTCTCAAAGCTTAGAAAACATGTTCAGGGGAATAATCAAGGAAAACTTCCCTGGCCTTGCTAGAGACCTAGACATCCAAATACAAGAAGCACAAAGAACACCTGGAAAATTCATCACAAAAAGATCTTTGCCTAGGCACGTTGTCATCAGGTTATCCAAAGTTAAGACAAAGGAAAGAATCTTAAGAGCTCTGTGACAGAAGCATCAGGTAACTTATAAAGGAAAGCCTAGCAGATTAACAGCAGATTTCTCAGCAGAAACCCTACAAGCTAGAAAGGATTGGAGCCTTATCTTCAGCTTCCTCAAACAAAACAATTATCAGCCAAGAATTCTGTATCCAGTGAAACTGAGCATCATATATGAAGGAAAGATACAGTCGTTTTCAGACAAACAAATGCTGAGAGAATTCGCCATTACCAAGCCACCACTATAAGAACTGGTAAAAAGGAGCTTTAAATCTTGAAACAAAACTTGGAAACACATCAAAACAGAACTTCTTTAAAGCATAAATCACACAAGACCTATAAAACAAAAATACATGTTAAAAAGCAAAAACAAAAAAACCAAAGTACACAGGAAACAAAGAGCACGATGAATGCAATGGTATCTCACATTTCAATACTAATATTGAATGTAAATAGCCTGAATGCTCCACTTAAAAGATACAGAATCACAGAATGGATCAGTACTCACCTACCCTCTGCTGCCTTCAGGAGACTCACTTAACACATAAGGATTCATATACTTAAAGGGGTGGAAAAAGGCATTTCATGCAAATGCACTAAAAGCAAGCAGGGGTAGCTATTCTTATATCAGATAAAATGAATTTTAAAATAACAGCAGTTAAAAGACAAAGAGGGACATTATATAATGATAAAAGGCCTTGTCCAACAGGAAAATATCACAATCCTAAACATATATGCACCGGACACTGGAGTTCCCAAATTTATAAAACAATTACTAATAGACCTAAGAAAGGAGATAGACAGCAACACAGTAATAGTGGGGGACTTCAATACTCCACTGACAGCACTAGACAGATCATCAAGACAGAAAGTCAACAAAGAAACAATGGATGTAAACTATACTTTGGAACAAATGGACTTAACAGATATATACAGAACATTTAATCCAACAACAGCATAATACACATTCTATTCAACAGTGCATGGAAATTTCTCCAAGATAGACCATATGATAGGCCATAAAACGTGCCTCAATAAATTTAAGAAAATTGCAATTATATCAAGCACTATCTTTGACCACAGTGGAATAAAACTGGAAATCAACTCCAAAAGAAACCTTCAGAACCATGCAAATACATGGTAATTAAATAACCTACTCTTGAATGAGCATTGGGTCAAAAATGAAATCAAGATGGAAATTTAAAAGTTCTTTGAACTGAATACAATAATGACACAACCTTTCAAAACCTCTGGATACAGCAAAGGCAATGTTAAGAGGAAAGTTCATAGCCCTAAGCACCTACATCAAAAAGATAAAGAGTACAAACTGGTATTCTAAGGTCACACCTTAAGGAACTAGAGAAACACAGGAACAAAGCAAACCCAAATCCAGCAGAAGAAAGGAAATTACCAAGATCAGAGCAGAACTAAATGAAATTGAAACAAAAAATACAAAAGATAAATGAAACAAAAAGCTGGTTCTTTGAAAAGATAAATAAAATTGATAGACCATTAGCAAGGTTAACCAAGAAAAGAAAAGAGAAAATCCAAATAACCTCACTAAGAAACGAAACAGGATATATTACAACTGACACCACTGAAATACAAAATACCATTCAAGGCTACTATGAACACCTTTATCCACATAAACTAGAAAACCTAGAAGAGATGGATAAATTCCTGGAAAAATACAACCATCCTAGCTTAAATCAGAAAGAATTAGATACCCTGAACAGACCAATAACAGGCAGGGAGATTGAAATGGCAATTTAAAAATTACCAACAAAAAGTCCAAGATCAGGCAGATTCACAGCAGAATTCTACCAGACGTTCAAAGATGAATCGGTACAAATCCTTTTGACACTATTCCACAAGATAGAGCAAGAAGGAACCCTCCCTAATCTATTTTATGAAGTCAGCATGACCTGATTACCAAAACCAGGAAAGGACATAACCAAAAGAAAAACTAAAGACTGATATCCTTGATGAACATTGATGCTAAAATCCTTAACAAAATATTAGCTAACCGAATCCAACAACATGTCAAAAAGATAATCCACTATGATCAAGTGGGTTTCATACCAGGGATGCAGGTATGGTTTAACATACGTAGCCAATAAATGTGATATACCACATCAACAGAATTAAAAAGAAAAATCATATGATGATCTCAATAGGTGCAGAAAAAAGTTTCAACAAAATCCAGCATCTCTTTATGATTAAAACTCTCAGCAAATTCAGCATACAAGGGACGTAACGTAATAAAAACCATCGATGACAAACCCACAGCCAACATAATACTTAGTGGGGAAAAGTTGAAAACATTCCTTCTGAGAACTGGAACAAGACAAGGATGCCTACTCTCACCACTCCTCTTCAACATAGTACTGGAAGTCATAGTCAGAGTAATCAGACAAGAGAAAGAAATAAAGGGCATCCAAATTGGGAAAGAAGAAGTCAAACTGTCACTGTTTGCTCATATGTTCGTTTGTTTGCTAATATGTTCATTTATTTTGAAAACCCTAAGGACTCCTCCAGAAAGCTCCTAGAACTGGAAAATAATTTAGCAAAGTTTCCAGATACAAGATTAATGTACACAAATTGGTAGCTCTTCTATACACCAACAGCGATCAAGTGGAGAATCAATTCAAGAACTCAACCCCTTTCACAAGCTGAAAAAAAAAAACTTAGGAATATATCTAACCAAGGAGTTGAAAGACCTCTACAAGGAAAACTACAAGACACTGCTGAAAGAAATCATGGATGACATGACATAATGGAAATACATCTCATGCTCATGGATGGGTAGAAACAATATTGTGAAAATGACCATACTGCCAAAAACATCTACAAATTCAGTGCAGTCTCCATTAAAATACCACCATCACTCTTCACAGAATTAGAAAAAATAATTTTAAAAATCATATGGAACCAGAAAGACCTGCATAGCCAAAGTAAGACTAAGCAAAAAGAATAAATCTGGAGGCATCACACTACCTGATTTCAAGCTATACTATAAGGCTATAGTCATCAAAACAGTATGGCACTAGTATAAAAATAGGCACATAGACCAATGGAACAGAATAGAGAACCCAGAAATAAACCCAAATACTTACAGCCAACTGATCTTTGACTAAGCAAACAAAAACATAAAGTGGGGAAAGGATATCCGTTTCAACAAATGGTGCTGGGATAATTGCCTAGCAACATGTAGGAGACTTAAACTGGATCCTCATCTCCCACTTTGTATAAAAATCAACGCATGATTAAGGACTTAAACCTAAGACCTGAAACCATAAAAATTCTAGAAGATAACACTGGAAAAACCCTTCTAGACATTGGCTTAGGCAAGGATTTCATGACCAGGAACCCAAAAGCAAGTGCATTAAAAACAAAGATAAATAGCTGGGGCCTAATTAAACTAAAGAGCTTTTGCACAGCAAAAGGAACAGTCAGCAGAGTAAACAGACAACCCACAGAGTGGGAGAAAATCTTCACAATCTATACATCGGACAAAGGACTAATATCCAGAATCTACAACTATCTCTAACAAATCAGTAAGAAAAAAGCCAAACAATCCCATCAAAAAGTGGGCTAAGGACATGAATAGACAGTTCTCAAAAGAATATATACAAATGGCCAACAAATATATGAAAAAATGCTCAACATCACTAGTGATCAGGGAAATGCAAATCAAAACCACAATGTGATACCACCTTATTCCTGCAAGAATGGCCATAATCAAAAAATCAAAAAACAGTCAATATTGGTGTGGATGTGGTGAACAGGGAACACTTCTACACTGCTGGTGGGAATGTACAGCCACCAGTGGAGATTCTTTAAAGAACTAAAAGTAGAACTACCATTTGATCCAGCAATCCCACTACTGGGTATCTACCCAGAGATGAATAAATCATTATTCAAAAAATATACTTGCACATGCATGTTTAAAGTGGCACAATTCACAATAGCAAAATTGTGGAACTAACCCAAATGCCCATCAATCAACAAGTGGATAAACTGTGATTGATACACACACACACACACACACACACGATGGAATACTATGCAGCCATAAAAAAGAATGAATTAACAGCATTTGCAGTGACCTGGATGAGATTGGAGACTATTATTTTAAGTGAAGTAACTCAGGAATGGAAAACCAAACATCGTATGTTCTCAGTGATATGTGGGAGCTAAGCTATGAGGATGCAAAGGCATAAGAATGATACAAAGGACTTTGGACACTTGGGGGGAAAAGTTGGGGGGGTGGTGAGGGATAAAAGACTACAAATATGGTGCAGTGTATACTGCTCAGTTCATGGGTGCACTAAAATCTCACAAATCACCTCTAAAGAACTTACTCATGTAACCAAATACCACCTGTACCTCAGTAACTTATGGAAAAATAATAAATAAAAATAAAAATAAAATGCAGGGATGGAGTGCCCACTGATAGCCAGACCTAAAAAAAGTCTTCAATTTTTATAAATCAAATTAGCAAAAAAATGACATCTCCGTTTGATTTGAATTTCCCTGATTACTAGTGCAGTTGGACATATCTTCACTTTATTAGCCATATGGTATATAATTCAGAAAATCTTTTTTCCATAACTAGATTGTTTCTTATTATTGTATAGAAATTTAAGAATATATTTTCAATTTGGACAGTTTCTTCATTATATGCATATTTTGATTATTTACTTTTTTAAAGTGTCTTTTTGAGCAGAAGTTTAAAAACTCTTAATGCAGTTGAATCTGTCAACATTTTCTTTTTGAGGTTAGTGCTTTTAGTGTATTAAGAAATTTTTCCCTACTACAAGGCCAGAAAGACATTTACCTATACTTTTTTTTCTAAAAGTTTTAAAGGTCTACTTTTCAAAAAATCTGTAATTGAGTCCAACTCTTTGGTGAAACATTTAATCTTCTATTTTCTCTACCTTTTCTTTATTGTCTTTAGCATCATAATCATATTTAAGATCCTTGTGTACTAACACTAACGTCTGTATCCCCTGTAGGTATGTTTCTATTATCTATTTTTTCTCTTATTACTAGTCATCCTGTTTCTTGGCATACCCAGTAACTTTTTAAATAGAATACTAGACTGTATGGGTACACATATACACATACACACACAGTAGAGGTTCCATGTAATGTTAACTTCATCCTGAAAGAGTTCGTCTTTCCTCTGCTAGACAGAGTGGGAACTGATCAACTAATCACATTAGGAAACAAACTGATTCAAGGCCAGTTGCGATTTTGGTATGGTGAAGTCTGTGTCTGGTTTACTTGGCTCCTAGATAGATCCTAAACTCTAATCCTTGTGTTGTAGCATGGTATGACTCCGGACAACTTTTCCCTGTTTTTTGTGTTGTTTTGTTTTCTTCTGTAGGCTTCCAGCTTAATTTTTTAACCTTCTGAGTCACAGCTTTAGATTTTCAGCCAATGTACTGAGCTCTATATATTGGCTCTGTGTCCAGCTCGGTATTCTTGCCCACTCTTTCTCAGTCATCTCACCAGCCCCTCTCCCCACGCAAATGTCTCTGTTGGTTTTTCTGTCCCCCAGCAGCAGCCTTCCCTCTGGGAGGCAAATTCCAGATTATCAGCCTCTTTCCCTATGCTCAGAATCAGTAATGACCCCAGGAAAAACAAAAACAAATGCAATTTATTGGTTGAAATCTCTGAGCTGTCCTCCTTTTTAGAATATTCTCCTCTCCCCAGTTTTGGTTGTTTTGTCAGCTCTCCAATGCCTTGAAACTAATTCTTTTATCTTGCTTTGTTTTATTTAGCTTTTCCAGTTGTTTTGGGCTAGAGAGTGGTCTGCTGCAAACTACTTAAGCATAACCAGAAGCAAAAATCCATATTGTTTTAAAAATGAGTTCTGGGGAGCCCTTGCTAAGGAACAGAAGAGAAGCTGCTGGAAGATTCATCCTCTGGGGTCTCTGGGTTGATGTTTTACCTCAATGCATCTAGGACTCAGAATAGCTGGTTGCAACTATGACTCTTCATTAACCTGCTGAATAACATAGACCAGCCATCCAACTTTCCCCACTTAAGAAATGAGGACATTATCTAGTCTTCTCACTTGACAGAACTGTCGTGAGAAAAGATTATTTATGTAAGTGTTTTGGAAAGGTAAAGATGATATACCTGTTGAATGCAGTCAGGTAGTTCTCTGTGATCAGATAGGTGTTTGTGTCTCTAGCTGTTCATTGGATGAATGTCTTTCTCCCCCAACTAGACTGTAAACACTTTAAGGATGGGGCCTATGTCCTCTACTTCCATTTTATTTCCTACAGTTTCACATTGCATGTCATTCACAAAATAGGCATCATTTAAATACCCTACAGAAAAAAATTGAACCTTTTTCTGTGTCTGTCCATACGTGCAGGCTATCAGATATATGATCTAAGTGTTTGTGTCGCCCCCAGATTAATATGCTGAAAGCCTAACCCACATGGTGATGGTATTAGGAGGTGGGGCCTTTGAAAGGCGATTAATGAGAACAGAGACAGCATGATTCAGATTGGTGCTCTTGTAAAAGAGGCCCCAGAGAGCTAGTGAGCCTTTTCCACCGTGGAGGACCCAGCAAGAGGGCTCCATCTATGAACCAGAAATCAGGATCTCACCAGGTTTCCCAGCCTGAAGAACTGGAAGAAATAAACTTCTGTTGTTTATAAGCTACCCAGTTTATGGTATTTTGTTGTAGCAACCCGAATGGATTAAGACAAGCCTCATTTTTATTTTCAGTCTATGTTGGTAAATCCCAGCTTAGGGATTTGCCGTTTGAGGGACAAGTTTTGATCATCAGCTCTTCCTCTTTTATTTTTAACTTTTTTCTTTTATTATTTTTAATTGACACATAATTGTGCATATTTATGGGGTACATCTTGATACATGTATACAATGTGTAGTGATCAAATCAGAGTAATTAGCATATCCATCATCTCAAACATTTTTCACTTCTTTGGGAATATTCAAAATCATCTAGCTATCTGAAAATATACAATAAGTTGTTGTTTATAGTCACCCTACAGTGCTGCAGAACACTAGAACTTGTACCTCCTATCTAGCTGTAGTTGTGCATCCATTAACCAACTTCTCCCTATTTTCTCCTTCCCTCTAGTAACCATATTTCTACTTTGTGCTTCTATGAGATCAGCTGTTTTAGCTTCCACATAAGGGTAAGAACAAGCAGTATTTATTTTTCTGTCCCTGGCTTATTTCACTGAACATAATGTTCTCCAAGCTCATCCATGTTGCTGTAAATACCAGGATTTCATTCTCTTTATGGCTGAATAGTATTCCATTGTGTATATAGGCCACATTTTCTTTATCCATTTATTTCTTAATGGGCACTTAGTTTGGTTCCATATCTTGGTTATTGCATATAGTGCTGCAATAAACATGGAGGTGTGGATAATCTCTTCAACATACTGATTTCCCTTCCTTGGGTATAGCTAGATCATAAGGTAGTTCTATTTTTAGTTTTTTGAGGGACCACAATACTGCTTTCCACCATGCCTGTACTAATTTGCATCCCTATTAACAGTGTATAAGAATTCCCCTTTCTCCATATCTTTGCTAGCCTTTTTTTGTCTTTTTGATAATAGCCTTTCTAATGGGTGAAATGATATCTTGTGGTTTTGATTTGCATTTCCCTGATGATTAGTGATGTTGAGCATTTTTTCATGTACTGGTTGGCCAGTTGTATATTTTTTTTTTCTGAGAGATGTGTATTTAGTTCATTTGCCCATTTTAAAATCAGATTATTATGATTATTTTTTGCTGTTAAGTTCCCTGTATATTCTGGATACTAATTCCTTGTTGGATGAATGGTTTGCACATATTTTCTCCCATTCTTTAGGTTGTCTCTTCACTCTGTTGATTGCTTCATTTGCCATGGAGGAGCCTTTTAGTTTGATATAATCCCATTTGTCTATTTTTGCTTTTGTTGCAGGTGCTTTTGCAGGCCTATCCATAAAATCTTTGCCTGTTCCAATGTCCTGAAGCATTTCTGCTATGATTTCTTCTAACAGTTTCATAGTTTGGGATCTTATATTTAAGTCTAATTCATTTTACTTTTTTTTATATATAGCGAGAGATAGGGTTTAGTTTCATTCTTCCGTGTATGGATATTGTATTAGTCTGTTCTCATGCTGCTAATAAAGACACATCCAAGACAGGATAATTTATAAATGAAAGAGGTTTAATTGACTCTCAGTTCAGCATGGCTGGTTAGGCGTCAGGAAACTTACAGTCATGGTGGAAGGTAAAGCAAAGACATCCTTCATCACATGGTGACAGCAAGGAGAAGTACAGAGCAAAGGGGCAAAGCCCCTTATAAAGCCATCAGATCTCATGAGAACTCACTCAGTATCATGAGAATGGCATGAAGTAACCGCCCCCATGATTCAGTTACCTCCCATTAGGTCCCTCCCACAACCTTTGGGAATGATGGGAACTACAGTTCAAGATGAGACATAGGTGGGGACACAGCCAAACCATATCAGATAAGCAGTTTCCCCATCACCATTCATTGAATAGACTGTCTTTTCCCCAGTAAATGTTCTTAAGATCTTTGTCAAAAATCAGTAGGCTGTAACTGTGTGGATTTATTTCTGGGTCCTCTATTCTGGTCCATTGGTCTACATGACTGTTTTTATGCCAGTACTATGCTGTTTGGGTTACTATAATTTTGTAGTATATTTTCAGTCAGACAGTGTGATGCCTCCAGTTTTGTTCTCTTTGCTCAGGATTGCTTTAGCTATTTGAGGTCTTTTGTGGTTCCGTATGAATTTTAGGATTGTTTTTCTATTCCTGTGAAGAATGTCGTTGATCTTTTGATAGCGATTGCATTGAATATGCAGATTGCTTTTGGTAGTATGCTCATTTTCACAATATCATTCTACCAGTTCATGAACATGGAAGGTCTTTTCATTTTTTTTGTCCTCTTTATTTCATCAGTGTTTTATAGTTTTCATTGATGAGATCTTTTACCTCCATGATTACATTTATTTTTAGGTATTTTATTTTATTTTATTTTTGTTGCTATTACAACTGTGGTTACTTTCTTGACTTCTTTTTCAGCTAGTTTATTGATAGTCTATAAAAAACGCTATAGATTTTTATGTGTTGATTTTGTATCCTGCAGCTTTACTGATTTTTAAAAATCAGTTCTAAAAGTTTGATGGCACTCTTAGGGTTTTCTATGTGTAAGATCGTGTCATCTGCAAATAGGGACAATTTGACTTCTTCTGTTCCAATTTGGATGCCCTTTAGTTTTTTCTTTTGCCTAATTACTCTGGCTTAAGACTTCCAAAGGTCTACTTTTGACATTTTTATTTTAATTATTTTGTGCTTTCTAGTTTCACTGTTTTTTTTTTTTAATTTCGTTCAATATTGATGCATACTTAAAAGGACTTTCTTCAATACTGGGCAATTCTTAGCTTTTTTTTTTTTTAATATTGCCTTTCCATTTTTACCTTTATTCTCTTTTTCCAGAACTCCTACTTAATGGATATTAGAAATTCTCAATATATTACTCGTCTTTTAACAGCTCTTCTTTAAAAAAAAATCTCTATTTCTCTGTGTACACTATAGAGAAAACATTTTTGTATTTTCTTCAAATTCCCCAATTCTCTCTTTAATTAATCCCAGTCAAGTTATTGTCCTATTATCCTGTTGAGTTTATTAGATCAACTATATTTTTCAACTTAATGGTTGTAATTTTAAAAAATACTCACTTGTTCTTTTTACGTTTCTATTTCATAATTTTATTGTTATTTGTAGATATGATTCCTTCATTTATCTCTTTGTAGATCCTAAACATATTTATTTTGAGGCCTATTTCAGATTGTTTTCTTATTTTATTTCTATCTGTAGTGAACTCATATTTTGATCGTTAATTTTGTTGGCTTTTTTCCTATTTCTTGCTTTATTTGGAACTTATATTTTTAGGCTCATTTTAAATGGGTGGATATTTTTCTTTCACTCTTTCCTTATTTTAATTTAATTTACTCTCCAGTTAATGGTTTTGAAATGACTGTCCGTAGGCCCCACAGAACCATGCTTTTTATTGGTGGTCTAGGACTCAGGCTCTGCAGTGAAACTGGGCATGGTATAGCTTTGGCTGGCTGGTGGTTTGATTCCTTTCCGGATCTTAAGGCTCTGTCTGCTTTATTTTGCTGAAGCATTTGGCAATAACTTTTAGGAGGCCCAGAAGTCAACCCAAAAATACATTTTATTCTGTAGTTTCTTAATTGTTAATATCAAGTGTAAAACATTATCCCTTGCCTCCTCCCACTTTAGATGAGTAATTTAACATGTAAATTCCCCCTTCTCTCCTCCTTCTTGGTTTTGCTAATATGATTTGGGATTTTAAATCAGAATTACTGCTCTAAATTTATTGTTTTAAAAGGCCAGCTTCCCTCTTAAACAGGGAATGCTTCAGTGTAATATAATAGGAACACCCATGATTCTCTAAACTTCCATAAATGAAGCACTAGTGATCATAAAGAAGATGAAGAAATTTTGGGGGACTGCCAATTTCCTTTCACCTAGGTGATAATTGTAAAAAGTGAAACATAAAAGTGGCCTGACTAAAACAGGCAATCTTCGTAGGTCTTTCTAATAGTTATCTTTGTTTCAGTGCAGCTTTTAGCTTATGTCCTGGTTATAAATAGGTTACACAATAGGCATTGGAAATATTCATGAGAGTGTGGAGGTATTTAAATGGCAAGTAATTGCTGGAGTTACAGCAAAAACTAAAAGCTAGATGGTCTACACTATCACGGAATTTATCACAGTTAAACAAACTGTGAGCCATTTGTGCTTCCTCTTCAAGTTCACCTTCAACACGTTTCATCTGTCTTCCATCTCCATGGCTGCACTAAAGCTGCCCTGGTCAAGGATGCTCATGATCTCCATGTTGCCAAACCTAATAGACCTCACTGTACTTGACTTTTTGGCAACATTCATGAGAGTTGACTGCCCATCTTTCTTAAGACACTTTTCCCTCTTAGTTTTGATGAAACCAACTCCTATTTTTCCTCCTGTTTTTCTGGCTGCTCCTTGACTTTTTGACCGATAAATATTAGAGTTCCCAGGGCTTATTCCTGAGTCTTATTTTCTATCAATACTCTCTCCTTATGAAACCTTAACCAGTCCCATAGCTTTAAATAATGCATAATGAGGATTCTTAGTTAATTTTCAGCTCTAAACCCTCTTCCAAATTGCAAACTAACTCATAGGACTGATTTCCTGTTTGATATCACCACATGGATGTGTAACAAACGTTTCAAACTTAACATGTCTGAAACAAACCAGGAATTGTCACCCATCCAATGGTTCCTTCCCAATTCCCCCCAGCACTGAACCTCAGTAAATGATCCTACCAGACAGTTGCTAAGCCAAAAATCTAGAAATCTCTTATCACTGTTTCTTTAACCCCAACATCCAATCCATCAGATCACCTACAATATACATGTTGACTCTACCATGTCTCTCCATTCCCATCACCACTATGAAAGTTTAAGCCACCATCACCTCTTGTCTGGACCACAGCAATTGATTCCCATTGGTCTCTCTGCTTTTATGCATGCCTCACTCCAGTGTCTTCTTTGCATGGCCAACTAATCTTTTTAGAATATGAATCGTGTCATGTTATTCCCTAGCTAAAGACCCTCAGTGATTTCCCAGTGAATTTAGAAAAGGTCTAGATTTTCTTAACCTGGCTTGTTGCAGCAAACTCACCTTATTCTATTCTCCCTTTAGTTCTTTCTCTTCGAAAACATGGCAAGTTTCTGTGCCTTAGATATTTGGTATTTTCTTTTCCCTCTGCCTGGGAGATTCCTTGCCTGTCTCTCTGCAAGGTTTTGACATAAACATGACATCCTCAAAGACTTTTCCTCCGACCACACTATCTAAAGTATCTCCTGGATTATTTAGTTCAGTTAATATTTTCTTTTTTCCCTTTATACTAGTACATGGAACTTTCTCGTTTGTTTCTTTACTCTCTATCTCTATCCATTAGAATGTAAGTTCCCTAATGGCTGAGACTTCATCTTGTTCGTGGATATAGTCTCATAACCTAGAACTAGGATGACAATATAATTTATTTTCCAAATTGGGACACTTTTGTTTGTGCTAAAATACCATGATGAGTGAGATGCAAGGATAATAGGTGTAAGCACAGACTACACCAGGAAAATGCGGATTTACAGTCAAGCTGCCTAGAGCATAAGCTGACATCTAGTTAGCCCTCAATAATGAACTGTTAAAAACAGTTACAGAATCACATGCTGCTAAGTGAAGGAAGCCAGTATGAAAAGGATGACTACTGTATGATTCTGTTTATAAGAGATTGTAGTGAAGACAAAACTATAGCAATGGTAAACAGATCAGTGATTGCCAGGGCTTGGGGAAGGGAAAGAGTTGAATAGGTGAAGCATGGGGGATTCTTTAGGACAGTGAAACTCACCTATGTGATGCTGTCATGGTGAATTCATGACATCTTGCATTTGTTAAAATCCATAGAACTTTGCAAACAGTGAACTTCTTATATACAACTTTTAAAAAATCACTTAGGAGGTCAGGGGATCCCAGGATGGAATATAGGCTACAACAAAAGAACTTAATGTGTTATAAATGTATATGATAACCTCACTGAAGGAAGTGATAGGGTTGGGGTTGGGGAGGTACTGACCTAAGTAACTTTGGAAATGAATGGAGACTGGAAGACTAAAGCCATAGTAACTGCACATAAGCACTGTTCTATTTGGTAAAGCTTTCCCTTGCCTGGCTCTCTGTAAGGTTTTGACACAAATATGACATCCTCAAAGATGTTTCCTCCAACCACGCTATCTAAAGTATCACGTATAATAGGAGCAAGCTGAAGAATGCTGTAGGCAATGAGTGGTATGTGGGAGGACCCACAGGCAAAAAACAAAAGATTGCATTGCAAAAACATTAGCAAGTCCAGTATCTTATATCCATCACTCTTTCTTCACATGAAAGCTCTTTCTTTAAGAGCTCCTGAAAGGACTGTTATGATTCCCATTTTACAGATGAGGAAATCAAGACCCTGAGAGGTAGTGCTTTTCCCAACGACATACACCCTATTGGTGGTTAAAACAGAACAGGGAGCCCAGCCTATCAGACTCTAAAACCTATACCATTCCTCTCATGTTACTCTCCATTTGCTTAAGAATCCTATAGAAGTCGGCTGTAGTCAGTTTCTCACTTCTGAAAATGAACAAAACTGAGTGTGTATGGAGCTAACATGCAGATCAGTAGGGGGGCTGGGAAACGTTGACCATGGCAGCCGCTAGTTCTCACTAAGTTGCTCTCACAAGCAGCATTCTCTTACTTGCCAGGAACCAGAGCCCTATGAAACCAGAGGTCAAATTCCAACCTATGAACCCAAGGGAAATTATGTATCATGAAAATATGGCCTGGGAAGTGGAACCAAAAAAAAAAAAGTCCTGTTATGGAAAGGAGAATGAGAATAGTAGAAGGAAAGGCAGGGTTGGAGACAGACTGTACTGGGACTGGGGTGGTGGAGAGATGAGCAAGGTGAGCAGCTCAGTCTCCACGTGGCAGGTGCCCCCAGGAAGAATCAAGAGTTGGCCCAACGCTGCTCATTTAAATGGCTCTGCTGCCACCTCTACCTCCCACCTCCTTCCTCCTCCTCCATCACCACTATGTAGCAAGCTGCTAAAAAACCAGGAGGAACTGTCCAAACCTAGCACCTGCCTAAAGAGGATCATGGTTGTCTTCCACCTGCTGGGCCTGGGAACAGGGCAACATTTTCTGGAGTAGGATAGGAAAAGAGATACCGTAGCCTGAAAACAAACTCAAGTGCTAGACTTCAGCATTATAGCACTGATAACAGAGAGTCCATAAAATGGCAAAAAAAAAAAAAAAAAAAAAAGGCCAAAATACTTTTTCGGAACACCCACACCAATGTAGGAAAGCACTCAGAGGGGGTTGAATATTTGGCAAACTAGTTATAATGGATCATAAGCTCAACTGCTTTTAAGCTAAAGGGCTGGGGATAAGTTTACTAATGAAAAGGGATGGCAAGTATAATACTGTCTGATATTGTTGGTCAAAAGAATGTGAGGCTTGGGAAGGGGAACTGGTAATCTGTTTTGTCCCTCTGTCCCAGTTCCCAGGTGGAATGATTCCTAGGTTCAGCACTGTGGCATCCTTTGTGGCCCCTTCAGCCCTCCTACTCAGGCTCCAGAACTGGAGCTGATTTGTCCTGGGTCCCACCCACCTAGAGGATGGCCTTTTCAGAGTTTGACCTGTTGTTTGTGTGGTCGTTTGATAGAGGGCCAGAATTTTCTCTAGGGTGAATTAAATTTTTGGGATCCAGGTTTGGGGCACACCCAGTATCTCCTAATGACTTAGCTAAAGAGACTCAATTTTACCGCACAGATGGAGTCAGGCATGTTGTTCTCTTTCCAAGCAAGCTGGAATCAAAGGGAGGTGTGGTACAGGCTCAGAACTTTGAAGCTGGAAGCAATTGACATTTGGATCCTGGAGGAGGAAGGGGAAGTATTTGTGGTTCGATGTTTACATTGGCTCAGATAACAGGGCTCAAACAGTTGCGGTCTTACTTTCTCATCATCACGCCCTCCTGCATCAGCCTCACGGAGCTGGCTAAGTAGGGTCCTAGAGACATTCCTCACTGCTGACCTTTGTCCTGGCTGTTTCTAACACAAGCACCATTAGCTGTCCTGTAGCATAGGATATAAAATGTCGGGGAGTGGGGGTGGCGTGAGAGTTCACCAGGTCAGCCTGCTGCTCTGACTCTGAGTCCTATATAGCATTCTCTGTTAATTGTTTGAAGTTCTGTGCAAGAAGATGGCACCACTCTGAAATATTAACATAGAATGGGGCTACTTGGGGGAAAATATATGAGCAATGTAAGTACTATGAATTCTTTTTTAAGAAAACATGCCAGAAGGATAACACTTCTGTATGAATACTTCAAGGTACTTACTGAAGCAAGCTGTATACTGGTACCATCTTGATCCTAACACTGAGCACACTGCTGGAGCTCATGTTTGGAAATGGTCTTGGGGGACTTGCTACATTCCTTTGCATGCCATCAATAGTGAGTCTTCATTCTTGAAGGACGTATTTGATTTGAGGAAGAGCCAAACTTCATAATAACCTCAATCTAGAATGATAGGTAATTTGGCAGAGAATTATTGTTTTGGGTAGAAATAATTATAAAACCTTTTTTTCTCTTCTAACATCATCTTTCTGACTGACATCACAGAGTCTAAGATTTTCAGTTTTGGAAACATTTGGAGAAATAATGAAAGGCATTCCAAAAGAACTTCATGCTGAATGCCATTTGGACAATCTAAACTCAGTCCTGAATTTGGAGTATCAATATCATCTATTCAGGGACTGTTAAAAACATGGTATTTCAAGTCAATAAAATTAGTAATAGTAACATTTGTGCAATACTTTTAACTTTTCAGAGGGCCTTTGGAACCCGTATTTAGTGGTTACCAAGTTCCAATGAGGCAATATTTGATCACAAAGATGTTTAACCCCTTTGGGTATAAAGAAAGGGACTTAAACTAACGTTTGATCCTCTGATTGGATGAAAACTTAACTTTTAAAATACATACTATCATATTTTATGGTGAAGTGGTTAGAAACCTCGGCTGGGGAGCCAGCCTACCTGGGTTTCAATCTTGCCTCCATCAATTACATAGCTCAAATTAACCTTTTAGAACTTCAATTTTCTTCTTTGTGAAATGGAAATAACAATAGTACTTACCTCAAAGGATTTTTTGAGTATCAAATGAATTTAAGATATATACATTGCACATAGTAAGCACTAAAAAAATGTCCATTGTGATTACCCAATCACACTATAACATAGCAGGGCAGATATTCTCAATCTCAATTTTATTTGATTGGCACAACGATCTTGATTGAGATGTGAAAATGCGCGAAAAATAAAGAGTCAGAGTTTAAAACTTTCTAAAACTCCCTGTACACAAGCTAGATTATAACAATATCTGTTTTTCTTTTCAGTTACTCTAGTGAACAATACACTCTCAGTTTTAGAACACTGTGACTAAATAGGAATTTGTAAAGCCCATTGTTATTTCTTACTTTTTTCTTATCAGACCATTCCTGAAAAAAGATTTAATACACATGGATGCTTAAAAAATTATAAGAATAATGCAGATTGATAAGACACATGCATTCTACTGTATGTTCATTCAAAATTAAAGCAAAGGGTTGCAAATTCATTTCCCAGAGAATCTGTTAGAAAACTTTGTAGGATTTTTGGTTATGCAAATAAGTGAAAATGTCTTCCTCAATTAATGCTATTAAATTTGGGGTTTAGATGGTAAAATTTAAATTTTAGGACATAAATTACTTCATTTTTCAGCCAAAATGCTGTGATACATGAATGCCTTGTAATTGAAGAGAAGTCACTTAATTCAATTGGATAATCTGGCCAAGTTATTCAGTCACTTTAAGTCTAAATTTCCCCATCAATAAAAAGAGGTTACTAAAAATACTTAATATTAGGCTAGGAAAGAATATATGTGAGTGTTGTGAACAAATACCTGGTAGTCATTTGCCTAGGTGTGTCTGTTAGGGAGCGAATTGTTCTGAGAAATAAGAGGTGATATATTGAAAATACTTAGCACCATGACTGCCACATTTAAGCTCTCAATAAAGAAGAGCTATCAGTATTACTATTACTACTGCTATGATGACTGCTACTACTATCCTTCGAGATCTCATTCAAATGAGCTCACACTCTCCCCAGTTGCAATAAATAATTTGGTCAATTATCACAAGACGCTATATTTTATTATATATGTGCATGTCCCAAGAGCTGAAAAGGATCCACAAGCATTTTAAGAGAGCCCCTTTTACTGGTTCAAGAGTTAAGATTTATGTGTATTCGTGAACATAGTGAAGAAAATTAGCTTGGGCTGGAAGAGAGGAGAGGGTATGGAGGGGTTATGACTCCTGTGTAACCCTGGTTTCTGGGACATGGCAAGGAACCAACAGAGAGAAATTGTGAGAGGGGAAAATTCTGCTTACTGCAGAGTGCTTAAGACTAAGGAGCCACGGTCGTGGGGTGGGGATGATCAGCTTTATGCCTCAGCACAGGGTATAGAGAAGTCCCATGCAGAGAGAATGAGGGGTGCAACCCATATGTCCAGCTCCCAACCCACCAGCTCAAGGCATCAGGGTCTGAACAAAGAGGGTTCAGATGAACAGAAACAAAAATGGTCATTTGATAGACCCATCCAGATGGCCTGAGCCAAGTCCTCCTGGAGCTCAGTCACCATCTGCCTACAATGCCTTCCATCCAATCCCCTCAAAGCCCCCAAGTCACCTTCCAATGAGTCCCATAGTACCCTGTGCATCTTAGGGTAACTGGTGCACTATGTAAATTCAACCCCCCAAGGAGAGACAGAAAAATGATTCTATTTTTTCCCTGCATTATGCTCTCAAATACTGTGTTTGAATGTCCCAGAAATGCATTTGTTACATTTCGTCTGAAGCTGAGGATGGGAGGAGGATGGAGGGAGCAGAAGTGCCTGCCCTCAGCCACATGGAGTGGGGTCCCTTACCTCACCCTACTCTGTCTCCTGTGATGGGCTTCTGCTGAAACTGTGGTCTCTGTGTTGGTGAACAGCAACATTTTTTGGGGGGTGGGGAATGTTCTTCACCTGGAGACACAGGTACCACTCCGTGCCCTTCCTCACTCTCCAAGGCCCTCTGAAAACTAGGAAGAGGAGGAATTTGCCCCATGTTCTTCCTGGGCATACAACACCACATTGCCTTCATGCACTGATGGCTCGCAAGAACTTACTGCCTTAAAAATCTCAGGACAAAAAGCAGACAGCACTCCATATATTTTCATATGCCCTCAACTTTAGGGAGCCCAGATACAACTCTCTTGAGTAAGAAAAGTCCATGATCCACTAATCAGACAGCTCCAGAGAAGACTCATGGGTCCCTCAGCACAGCACTCACCCAGATGAGATGCAAGAAGCAGGACTCCTTTGTCATTTTACATCCCCACCAACAGTGCACAAGGGTTTCAGTTTATCCACCAACATGTTATTTTCTGTTGTTGTTGGTTTTTTTTTTTTTTTAATCAGGGCCATCTTGATGAGTGTGAGGTGATATCTCACTGTGCTTTTGCTATTGTTGTCTTTATTGTTGAGGTTATGAGTTGGGTATGTATTCTGTATATAAACCCCTTATCAGACATGATTTGCAAATATTTTCTCCCATTCCATTTCTCTCAGTCACTCAGTTGATTGTATCCTTTGATGCACAGAGGTTTTTTATTTTGATGTAGTCCAACTTATCTATTTTTTCTTTTATTGGCCTTTGCTTCTAATATCATATCCAAGAAGTCATTGCCAAATCCAATGTCATAAAACTATTCCTTTTGTTTTATTCTAAGAGTTTTATAGTTTTAGCTCTTACACTTAGGTCTTTGACCCATTTGAATTAATTTTTATATATGGCATAAGGCAAAGTTTCCAACTTCATTCTTTTGCATGTGGGTATCCAGTTTTCCCAACACCATTTGTTGAAAATGTTATTTCCCTGTATTAAGTGGTCTGGGCAACCTTGTTGAAAATCATTTGATCAGATATAGGAGGGTTTATTTCTGAGCTGTCTATTCTATTCCGTTTTTTCTATATGTTTGTCTTTATGCCAGTACCAAACTGTTTTGATTTCTATAGCTTTATAATAAAATTCGAAATCAGGAAGTATGAGACTTCCAACTTTGTTCTTCTTTTTCAAGATTGTTTGGCTATTCAGGATCTCTTGAGATTCTATATGAACTTTAGAATGGATCTTTCTATTTCTGCAAATAATGCAGAAATTTTGATAGAGATTGCATTGAATCTATAGCTCTCTTTGGGTAGTATTGATGCCTTAACAATATTAAGTCTTGCAGTTCATGAACACACAGTATCTTTCCATTTATTTGTGCCTTTAATTTTTTCACAAATGTTTTATACTTTCTACTTAACAAGTCTTTCTCTTTCTTGGTTCAATTTATTCCTAAGTGTTTTACTATTTTTGATGATATTGTAAATGGAATTGTTTCCCTGATTTCCTTTCCAGATTGTTCATTGTTAGTGTATAGAAACACGCTGAGTTTTGTGGGCTGATGCTGACTTAATTCTACAACTTTACTGAATTTATTAACAGATTTTATTGTTGTTTTGTTTTAGTATGGAATCCTTATTGTTTTCTATGTATAGGATCACTTTGTCTGAGAATAGAAATAATTTTACTTATTTCTTTCCAATTTTGATGTTTTTAATTTCATCTTCTTGCCTAATTGCTTGGACTAGGGCTTCTAGTATTATGTTTAGTTGAAGTGGCAAAAATGAGCATACTTGCCTTGTTCCCATTCTTAGAAGGAAAACTTACAGGGTTTCACCATTGGGTATAATGTTAACTGTGGACTTTTGATATATGATCTTTATTATGTTGAAGTAGTTTTCCTCTATTTCTGGTTGTTGAGTGTTTTTATCATAAAAGGGTATTGAATTTCATCAAATGCTTTGTCTGCATCAATTGAGATAATCATGGCTTTTTTTTTTGCTTCATTTTGTTAATGTGGTATATTACATGGGTTGATTTTTGTGTGTTGAACCATCCTTGCATTCTAGGAATAAATCTCACTTGCTTATTGTATATAATACTTTTAATGTAGTGTTGAATTCTGTTCACTCGTATTTTGTTGAGAATTTTTGCATCAATATTTAGGAATATTGTTCTGTTGTTTCCTCTTTTTGGATGGTCTTTGTCTGGCTTTGGTATCAGTGTAATATTGGGTTCATGGAATGGGTTTGAAAGTGTTTCCTCCTCTTTGGAAGAGTTTGAGGAGGGTTGGTGTTAATTCTTCTTTAAATGCCTAGTAGAATTCATCAATGAAGCCATTTAGTCCTGGTCTTTTCTTTTTTGGGAGGTTTTTGGTTACTGATTCAATCTCTTTCCTGGCTATAGGTTTATTCATATTTTTTTTTCTTCATGATTCGGTCTTTCTGGGTTGGATGTTTCTAGGAATTTGTCCATTTAAGATACATTATCCATTTTGTTGGTATACAACAGTTTATAGTACTCTCTGATAATCCATATTTCTGTAAAATTGGTTGTAATGTCAATTATTCACCATATTTTTATATTCAGGCTGTTCAGTCCTTGTCCATGTTGAGATATTTAGAAACATTTTTCCCTTCCCAAAGTGAGTGCATCAGAAACCCTTTATTGAACTGAACATAAAATAGAAAAGCACTGGACCCCTTCCATCATGTGGAAAACCAAACCTGGGCACGTTCACTGAAAAAGATGGACCTGGAGAAGGAGGCAGCAAAGGCAAGGCCAACAGGTTGGGAACTTTGGCCACCAGGGCTGGGCTCTGAGGGCTGACCCTGAATGTTGAATGAGGACACTCGGTGAGATGTAGCAGTGTCTTCAGGCATGGCATGGGTCACAGAGGCACAGTGGTCCCACTCATCAAGGCAGCCCAGAGCCTACAGTGTGAACTTAAACCAGGCCAAGGGGGTCTGAGGGTCCCACATGCATATTTAGAGCCCAGTTCTGGCAGATGTGGAGCTCAGCAGAGGTGTAGTGTATTAATATACAGGGGGACTTGTCTTACAGGGCTGAAGCCTGGCCCTCATTGTGCTCTTGAAGAAGCAGAGTCTAGGCTGGGGGTCCCTCAGTGAGCTTCTTCAGGACAGAATGGAGGTATTCCCATTTCCTGCCCTATCATAGTAGTGACCAGGAAAAGGCTATGGAGAACCATGAGTAGTATATATGCAGAAGGGAGATGGCCAACTTTTGTCTCATGTAGCCTTCCTCCTCCAGTTATGACCCTGTTCTCACAGAAGCAAATTCACAATTGGAAAAGGCATGCCTTACTCCCCACTATGGACAGCAAAATTAGTCTGTTATTTTCACATAAGAGATGTCCTTCTACTTGCCCAGCATGATTTCAGATCCCTATTTTCAGCACTTTCATTCCCACCTACCCCTAAACAACCAAGAATATCCCTTAGCCTCCTCATTAGACAACTTTTCTCATCACCCACAATTCATGCAGCTTTTGGCACTTAGCAGGTGTTTGATTGATAGGTGCTGAATGCTGGATTCTATTATTGTGGCCCTTCAGAGTGCCTTCGCTGAGAGAAGATAGAGAAGAAATGTGTTCTCTGCTGAGACTGTAGGAGACCAAAGGGAAATGTGTGTGTCAATAAGTTTTTCCTTTATTTCATTCTTCTCATAAAAATTCACCTACCCAGAGACCAGTATTCTCATTTGAAGCCTTTTGAGAAGGAACACAGCAGATGATAGGCAATGCCAGCTAGCAATTTTTTTTCTTCAAAGCAGGTTAGCAGGTTCAAATAAAACACATTGGAGAGGAATTACTTAAAACCAAAACGGAAACTGTGAAGTGCAAGCTGATATTTTTAGAAGTTTGTGTAATGACAGGTCAGATTCCTGAGGATTAGCCAAAGTGGCAAATCTAACACCACTTATTCAAAAAGGGGGCAAAAGATATAGCAGGCAATTATAGTTTAGCAGCAATTGTGGGGGGAAATCAACTCCTCTTGAACTTATTGAGAAAACAGCTTGAAAAGTGTAATTTGAATATAGATAGCCAACAAGAAGATTTCTACAAAGAGGGGGTGGGAAACTGATGGAGTGAAGAGAGGAAGGGAGAGGAGTTGCCACAGGTTCATTATTTTCATATTTTAAAGCCCTGAACAGTTTGAAAAAATGATTGCCAGAGGAGACCAGGAAAATTAGTGGTTGTCTGATTCAGGATCAATTTTCAAATCTGCCCAGTTTATAATTGTGCAACTTTTGCTGTCATCACTCATGTGACTCAGGGTCCAGATGTTCAGGGTTGAAATGTCCCCAGGGCTTGCCACCTCCCTGGTATGTCCCCGAGCCTCCCTTTTTTCCCCCACCAAACATTTTTCCCCTGTACTTATTTCTTTATATACAAAATGCCTGCATGGGGGCTTAAAAATAAAAGGGAAAAAAGAAACTCTTAAATCCAGAGCTCAAGCTTAATGTGCATTATCTTTGGAAGAAGTGATGATGATTAAATCTGCACTCAGAAATGGGGGGCCAAGATCTTATTTTTTCGCAAGAGCAGATTTTTATGAGAACAGAATTTTGGGCTTTTGGGGGAATGAGCAAGATATGGGCATGAAAGAGAGGAGGGGAGCAGAGGAGACAAATTTGGATAACCTGATGGTTTTCATCAAGACTCAGTTGTCTGGGTTTGTTTTTTTCATTTCCAACCTTTGGAATAATGGGAGAACTTCAGAGTTGGGTTCAACCATTGTGGAAGTCAGTGTGGCGATTCCTCAGGGATCTAGAACTGGAAATACCATTTGACCCAGCCATCTCATTACTGGGTATATACCCAAAGGACTATAAATCATGCTGCTATAAAGACACATGCACACGTATGTTTATTGCGGCATTATTCACGATAGCAAAGACTTGGAACCAACCCAAATGTCCAACAATGATAGACTGGATTAAGAAAATGTGGCACATATACACCATGGAATACTATGCAGCCATAAAAAATGATGAGTTCGTGTCCTTTGTAGGGACATGGATGAAATTGGAAATCATCATTCTCAGTAAACTATCGCAAGAACAAAAAACCAAACACCGCATATTCTCACTCATAGGTGGGAAATGAACAATGAGAACACATGGACACAGGAAGGGGAACATCACACTCTGGGGACTGTTGTGGGGTTGGGGGAGGCGGGAGGGATAGCATTGGGAGATATACCTAATGCTAGATGACGAGTTAGTGGGTGCAGCACACCAGCATGGCACATGTATACATATGTAACTAACCTGCACAATGTGTACATGTACCCTAAAACTTAAAGTATAATAATAATAATAAAAAAAAGATTATTTGGTCCAGCTTTCCTTTAACTGGGTTCAGTCAACTCTTGGGGTCTACAAACATAATCTTAAGAGTCTACAAGTTCTTTGTGAAATTTTAAATTCTATATTCTCATTTTGTTGATGAGTATTGTATTATAATATTGAGGACCTCTGAATGAGGACCTGGGGCCATGTGATTCTGGGACTGTGTTTATGTTGGTCGAAGGGATCACCCAAAGGGAACTTGTACTTTGGCTTGTCTGACTGCGAGTAGGTTAACAGGACCTGATGTCACCATGATGGCTTCCAACCTGGTCCTCTTTGTACTCACACTAAATTCTTTGCCAGACTTACTTTCCATTGATAATTTTCCATTAAGAGACACTTTCATAGGCTATGCTGTTTGTTTCTAAAGTTTTTAAATTAATAAACACTTCGATGTCATGAAAATGATGTCCTGTAACAGATGACTGAAAGAATCAGGTTTAATAGATAAATTACACATTTTGTAAAGTTAAGATTAAATATTATCAGGTGTGCTACATGTTTGAAAGTTTGCAGTAATTTTAAAAGAGAAGAGTCATGGAGAAGTTAGTGATCGCATAACACACAGATGTGTAGCCATACCAAATCTGAAAGTAATCGGGGTATAGCCTTCAATGCTCTATTCATGTTGGGAATAGCAGCTTAGTTTCTGCCAAACAACATTATTTGTTATTTTAAATTAATGCATTTTATTATCTTTTGAGTTTCATTTCTATTTTCTATTCACTTAGTGAAAAGACTTTATAGCTGTTCGATACTTATAAGAAGTTATACCCAGTTTTATATTTGTACAAAACATAAAAATGTGTTAAGTCAACATTATGGATCTGCCAAAAAATTTTCCCATTAAAAGTCTGTCTATAACTTACCCCGGAGCAACACTAATCTGGTCCATTACTCTCATTTAAAGAAATGATCTTCTTCTGTTTTACGATTATGTCTCAGTGTTGGAACTCCATAGTCTTCCCAAAGAAAACTCAACCATCTTGTTTACATAAATATAGTTTATTCTATATTCTTAGTGTAATTAGACTTTCGCTGTTCCTGCATTTGCTCTGTTCCCTACCCCGCCCCCACCAGTGTGCCCTACATCTACTACAGCAAACTTCTGCTTGTGTTTCCAGATCAGCTTGTCAAAAAAGACTGCCTCTTTTGTGAAACCATTCTTCTTTTCCTGGCATGGTGAGTGGCTCTCTTTTGTCTCCTACAGCTTTCAGTCTCTATATCTCACGCAGTGCTCTTCAAGGTCATTGAAAATATCTACTTACCCCTGAATGTCTCCATTTGAGCTTCTCAAAGGCATAGACCTAGCCTTACTCACACCCTATTCTAATCCATGGCTCATTGTTGATACTTAATAAAAGTCTATTAGATAAGTTTTAGACCTCTCTATACCAAAATAATACATCCTAATAAAACCAGTCATCACACCATGCTTTCCCAGACCCAGCCTCCAATGGCATCCTTGCAAGACATCCAAGAGACATTTATTCAGCTGCTAGAATTATTTTTATTGAACTAGAGCATGAGAGGAATAAAACAAAAACAGAGGGGAAATTCTCCAGCTAGACACTATAAAGATCTTTGGAATTTACATGCAGAAGTGGGCAGGCGGCTGTCTCTAGGGTTAGCTTTTGACCTTGCCATTTGTGTTTGAGGAAAAGAGGTTGGAAGTTAATTCTTGTTTGAATCTGGCCTTGCGATTGGCCACAAGTGGGAGGGATTCTCTCTGTAGGAAATGATGCCATCACATTGAGGAGTTGTTTTTTTGGGCTGGCAAATGGAAAATGTTCTTAATGAAAACACAGAATAATCAGTCCGAGCGTGGAGGAGAAGCACTGGGAGGAGAAATGAGAAAGAATCCATATTAAATAGATGTGCCTACCAGCATACTGATGAGGAAAGGGATTTGGAGGTTATTGTAGGGGGGGAAGAAATCTTCAAGTTATTATCCTGATGCTTTTATGTGGCTTAAAAAGTGAATATATGAAATGTGCCACAAGTGGAAGGAAAGTGCCAATCACTGGTGTCTAAACTAGAGGTGTGGTCATAATTTTTAGAGTCATGATGGAGGCCAATATTCTAGGCTATCACCTAGCTGAAGCCCTAAATGTATTTTTATTTGTCAGACTATTTGTCCAAATTTTTGTTTAGAAAATATTGTATCAATACAATCCTAAGCCTTGATAGGGTGTTCCAAGTATGTCACTTATTTCTTCCTATAACACTTTGAGGTAGGTACTAATATTTCCCTCATTTTACTCAGGAAATGGAGTCACCAAGCAGTTAGGAAATATGCCCAAGGTCACATAACTAGTGGGTGGTGGAGTCTATTCTACCCACACAACCTAACTCCAGAGCCCAGGCTGTCCAGCCCTATCCTGTGCTGTCTCTACAGTGGAAAGAACATGGGCTTTGGAACCAGACCAGTCTACATGCACATCTTGACCATTGACCCTTGACACAGGACACGTTATTTAATGTTTCTGAGCCTCTGTTTTGTCATCGACTGAATAGGAATTACAGTATTTAACTCACGGGGTTTTTTGTGTGGATTAAGTGAATGAGTGCATACAACATTCCTGGGGCAGTACATAGAGTAGGTAAATAATTTCCCCACACCTAGATCATCCTTGCTTTAGGAATCCTCAAACCAGAGGCTTCAGGTTTTAGGAATGAGACATGATGTGTGAGGCATGAGCCTGGTTTCTGGGCAGGTGTCTGTGAGAATGTGTATCCCACGAGGCTGAGGTCCCAGTGATATCACGGAGGGGCGTGTGAATGCTCAGAGTCAGGGACTAATGTGATTGTTCCCCTGCCTCTGTATGTTCTCATTAAGAAGATATGGGCCGGGCACGGTGGCTCACGCCTGTAATCCCAGCACTTTGGGAGGCAGAGGTGGGTGGATCATGAGGTCAGGAGATTGAGACCATCCTGGCTAACACAGTGAAACCCCGTCTCTACTAAAAAAAATACAAAAAAATTAGCTGGGCGTGGTGGCAGGCGCCTGTAGTCCCAGCTGCTCGGGAGGCTGAGGCAGGAGAATGGCATGAACCCGGGAGGCGGAGCTTGCAGTGAACCGAGATTGCGCCACTGCACTCCAGCCTGGGCAACAGAGCGAGACTCTGTCTCAAAAAAAAAAAAAAAAAAAAAAAGATATGGCTTAGGAAAATGAGAAAAACGAGACTTTAAGCTGCTTCCTCAAATCTTTTATGCTTTCCGCAAATACCTCTATAGCATACACAAATTTAGCTTTCACAGCGTGAGTGATTCACTCATGTCCTGTCCCAAGCTCATAGTGTCAAGTAAGGTTGAAGTATTACCTTCTTGGGGAAGGTCACAGAGTAAGCAACCGCACATTGATGGTGGAAGGTGGATGCCTAGAACCCAGTGTTCTCCCAGCCCAAACTATCCATATGGGGCAATGAAACAGACACCAACTCATTGGGAGATTCTTGGAATCATTTCCTCTATTCTAGAAATTTCAGGGTCTACAGATGCAGAATTGTCTCAATCTACATTTAAGCCCAGAGTGAATGAACCATCAGGTGGCACCAAACCACAGCTCAGACCAGAAAAGATGTGGACTGCATAGCCAGACCCCTCCTGGAGTGCCTCCAGGTGACATGGGCAGAGTCTACCTGTCATTTCATTAACCTTGGGCTAATGAGAGACTCCATGGTACATGACTGAATTTTTTGGACACCACTTATGTTATTATGGGTTTTTAAATATGTGCTGAATATCTATTTAGGGAAATACATGAAGGACTAGGGATTCCGAAACAAAATAATAAACACAGTCCCCACCTTCCAGGATCTCATGGTTGAACAGGGAGATAGTCAAATAAACTAGTAAAACATGGCGTGACCAGAGCTGCCAAGGAGGGAAGCAAGGAATGCTCTGGGGCTTCGAGGGAGACACAGGAGGGGACTTTGAACCACCTCCCAGAGGAGGAACAGAAGGATGGGAGGGCATTGCAGGAGGAGGGAGAAGCTCGTGTGCCAGCCTGGAGGCTCATGGTTTGCTCCAGGAAGTGAAGAGAAGGAGCATGAGACTGAGATATGAGCTCAAACAAGGAGAGGCTGGGTTACGAGGGCCCCAAATGCCACAATAAGAAGCTTAAGCTTTGTGCAGTACACAAGTAATTCTTAACCTTTTCTGGAACATAGAGTAGAGTAGAATTTGTGGTCCTTTTCTCTGGAAAAAAATGTACAGTGATGCACACACATATATTTTTACATTTTACATTGAACTTCAGGAAGTGCTGTAGACCCTCTGGTACCCATTATGTATGTTTCCTAAATTTAAAATCCCCCACTAGCAGTAGGAGAGATCAGTGAAAGATTTTAAGTTGAGCAGGGCTATGTCTATGGGATCACAGGACCAATAACCACTGAAACAGGAACAAGGATGACAGATTGGAAGAAGTGCAGCCTGTAGGCAAGGAAGATGGGGCCACAGTTAGAAGTCTGTTGCAAAGGTTTAGACCAAACCATGGTTTTGTTCAAACTCCTCCATCTCCAAAGCTTTCGTTAGGTGATGGAAAAGATGCAAAACCCACTTGTTGAACTTAGAGCATTTTCAGCCCTACCCCCATCCTTTCTGGCAAAGGTATCCTGGTCCTTAACCGCAGCCAGAAGGGAAGGCAAGAGAAGGGCAGTAAGAGAAGCTATTATCTCCAGGTGGCACTGCCAACCCCTGGGGACAGATCGTTGATACCTTGGAAATTTATCTGTGAGAATGTTTCTGGAACACCTTGTCTGCCTCTAATAAACACAGTGGATCTCGCTTGGAAAAGAGGAAGTATTCCAGTCATAGGGCTTCATAGAGCCCTCCTGGTTCTTCTGCATGTAGAAGCGGGGGCAGGGATGTGGAGAGGGAAGCGTGCATTAGTTTAGCAACCGAGTAGGGATTTAGGGATCTGAACTCAATCCCTGCTCTTCCTGTGAGACCCTGGGAAAGGGTCTCTGTGCTATTCTTCCTGCATCTATTAAATGGGAATAACAATAAAAATGCTAACCTGCTCTGGAAGGAGTAACGAGGAGGGGATTATAAAGCACTCTGTAAATACCGTATGAAGGTGATGCAGCAGTGATGGATGGCGGCGTTCACTGAAAGAAACAGCAGAATTACAGCCATCCTCGACTCTCTGGCAGACTTTTGATTTCTCCCATCAGAAAAGACCCTCCCAGAAGCTCTGAGAAGAGGGCGCTCTGCATCTCTCTCTTGTCTGCTGCAGCTATGGATGTTGTGAAAGTCAGAGAGGGGAAAATGGGGAGAAACAGTGGGAAGGGATCAGAGGGTTGAGCCAGCCCCACCACCTCTGGAAATAGCTGCCTGTGCAAGCCAGGGCTGGCTACATTGTAGATATTTTTTAAATGTTTCAATTTAATTGAATTTCACTAAACCCAGAGAGCCATTAGCACTCGCTGTCCACCCATAAAGTGGGCAGGAGCTGCTCAGAATGGCTTAGGTTCCCCAAACTTACATTGTGGTTTACTGATACGCCCATCCATCCAATTCCACGCCTGCTGCCTTTTCTTTAGGATCATTCTTACACCTGAATAATGTGGAAATGATGAGCCCTGTTGGAATGTAAACCAACCTGACGTTCTCTTCAGACTCCCACAGGCTTGCTCCACAGAGGGATGCCTTGTTGGGCTTGAGTTTTTTTCAAGAGACAGGTTTCTCACCATCTCTGTCAGTTGCTCTGGAATGTAAGAGGAGGGTGGTTACAGGTAACAGATTATTTTTAATTCTGCCTTGTTATTTGGAACTGGTTTTCCATATGTTGTTGTTGTTCAATTCCTTGCATGAATTTTCTCAAATATTTGTAACATATGTCATATCTATATGCAGATTTTAAATTATGGATGCCTTCATCCAATCATTTTCAAAAGGGGAAAAAAATCCAAGTCTAATACTCTCAGGCAGGACCACAGTCTCCTGGGCATCAGATATCGTTCAGGTAGACACATCTGGTGAAATGCATCACATCAAATTAGTATCAAGGGTATTGAGACTCTGAGACTACAGGCAGACAATCCCCTTCTAATGTACTGCTTTTTAGATTGTTGGGGAAACTTGAATCCCAATTCTCCTGTGAAATGAGTGATACTAACATGCCTGCTCAAATGCTCAAAGTGAAGATCAAAGCTGCGGTGTCCAAATTGGCTTTGCAAACAAAGCAGCCCTTGCTCCCCCGCTTGGGGATACTGTGCTAATTTTATCAACTCTCCCTGGCTCTTCTGCTATTAAATAGCAATAAATAAATGTTTTTTTTTCCTGGGTTTGCCAGTGGCTTATTTGTCTGACAAACAAGCTCATTTCCTTTTAAGTGTAAGGTTTTAGTCCAACTAATAGAATTAATCTATTTTTAATGAAAAGGAGACTGGCTTTTACTTAGAAATCTACCTACCCATCTCCCTCTCTCTGCACCAGGCCCCACCCCCAGCATCTTCTCTGAACACATACATCCAGCCATGAATATTTCAATACATCTCGGGCATTCAGATCAATATATGCAACTCTCAAGCCCTATTGATTTTCAGAGGTTTGACTCGCAAGGGTGATAAAATATTTCTCAACTTATGAAACCTGAGTTAAAGAGGTTTTGCTGACCCTTCAACTTTTATCAGATATCTTTGTCTCTTTTTCTTTCCTCCTCCCATATTCCTTCTGCTCAGTCTCCCTCCCTCACCTGGTCTCCCCTCTCCAATGCCCAACCCCCCCCCACCCCCCCGCTTCCCATACAAAGCCCCGAGATGGAGATTTATGACTAAGCAATAAGTCCTGGAGAAGCAGGCACTATTTTCCCACTGGGTCCACCTCAGGTCAGAGGGAGAAGAGGCCAAGGGAAGAGAGCAGCCCTGAGCACAATCCAGCCCCCATCCATCTCACCTGGGGGACTCTGCCAGCTCTCCTCCTGTCTCTCTGATTCATTTATCAGCACAGCCGACTCCTCCTCCTGCACACCCCTGAAGATGTAATCCCAGAAGGCGACCCTAGCAACATACGAGGAATTCCCCACTGAGGCACAGGAGCTGAGCTGCTCCATATGGGTACGAAATAAGCTAATTATACAGTCAGCCATGTCCAATGCCAGGATGCATGTTGTTATAAGTTTATCCAGCCTAGTTATGAAGCAGTGAGCCCAAGGTTCTTGGAAAATTTTCCTGAAGGTTTGGTGGTTGATCTACTGTGATATGCATTGGATTAGGTGTTTGGAGATCCCAGTTCAGATTTCTCTAGCTAGCCCTGGGATGTTGGTCAAGTCGAGTCACTTTCCTTCTTGGGCCTTCATTTCCTCATTTGTAAAATATATTCATCCATGCATTTATTTAACACATCTTTGTTGAATTCGTCCTATTTCCCAGGATTAGGGGATAGATGGTGAACAACAACATGAATATGCGTGTCTGCTCGCATGAAGCTTATTATCTAGTGAGGATCAGCCAAGGATCTATGAATGTTTCTCCCTCTGCACTCCCACGTGGCATGCCTCTGGATACTGCAATACAAGCTGTATATAAGTATGTTATTACAATGTTTTTTATCTGATCCCTCGCTGGATTGCATGTTGCAAGTCAGGATGGATAGTGCTTAGAACTGTGGACAGATGCTTGTTCACTGGATAATAGCCAATGAAGTTGGCCCTTTATATTTTGTGTCCTGCCCGGTGTTGAATAGGGCTGAGGATGCAATTGTGTATGCGGAGCCTCAGGGGAAACACATTCAATAGCCGTTGATCCTGCCCTAATAGTTTTTCATCCCAAGTCTTTGGTAAGGAAAAGCACATAAAAGGACTTATAATGAGCAAGTTATCAAGTTATCAATGTCAGTAAGTTGTAGCTGCCTCTACACTCGAAAGTTAGGAATGACCAGAATGACTTTATCACCAAACAGACAGAAACCTTGAAGCACCATCCTGTGTTGGGTGAAAGTGTGCTAGGATATGTGGGTGAGGAGACGGCTTATTTTGTATAAGGGCAGTGTGATGCCCCTGTTCTCCCTAGGGGTTTTGAGCAGCAGGGCACTGAAGAAGTGATCCATATCCCCATCACATTGTGAGCCCTGTGAGGGGGACAGAGGAACTTTTCTGTTTCATGATGACACCCATGGAAAGAGAAAAAGGTTTCAAATATGATTCCAGAATTAGAGGCCTCAAGGCAGGTGCTCCGAGCTGATTTGCTGTGGAGCTGCTTCTTGCACAGGCAGCTCTACCGTGTGAGGCAGGGCTCTATTTATATGGCAGTGAAGGAGACTCGATGATTCTTCCACTGATGCTGGGTGTGGGTGGGATACCCTGAAAGGTACCAATAGACGTTTCTCCGGTAGAGCAGGATTCCTTTGACATCTGCTGCCTTTGCGCTGATGAGTTCTCTAATAGACAAGTATTAGTTGACTATCACATCATACCACAGACACTGTTAAATATTGACTCTAATAGGTAATCTACCATAGATTAGAATTTTATGGTTTACAATGCACTTTGATCATCACTCGTTCAAGCCCTCCTACTTTAATAGTGAAGAAGCTGCGGCCCAGAGTGGTGAAGTGACTTGCTTAAGGTCAAATGGTAAAACTGAAGTAGGACAGAGGTCTCCTGACTCCCAGTTTAGTGCTCTGTCTGTTGTTCCAAATATCACACCATCTTTTCCAGGCAACCATGGCAGAATTTTAAAAAGGAATCATAATAATAATAAAAGATTTTGGCCCATTTGGACGCTTTTCTCTGAAAACAGGGAGCTCACGACATATGATACAAACTGAAAAGCTGAAAGTGATTTCTCACTCATTGGGGCATTATTATTTATGTTTTGAGATGGAGTCTCACTGTTGTCTAGGCTGGGCTGCAGTGATGCGATCTCGGCTCACTGCAACCTCCACTTCCCAGGTTCAAGCAACTCTCCTATCTCAGCCTCTCAAGTAGCTGGGACTACAGGCACCCACCACCAAGTCCAGCTAATTTTTGTATTTTTGTAATTTTTTAAAGGCAGAAAGAGTTTTCTGGAATTGATTGGAAAACTGGAGCACAGACTTTACGGAGATAAGGGAAGTGAAAAACAGCCAAAGACGTGCCATGGGAACAGTCTCATGAGAATCATATCCCCAGACATCATGCCTGTGGCCACCGGCATCTCCATAGTGAACCTCACCCCAGACCTTGCCCTCCCTGTACCACATACAATCTCTAACCTCCCCTAAGATGTGAAATGGGACCAAATTTGGCTTCCATAGAGTTATAAGGATGAGTGAAAGGAAAGGGAACCCCTGCAAACTTCTCTGCCTTCTGGTAAGAATAGTTTTCAGATTTTGGGCAGCCCAAAGAATGTGTACTGTGAAGACCAAACTACCTCTTCACCTTTCTTCCAGTTGGGGTGCTTCCAAAGGCATTTCTTGAATTATGTGGGTTTTAGGATCTGTGTTTAAAAGCTCCTCTGGATTTTAGTATTTTTTATAGAGATGGGGTTTCACCATGTTGGCCATGCTGATCTCGAACTCCTGACCTCAAGTGATCCACCCACCTTGGTTTCCCAAAGTGCTGGGATTATAGGTGTGAGCCACTGTACCTGGCCCATTGGGGCATTATTGTTGAAACATTCACCCTCCTCTGCTTCCTGGCACCAGGGAAGGAGTGCTCTTCCCCACACCATCCATGAGTGTGGCAATGTAACATGCTTGGCCAATGAAATGGGAGCAGATGTTAAAGTACCACTCCTGACCAGAGCTGTGCTCCTTCCCTTCACCATGAGAACAGGCTCCAGCTTCCTAGGGCCTAAAATGGAAAGACACAACACAGTGCTGGACCTAGCCTGGAGTAGTGCTGCTGAAGGGCTGATCTACAGACTCAAGGGCAAGGATATAGGTTTGCTATTGAGAGATTTTCAGTGGGTGAGCAGGTAGGGAGGGATGAGGGGAGGGTGCTTATTATACAGCATTATCACAGCAAAAGCAAAGATACTCAAGGAGGCCTGACCTTAGCTATTTCTGTCTTACCCTCACTTTTCACACTGCAGTGCACAAGTTCAGATTGTCACTTTGTTTTCCAGATGAGAAGATTGCATCCCAGTCAGATTAAATGCTCTTTATAAGGTCATCTTAGGAAAACATAGAGGCATCCTGTTAGCTAGAATCCGTGTATGCTTCCTGACTTTCAGAATTTAGTTTCCTGTGTTATTTAAGCATGAGGCTGTCATTGTCTTTGAGGTTAGAGAAAGAACTAAGCAATTTAGTTTTGCCTGTGTCATCTCTGTCAATCAATCAGTCATCTGTTTTCTATGTCTGTACCTATTATCTCTATCTATCTCTATCATCTATGAATCTATCTCTATCATCTAATTTATATCTAATCTAAATCCATCATCTATCAATCTCTAACTTATCTATATCTATTTCTATCATCTATCTCTATCATATCTATCATATCTATCTACCTACCCACCTACCTACCTACCTACCCACCCACCCACCAATCCTCCGTCTGTCCATCCAACTATGTATTTGTTTGAACTAGGAGGAGAGAGTCTGAAAGTCACATTGTGTTTACTGTTGTGAGGTTGACATTTTAGTTGATCATGTTGAGGTTGGTCCGTCTGCATCTGATTATCTCGTTTCCAGATCCAAGCAGTTGTTAATGAAACAGTTGCTGTTTTGTTGACAGAACATTAATTACTTGATCTTAGGACTCAGTAATTGCACAAGCCTCCTCTGTATACATTACTAATTACATTAGCAATTATATGGCATTTTAAAGACAAAGAAATGACTGAAGCAATTGCAGTGTCACAGGTAACCTGCTGTTAGATTTCAGTCACATGCCTAATGTCCCCATGATGTGCAGAAACAAGTTCTAGTGGATCTTGTGACACGAACTTGAAGAAATGGCCTAAGATTTCCTACCTATGAACTCCCTGCTCAGTGGTAAGCCCATCGTCTAGGCAGAGACAATGTGGATAAAATCTCTTTAACTCTCTCAGCCTCATTTTATTTCTCTATTAAAAATAAAAGCAGAGAAAAGTTGGATAAGAAAATTTACTTATCAAACAAATATTTATTGAATGCAACTACCTCAGGTGCTAGGAATATGACTTCATGAAGTTTATCATCTTTTGAAGGATAAAGACATTAAGCAACAAATACTCAAATGTCTGCAACAGTCAGGGAAATGCTTGTTAGCTGCTGTAAAAACACAACCCCAGAAATATCTGGAGTTCACTACAATAAAATTGTATTTCTTGCTCACACCCTAGGCAGCTCTTTCCAAATGGTGACTCAAGGGTCCATCCATGGTGTGGAATCTTTCTGTTATTCTGAGCTCCTTAGTTTCCAGCTGTGTGGACAGAAGAGCCAGTCAAGGATCTTGTGGGGGCTTTAGAGACTAGATCTAGAAGGGGCATACATAATTTTTCCTACATTCCATGGCTAAAATTGGTCACAGGGCTGCTTCTTTGCTGCATAAAAGGCTGGAAAATGTAGAGGAAAAGGAGAAATGAGCATTTACTCAGTGCTGGCTGTACTGCATAATTATAAATGGTGACCCGTGCTGTAAGGGAAGTGTAGGTAGTACAGTGAGAGCATGCAATGGGACAACCCACTAATTTTGCATCCAGCACTCGTTCCCCCTTCTGCTAAAACTGCCCATATTGCCTTAGGGAAATGACTCTCCTTCATTGTCTGTAGTTTTTGTGGGGCTGTCATTTAAGGTTCCTCTCCACCTCACCCCACTCTCATCAGACATGGGCATGTGGTATGATTAAGACCAATTAGATTCTCTCCTTGGACCGTAACCTTAACTGGAACAACACAAAGACACAAAAAAGTTGGATCTGATTCACTGCTATCAAAGTGCTACAGACAGACTGTCAATTCTTGTCATTTGGATCCCTGGATCTCAGTTCCTGTCCTCTTGAGCCTATTTTTAGCTTTCCCTTTGAATCTCTCCATGACCTCAAATTGTTCCAATTAATTTCCTTTCTTCTTGGGTTAACCAGTTGGTTCTGTGCTTGCAGCCAAATAACCCTAACTGATACAGGGGTATAATTTAGGTTATGAGGTTTAGAGAAGGCCTCTGTGAAGAAGTGGTATTTTTGCTGATAAGTAGAGCATAAGTTGGAGTTAATCAGACAAAGAGTGGAGAAAATTATTTTTAGGGCAAAAGAAGCCACTTATGCAAAGGGCTTGAGGTAGAAAAAGCTTGTAGTGTTTGAGACATGAAAAGCCTGTCTAGCTGGAGTTTGTGCAGTGACAGAAAATGACATAGGATGAGGATGGAGAGGTGGGGCAGTAACAGATTTTCCATACTTTGGAATGATATGGATTTTAGATTTTATTCTAAGTGCAATGCGAAGCCTTCGAAGATTTTGAGAGGGAAAGAGATATGATCCAATTTACACTTTAAAAAAGCAACTCAAGCTAGTCTGTGGGAGACAGGTATGATGGGGTGAGAATTGGAAAAGGAAGATAACTCAGCGGTCCATCAGCTTAGATGGGAGGATGACAGCGGCTTGTCTTGATGACTGGCCAAGAAAATGGAGAAAGGACAGACTTGGGATATGTATTGGGATCGAATTGACACACCTTGATGATGAGTAATTTTGTGGAGGCAGGGAAAAGGAGGCTTCAAGGATAACTTTCAATTTCCATAGGTAATTGATATGGTTTGGCTCTGTGTCCCCACCCAAATCTCATCTCGAATTGCAAACCCCACGTGTTGAGGGAGGGACCTGGTGGGAGGTGATTGGATCATGGGGGCGGTTTCCCCCATGCTGTTCTTGTGATAGTGAGGGAGTCCTTACGGTTGATAAGTGGCAGTTTCCCCTGCACGTGCTCTCTCTCCTGTCACCATGGGAAGATGTGCCTTGCTTCCCTTCACCTTCTCCCATGATTGTAAGTTTCCTGAGGCCTCCCCAGCCAAGCAGAACTGTGAGTCAATTAAACTTCTTTCCTTTATAAATTACTCAGTCTCAGGGAGTATCTTTATAGCAGTGTGAGAATGGACTAATGTGGTAATATTTACTGAAATTAAAAAACGAAAGGGGATCGGCCGGGTGCAGTGGCTCACGCCTGTACTCCCAGCACTTTGGGAGGCCAAGGCAGGCGGATCACGAGGTCAGGAGATCAAGACCATCCTGGCTAACACGGTGAAACCCCGTCTCTACTGAAAATACAAAAAAGTAGCCGGGCACTGTGGCGGGCGCCTGTAGTCCCGGCTACTCGGGAGGCTGAGGCAGGAGAATGACGTGAACCCAGGAGGCGGATCTTGCAGTGAGCCAAGATGGTGCCACTGCACTCCAGCCTGGGCAACAGACCGAGACTCTGTCTCAAAAAGAAAAAAAAAAACAACAAAAAACGAAAAGAGGCATAGGTGAGGGTGGAGGAACTAAGAATTCCTTATCAGCATGTGAAATTGGAATTGTCCTGGAAACTTCAAGTGATGAGTCAAATGTCGACACATAGACATGGTGATCAGAAGAGAAATCTTGGTTAGAGGTGTGAGTTTAGATACTGTGTGTATAGACATGGTGTTAGAGGCCATGGGAAGCAGTAAACAAAATATTTCTAAAGTCCTTTCAGCTCTGGTAACTTCTAAATCCATCAGCCTGGTGAATAAACACCAGAATTCCACATCTACCTGCACACCTAACCAGCTGGGGACTCTGTTGTATCCCACAAGCCCTGTGCCCATTAAGGGGTCAACCCATCCTGCCCTCCTCAGCTGGACTACATTAGAATGTCTCCCTCATTCCCTAAACTTGTTCAAAGCCTCATGCCCACTTAATTTCCCTGCATCTTTCTAATCGCTCACCTTACTTTCTGTATGAAATAGCTCCACAAACTTGAAGCTGATTGCATTCCTCTCCAGCAGCCCCTGGCTCCCTGTCCCTGGCCCTCACTGGTTCAGGTTTATGGGTTATTTCTTCTTCCCTAGCTGAGCCAGCCTCATGGCCTCAGAGACGCTGCCCTGGTTTAGTTCCAACCTTCAAGAAACAGCACCAGGCCCCTGTATACCATCATGGTGCCCTGGCCACTGGCCTACTGCTTGCTAGAATGGAGGGGATGGGGTAAAGTGAGGAGACAGAGCAGCAGATGCTGGTCCCTGGGACCCCGGCCTGGTGACCTGAAACTGGAGAAGCTCCCCAGACGGTGGGAGAGTGTGAGAGGTCCTCCTGACCTCTCCCCTCCCCATAGCCCTGGGTCAGCTTCCTCTGTTTACTGAAAGCACGTATGTGAGGAAAACAGGGCCTGGCTGGGGCGGTGCGTTGGATGTGGGAGAATTTGAACTTTATCAGTCCTGACATTTCTGCCTCGGTATGTGTGATTGTTGTTACACATATGGATTGGATCAAATGAGATAATTTATGCAAAAGCACTTTGAAATTTTTAGAGAGCTATCCAAGATATTGCATGTTGTTATGATTACCATTACATGGGAAAGCCTTTCCCCTTCAATATCACCCAAGTGTTTGATTAAAATTAGGTGGCAGATTGGCAAATCTATAAAGTGCTTTCTTGTGTAGCCTGTCACCTATACCTACGGTGACCATATGGCCTACATTTTCCAGGATGGTGCAGATTTCACATAGTTCTAGTCTTCACTGCAAAGGTGATTTGTTAAATTCCTAACTAAGTCTCCTGCAATTATTAAGCCTCTGCAAGACTTTTCTCCAAATATGTTCATGAGAATAAAAACCTGTGTCAGGGCGGGGGCGGTGTCTCATGCCTGTAATCCCGGCATTTTGGGAGGCTGAGGTGGGTGGATCCCTTGAGGTCATGAGTTCGAGACCAGCCTGGCTAACATAGTGAAACCCCATCTCTACCACAAAAATACAAAAATTAGCCGGGCATGGTGGCGCATGCCTGTAATCCCAGCTATTCGGGAGACTGAGGCATGAAGATAGCTTCAACCTGGGAGGCAGAGGTTGCAGTGAGCCGAGATTATGCCATTGCACTCCAGCCTGGGCAACAGAGAGAGGCTCCATCTCAATCAATCAATCAATAAACCTGTGTTAGGCCACATTTTCGAATTTTTTGAGAGGTACTCACCTCTGTATTTCTTATCCATGTGCAACGGGAAGTACTCAGAGAACTCAGGGCATCCCTGTTCCTTTGAGGGTCCCACCTGGGCAGGGGAGGGAAATGAGAGGACAATCAATTTTCCATGTTATATAAATGCAAGGACTAAAGCCAGAGTGGTCTGAGCATTACCATGGCATCCTGAGGATGGCCACTGGGGGATTTTGTTTAGGATTTCAGTGGAAAGGGAGAAGTACAAGGACTGCCCACAGTGCCTTTGACCCTTGTCACTTCTCTGTCCTCTGTTGCTCTCTCTCTTGCTTTTGTCATTCAGCCCTTTCCAGTGGGTGGCTCCATCCTGAAGGGTGGGCTGGCTGCAGATGCCTATTCCAAGGAGTCATCCCAAGGAGCCGGCTCACGGTTTCCTCATCACCTGATGGAGGAAGATGGAGCAGCCTGTTGGCCACAGTGAGGGGAAGGGGTTGGGGATAGGGAATGGGGTTGCATCAGCAGCAGCTCTTTTGATTCTCCCTGTCCACACATTCTCCATTTCCACTGGTTTTAGGAATAAGCCATGAGCTGAAAGTAAGATAATAAGATGGCCCAGTAGACAGTCTACTGTTGCCTTCAGGTCTGCTCTTCTTTATTTTATTTTTATATTTATTTTTATTTTTATTCATTGATTAAGACAGGGTCTCACTCTGTTGTCCAGGCTGGAGTGCAGTGGATGATCTTGGCTCACTGCAACCTCCACTTCCTGGGCTCAAGAGATCTTCCCTCCTCAGCCTCCCAAGTAGCTGAGATTTACAGGCACACGCCACTATGCTCAGCTAAATTTTTTTTTGTATTTTTAGTAGAGATGGGGTTTCACTTTGTTGGCCAGCCTAGTCTCAAACTCCTGACCTCAAAGTGACCTGCCTGCCTTGGCCTCCCAAAGTGCTGTGATTACAGGGGTGAGCCACTGCTCCCAGCCTGCTCTTCTTTTAGGGGAGAGAAAGAAGCGTGTGGATTTCTGCCCTGGCATTTCACTTCTTGATCTGTTCCGAAGTAGCTTCCACCAGGCCCCTGAGACAGATTTCATAAATGGCAACACCGTTTTCACTGCTTCCTCCCCTTTTCAACACTTTCAACACTTTCTGTTTTGGATCAACTTTTACCTAAAATTCTAGCATGGGAGCTGGGAGATATCAGGAGGTGCAGTGGAGAGATTGCTTATAGTTTGTGAGTCAAGATAATTTCTGTGAGCAAGAGGCCTTCTCGAAGAAGCACACAGGATTTGCATCCAGAGTTTCAATGAATTCCAGTCTAGACTCTACTACCAATAAGCTCTGTAACCCAGGGCTGGTCAGTGAACTCATGAGACCTTACTTTTCTCAACTGTACTAGGAAAGAATATTCGTTCCTTTTAGTTCCATGGAAAAGCTCCGAGAACAGGTCACCTTTTGTCCTGGACAGTCTTTACTGAGTTTCAATTTCAGCTTTTGTATTTCTCATACAGAAATATCATGGTTGACAACTACAATTTTTTTTGCTCATATGAATCAGAGGTTTGATGACTCTTGGAATAAATCCTGATAGGTGCTTGGTATTTTCACACACCTTTTTAATTTTTTCATGGAAACTCATCTTCCAAACAACTTTATAGGGATAAAATGAGATAATATTCACAATAGCGTCTAACAAAGAATGAGGACACCAAATCTCACAGACTCACACTTTTTACTTAAAGTCACTGATATGGTTTGGTTCTGTCCCCACCCAAATATCATCTTGAATTCCCACGTGTTGTGGGAGAGACCTGGTAGCAGGTGATTAAATCATGGGGTCAGGTCTTTCCCATGCTGTTCTTGTGACAGTGAATAAGTCTCATGATATTTGATGGTTTTACTAAAAGGAGTTCCCCTGCACAAGCTCTTTCTTTGCCTGCCACCATCCATTTAAGAGATGACTTTGCTCCCCGTTGCCTTATGCCATGATTGTGAAGCCTCCCCAGCCACGTGGAACTGCAAGTCCATTAAATCTTTGTCCTGTATAAATTGCCGGGTCTCAGGTATGTCTTTATCAGCAGTGTAAAAACAGACTAATACAGTCATCCTGCTCAGAAGAGTTCTAATTATTATTTCAACCCTAGTATCATGGCTCCAAGACCAGATGCTCTTCCCAGTACATTGCAGCAGTCCTGTTCCAAAGTTGATGTTCTTAAAAGATACATGCACAAAACAAAAAGCTAAAATCCTATTATTCAATAATTCCCAAGACTCCTAAAATTAAAGGTTAGAGATGAGTAAGTCATTTTGAAAAGTGACTCAATACAGCACTGTTTGACCAGGAAGATGTTTGAAAAGAAGTAACTAAGATATGATGGTCACCGTTCTGACTTTTGATAGCATTACAGATAATTTCACTTCAAACAAGTGTGTAGTTTATTCTTCAGTATTCGGGCTGGCTTTGGGGGCTTTGAAGAAAGTCTACAGTGTAGATGTTACAGAAATAAACTCTGTTTTCTGCAAAGGGCCTCATCAAAGGCATTTAGTACAACTCATTCCCCAAAATCACATGTATTCCAATCATGTGGTATAAAAGATCATGGATCCACAGGGGGCAGTATTTTGAAGATCAAAAGGAGAAAGAACTAATATTTTTGATTCCTTATATATGCCAGAAAATGAAAGGGGTTGCTTTCACCTCTGTTACCTCCTTTAATCTCCATGAACCCACCATGAGGCAGGTAATACTGTTCCAGTTTTGCCGGTGAGAAGACTAAGGCTGAGGAGGACAAGGGCTTACTATGGTTACTTGGCTAGTGAAGAAAGTGGAGGAAAGTAGAGGAGCCCTGCTTTCTGGCTTGAACAGATGGGTGTACAGCATTGTAATTTGTTGATGCAAAAAACTCAGGTTGGAAGGTTTTGGGGGAGAATTCCAAACTTTATGTTGGACATGTTAAATTGAGCTTTCTGGGAAATATCCAAGTCAGCAGCTGTCTCAACCTCAGAAGAAGAAATAGAAATTTGAGAGATGTCAGCATATAAATGAGTATTAAAAACCAGGCTCAGGGTGAGAGTATAAACTGGCACAACCTCTGTAGAGAGGGGCAACCATATACTTTATCCAAACCAGACACTTTTAAGAGAAAAGGTGTTGTTATTATTAACTATGTTGAGACAATGTCTTCAGCAAATTAGAGCAGTTGGACATTCTCTTTATAGAAGGTAATCTGGCAAGACCTGAAAATTACAAATGCACAAATGCATTCACCCACTTCTGGGAACTTATCCTACAAATATACTCATATGTGCAAAATGACACATTTATTAAATATTATATTAATAGTAGAAAAATAGAAACAACTTAAATGTCAATAAGTAGAGGAATGGCCAAATAAAATATTTACATTAAAATATATAATATATATTAAAATATATATTAAAATTTGTAACATATAGACTACTTCTGGGAAAAAACACAAGAAATTGGTAATATTGATTGCCTCCAAGGAAGGAAATTAGATGGCTATGGACAGTTGTCAGGAGGAAATTTTTCATTTTACCCTTTGGACTATTTTGAATTTTTAATCATGTTAAAATATTACTTCAAGAAAAAAACCATTCGTTTAAAATTGAAAATCAATAAAAAAAATCAAGCTAAACCTTAGCAATCTGTAGGGAAAAAAAATGTATTATGGGACTCGCAGTATTTTATACTTCTTACAAAGTAAGAACTACAAATACATTACATTATGCAGAAATAGTCTCCACTTTCATGTATGATAACCAAGATACCTAATCCCAGATGAACAGAGTGACACTAAATGAAAGATGGCAAAATATCGTCGACCAGCCTTTCCGCTTAATACCCAGGAAAGGGATATCTTAGCATCCAGATGGATGGTGACAACCAGCAAAGCCAGCAGAAACTAGAAGGGGAGAGATTCCTTCCTGCTCATGGATGAGTGACCAGGAAATGACTACATGGGTCTATAAAAATGTTCTGCAAACACAGAGATTAAGGACATAGAGCCCAAGAGTCATTGAAAGAGCATGTCATGTTGAAAGAAGGATTTTCTAAATAAAAACAAATTTTACATGGTATCTTCATTATAATCTCAAAACTTCATAAAAAGTCAGTCTCAATGAAACAATATATAAATAATTTAGAAAAAATCCTACTAAAGGGTTAGTCTGAAATTAAATAAAAAGAGTGGTATATAAGAATAAGAAGAAACACATACATACACACAAACAACCGCAAATTGAAAATCAAAATTAAAAGCTGTAAAAAGTTTCAGCCAAGATGGAATGACTGGTACCAGGCTAGTTCTTCCTCCTTTAACAACAAGAAAACTAGACAAAAATATATGAAATATCTCTTTTTTAGACATTAGAAACAAGCACAGAAGGACTATCACAATGAGAGAAAGGAAACAAAAGTGGCAAGCCCACAATTGCTGTGGCTTTCTGTCTAGAGGCACTTTTTAGTGCAGGATGGAGGAATCCAAGCAGAACATAGCAAGTTGATGAGTTGAGGAAACAGACTGATGTTTAGATGGTCTAAGGTGGCTAAGAGTTGTGAGAGACTATTGGACATAAGCTGGAGAAAGAGAGGTAGTGACAGACGGAGACAGAGACACAGAGAGATATATCCAGAAATCTGTATCAGGGCTTTTTTGAGTCTGATGCTGAATATTAAGCCACACATATATAGGGTGCAAGTCCACGAGGCCACACAAAATCTACTACCGGAGAGCCGTAAAAATGAACAATTGGCAGAGCTCACAAAGACCTTGAGAGAGATTCAAGTTCTAGCCATCCAAAGTAGAGAGGCATTGAACACCTGAACATTCAGTAGAGATCCCATAAAGGTCACATCTTAGTGATAGGACTAAATATACTCTAGAATCAAGACTATTCTAGATTTTCCCTTACAGAGCTTAAGGAAATCCACAAAGGATTACACTAATCAGCAAGTCATTTAACTGTCTTTCAAAACAAAAACCAATACTCTAAAGAAAGACAACAAAATTCAAACACTTGGCAATGTTATATTCAAGGTATCCAGGATCCAGTAGAAAATTACTAGACATACACAGAAGCAGGACTATATGATCGATAACCAGGAGAAAGATCAGTCAGCAGAAAGAGATCACACATTATAGAGATAATGAGATTTGCAAAAAAAAAACAACTTTAAAACCGCTATTCTAAATATGTTGAAGGATTTAGAGGAAATCATGAACAAATAGGGAAAGGAAGATGTTAAAATGATCAATTTTAGAACTTGAAAATGTGTGATCTGAAATGAAAACATTAACTGAGCCTCAGTATCATATTATATACACAGTACAAGAAAGTATCAGTGACCTTGAAGACAGAGCAATAGAAACTCTTCAAACTGAAACATAGAAAAAACTGAAAAAAGTGGACAGAACTAAGTGACTTGTAGGACACCATCAAATGATCATGTAATTAAGAGTTTCTGAAAACTGCAAAACATTACTGAGAAAGTTTTTAAAGTATTTAAATAAGTTAGGGATATACAATGTTTATCAAAATGCTCATTTTCTCAAATTATTCTATAGATTCAACACAATCCAAATCTCAGAAGGTGTTTTGATAGAATTGATGAGTTAATTCTAAAATGTGTATATAAATGCAAAGTTTTAAAGTAGCCAAAACAATTTTGAAAAAGGACAAAGTTGGAAGACTGATTTCAAGACTTACTATAAAGCTAAGACCAGTGTGGTATTGTCATGAAGGTACATATATAGATAATTGAAAGAAAAGAAAAAAGAAATAGGCCCACACCAAATATATTCTCAATTGGTTTTGAAAAATGTGCCAAGGTAACTCAATGAGAAAAGAATATTCTTTTTAATAAGCTGTGCTGGAATAATGAATATCTTTATAAGAAAAAAGGAGGACGAAGGGAAGGAGGAGTAGTTCCATCCATATTTGAATCCAAAAGAAAGTCACTTGAAATCATAATTTAAACATAAAATCTAAAACTTCAAAAGTTCCAGAATAAAATGAAAAAATCATTACAGCATTGGATACATTTGATAACTAGGATACATTTGATAATTTTCAATATCATTCCTGACTTTTAATAAAAAATTTTAAACATTGTGGTACAAAAATATTTCTTAGGATGCATAAAGTACTATTCATAAAATTTAAAAGATTGACAAATGAGACTTTACCAAAATTTGAAATGTCACCTCTTCCAAAGACATTTCAAATAGATATATATAGAAAAAAAATGACCCTAGTCCTAAACCTCATGCTTTCATAAAAATTAACTCAAAATGGATCACAGATTTAAAGACAAAACATAAAACTTTACAAGTTTCAGAAGAAAACTTAGGAGAAAATCTTCAGGATCTAGGGTTAGGCGAAGGGTTCTTGATACCAAAAGTATAATCTGTAAAAGGGAAAATGGATAAATTGACCTTATTAAAATTTAAAAATTTGTTCTGCTAAAGATCCTGTTAAAAGGATGAAAAGACAAGCTACCCACTGGAAAGAAATATTGCAAACCACATATCCAACAAAGAACTACTATTTTGAATACATACAGAACTCTCAAAACTCAAAAGTAAAAAGAAAATAAAATAAATAAACCCAAAACTCCAATTAGAAAATGAGCTAAGGCCAGGCGCGGGTGGCTCACGCCTGTATTCCCAGCACTTTGGGGGGTGGAGGCGGGCCGATCATGAGGTCAGGGGATTGAGACCATCCTGGCTAACACAGTGAAACCCCGTCTTTAGTAAAAATACAAAAAAAAAAAAAAAAAAAAAAAAGCAGGGCGTGGTGGCAGGTGCCTGTAGTGAGGCTGAGGCAGGAGAATGGCGTGAACCTGGGAGTTGGAGCTTACAGTGAGCCGAGATCGCGCCACTGCACTCCAGCCTGGGCGACAGAGAGACTCCGTCTCAAAAAAAAAAAAAAAAAAAAGCAAAGAAAAAAGAAAGAAAATGAGCTAAAAACATGAGATATTTCACTGAAGATGGCAAATAAGCACCTGAAAAGATATTCAACCTCACTAGCAATTGGGGAAATGCAAATTAGAACCAAAATGACTATCACTACATACCAATCACAATGACTAAATTTAAAAAATAGTGACAAGACCAAATGCTGGCAAGGATGTGAAGAAATGGGACCACTCACACACTGCTAGTGGGAAGTATAAATTGGTACCAAATTACTAAAAGCCTAACAAAAAAGCATGATATTAATAAATTAGACCACAAGACAAAAACAATACGGACCATATATAATTCTACGCTATTCAATTTTAAAATTTCAATTTATGCAGAAAAGTTTAAAGTGATAATATTGACACAGGATAAAATAAAAATTCTTAATTATTCAATAAAAATGGGTAAAAAGGAAACAGCTGTCAGTAAATTATCTCCAAAAGGGCTCCTAGCCCAGAAGTTTTTCTGAGCAAGCTTTACATTTTTTTCAAGAAAAATAATTCTCTCCTGTTATGTAAGCTTGAAAATAACAAAATTATTCCAATTTATCTTATGATTCTGCAGGTCTCTCAAGAACACAAGCTTGGTACTTTGAAAAATGAAAAATATAAACCAATCTTACTTTTGACTAGCAAATCATATCTAGCAGCTTATTTAAACAAATAATACAGCATAATCAGGAATGTAAAAATAGCTTGATGGTGAAAAAATCTATTGATATAATTCATCATCTCTATAAAATCAAAGGAGAATGAATCATGATTCTTACTAGATGCCAAAATACATTTGGCAAGTTTCAATATCATTCCTGACTTTTAATAAAAAAATTTAAAAAGATACCTGCTAGCCACAAAGAATAGAAGACTTCCTTAACCAGATTAAGAATATTTATGTCAAATTGGCCAATATCATGTTCAATGGGGAAACCTGGACATTAAAATCAGACCTCACCATATGAGCTTGCCATCATTATTACTACTTTTTAATATTTTCCTGGCACTCTTAGTCAACAATAAGTCAACAAAAAGAAACATGAAGTATAAATATTGGAAAGAAGAGAAAAATTGTTATTTGCCTCAGATGACAAAGACAATATCTTTGATTAGTTTGAATTTTTGGAAACCAAACTCTCCTTATTTTCTGCTTTTTGCCTGGTATTATTTCATCCCTGAGGCAATGAGACACTACCTATTATTTGCTTGAAGGAGGGAGAGGAAGAAAAGGGAGGTGCGTTATATACAAAATACATGCACATATAGACACACACACACAAATATCTGCAGAATAGACATTAAAATATTAACAATGGCCAGGTGCGGTGGCTCATGCCTGTAATCCGAGCACTTTGGGAGGCCCAGGTAGGAGGATCACTTGAAGTCAGGAGTTCGAGACCAACCTGACCAACATGGCAAAACTTCGTCTCTACTAAAAATACAAAAATTAGCTGGGCATGGTGGTGGGCACCTGTGATCCCAGCTACTCAGGAGGCTGAGGCAGGAGAATCACTTGAACCTGGGAGGCGTAGGCTGCAGTGAGCCAAGATTGCACACCTACACTCCAGCCTGGGCAACAGAGCAAGACTCTATCTCAAAAAGTTAACAAGACTTATTTCTTAATGGTAAGATTCCAATTTTTTTTTTCTTTATGCTTTTCTACAATTTCCAAATTTTCTACAGTGAACATTTATTAGTTATGTAGTAGAAAAATACACATTATTTTTCAAAAGCCAAAGATAAATAAGGGGAAGAAAGGTGTTCAAATTGTAGCAGAAATGGCTGGTGGGGAGTTGGAAGAAGAATCCAAAGGGGATAATATGTGCTTGGGATATATTGAAAGAACCATGGCTTTGGAAGCAGAAGACTGGAGTTCCATCACTGGTGGCATCGCTTATAAATGTGATAATTCCAGGCAAGTCATTTGACTCTGGTAGCCCCAGTTTCCTTTGGGGAAGACCCCTACTACCCATTCTTCATGTCTCCCACATTAAGGGGCTTCCATGGAGAAATAGGACTTTCACCTTGTGTCACCTGCAGCTTATGGGTCTACCAACCAGGCAGCACAATTTGCCCAGGACAGTTAATGCTTTTTGTCACATCATATTTATTCATCTCTTCCCTTTTCACTCTCCAAAGTCTCCTAGTTTTAAGCAATGCATTGATGTGGTCACCCCACTCACGGCAGCTTTGTTCATGAGAAAAAAAAATGGCTGTTTTTAGGCAGTTTTAAACAAACGTGGACTTTAGCAAACTCTAACTGCTACAGTGAGCAAACAGGCTGTTGGGGTCTTAGTTAAACCCACTTCATGATGGCTACCATAAGCTTTGCCTGGAACTAACCAGGCACAGTGCGGCATTGTTGTCTTTAAGCATCAGTAAGCAGAAGTGTGCTTGCAGCAATGTGGATCTTAGCCAGGACTGCATGCCAAGAGTGTAAATGGCATAGACAGCGCATGATCTACAGAGCGTAGAGGTGTCATGCCTGCCTTGGGCTGGCAGGGTGGGCTCAGGTATCCTGGTGCTGTTCCCCTTCCTGTTGCTTTGCATCTTGTCTGGAAGGGTGAAAAATGTGGTTGGATTCACATGGCTTGTTGGCACATTCAAGAATTCATCCCAAATTTGGTTCTCAGTTTGTTAAATATGTCAGCACTGACCGAAATTTTAGATATCAGGACCCAAATTGTGGCTTACCCCATAGATCTTTCTCCTTCCTTCAAATATTGCAGGCCCTCTGACAATACTCATTACTGGATTCTGAAAAAACAGTCTGCTCAAAAACCTGTTCTGATGGCTGGGGATTACTTGTGGTTCTGAATTATGTGGAATATGAGACTGAGGCTATAATAATCTGATGTGTCCTATTAACTCTTTGAACTCTTTAAAAAATGTGGCTCATGAGAGGTCATGAAGGAGCCACACCCATTCCCACAGAAGGCAGCCCAGGCTGGGGCTGCTACAGACATCAGACCCAGGCCCTCTGGTAGAGACTCATCAGAACTGGAAATTGGGCTGGGCATGGTGGCTCACACCTGTAATCCCAGCACTTTTGGAGGCCTAGGTGGATGGATCACTTGGGGTCAGGAGTTTAAGACCTGCCTGGCCAACATGGTGAAACCCTGTCTATTAAAAATACAAAAATTACCCAGGCGTGGTGGCGGGCACCTGTAATCCCAGCTACTCAGGAGGCTGAGGCACAAGAATTGCTTGAACTCGGGAGGCAGAGGTTGTAGTGAGCCAAGATCACGCCATCGCACTTCAGCCAACAGAGTGAGACTGCATCTCAAAAAAAAAAAAAAATTGGAAATGAAATGAAATTTTGAACACTTTTTTGCATATCAAGTCATGGGAAAAAAAATAAAAATTTGTGTTGGACTTGACGTTCTTTGGAATTTTAATTGTACATTAAGGAAATTTAACTTTGGGCTTTAATTCTTTGGAACCTAAACTTTGGACTTTCCTTAGAAGAAGATTTGATTTTTGGACTTCAAGATCTCACTTGGAATTTCCAGATGAAAGGGAGTTTGTATTCAAATTTGGTCTCCTCTGTGTTGCCGGAATTCAATTATTGAGTATTTTATATTGTTATTTAATTACATTGCAGAACCTCCAAAAAACATTATATTAGACAATGTAGCTGAACATTTTGGCGGCAGGGAGTGAGAAAAAGACTAGGAAGTGAATTTGCCCTTACGTTAGTTAAATTAATATGCTCTTTGGATCCATCCAGAGTCTTCTGAGAGTCATTTCTCAACTGTCCACCTTCAATCCCAGAAGGATTCTCCAAAGGAACTGTGGCTAGTGTGAGGGGACTGGCCTCAGAAAGATGGGAGTGGCACTGTTAGGACAGAGAGCTCCCCCAGAGAAAATAGCCACAACCTTGGGTGACCATAAGCTTAATGGTTAAACCCAGTTGGCTAGGAGAACAAAGAACTGGGATGCTTTAAGAGAAATCACTTTTTATCCTTTCCGTATGCCTTCATGAGTAACACTCCTGGCGCCCTGGCCCCTATCCCTCACATCCCCATGAGAAGGAGGGAGTTGTAGCCTTTGGCATATGTGATCTGTTGGGTAGAGTTCATCCATCAAAAGACTGTCAGCATGAGGGATTTGCTCTCATCCCTCCTGTCTTCTAGTTTTAGTTAATGCATCTGCTGTGGTCCCAAACTTTCACTTGGACGGCCACCCCAGGGTCTACACTAGTGTGTGTCGTGTGTGCCTGTGGGGAGTGGGTTGGGTAGGGAATGTTAACAGGCTCATGGCATACCTCAGCCATGCTCCCCAATAACGTGTATTAGTAATAAAGTCAGCATTTTCCTCTTCATTTGCCTGACTCCTGTTCTACCCTGTGGTAGGTTCTGAACTTGGGCAAGAACAAGCATATTAGTTTGTTTACTCTATAGAGCCCCCAGTAACGCTCATCTTTAAAGTCTGAATAATAAGCCCCACCACTACTCCCATCATACGCAGCTGTATTTAAAGGTTAAGCAGATAATGGATGTAAAAATACTTTGTAAATTGCTTATCATTCCTTAGTTTGGTCAATTCTTGTTGTTACTTGTATTAGTTCTAAGATAACCGTCATCTCCTTTGCAAATGAGAATTTAAAATGACACTGCTCACTGCAGTGTAGTCATAGTGTGAATAGCTCCCACTTCTTGACTTCCTGTTCTGCGCTGGGCACTCAAGATAATTCTCACTCTGTGCGTTTCTTGCTTTATTGACAACATCACAACTTTTCTCAAAATGTTGGGAAGAATATGAAGTTCCTGAGAGGACATTGAAATGGAGGCCAACAGGAGGCCCTGGGTGTGTCATTTTTAACCATTTTTCATAAATCCAAAAAAGGGGTCACGTTTATTATGGCTATTGCCTTACGCAAGGAGAGTTGTAGGCAGGGGCTACTCCTACTCTGTGTTCTTCTTCAAGGTTGGATGGGGGCATAGGGTTACCCACTTTGTCTCTTGCAAGTTGATATCTCTGTGTGTCAACTTGCCATTAGCTATTCTGTTGACACCCCCGTACAGCCCCAGCTGCCTGTGAACCCTATCCCACAAGCAGAGATAATGAGACAGTGCTACGTATATAACCTGGTCTGATTAGAGTCTCAGATCTTTGCACCTCAACAGCTGTGTGTTGTCACCAATGAAAATTTTTAACTCGTCTGCCAATTCCCTGGTTGCCCAAATAAGTGGCTGAAAGAGTGGCTGCTGTTCCATCGTTTATTAGAACAGAATTTAGGTTCTGATAAACCCTAATGCTGAAAATTAGCTCCGAGGAAACTGCGACTGTGGTTCTTGGTCTCTGGCTGATAGGAAGAAGTTAGAATGTATTCAGGTGGGGTTTTTTTATCCTGTAGCCAGTTCAGCACTCAAATTACTTCTGAGCTATTTTTAAAAACGTAATAGGACCAATACTTAGGAGAGCCAGATGCAGTGTGAGGAGGATCAGAAAGCATCTATTACGGGCTCGACATTCGCTCTCCCACAAAGCCTCGGATGATATTGGAAAAGCTCTTCGTGGTCTTCCCGGCGGCTTAACCACGTCGCTGGAATCCTCGGGGTGCTCGCAAAACTTGCCATGGATGGAGAAGCCGTTTTAGCTCGTGAAGTCATGTTGGAATTAGCCTTTTGACATCAGCAAAGTCACAGGCGTCACTGGCTTTTCAGTTACATTGAGATGTCGCCCCGGGACTATAGGGGTGCAATCTACCCTTTCAAAATGTTGGAGCCTGAGCCTTCTTTTTGAGGTCTCCAAAGAAAGAGGCTTCGCATTTTTGGTAGCATGTTCAAGTGTCTCACACCTGTTTCAGACAAAGACAGTTATTTTTCAAGTGCATTCTAGAATTTTTCTTCTTGTTCTGATATTGTGGAGCGTGAAACCTCTTTTCATCTCCACTTTCCTCTGATTCCTCATGCAGGATTCTTGGAGGTTGTCATTGGTTCCACTCCCTTGGCTTTTTCCTTTTCAGACTAAAATGAGCAACAGACTGAGAAGAATACACTGTGTTCCCAGCTGGGGAGCAGAAAGAAAGAGGAGGAGGCCACTGAGGGAGGATGGAAGATGCAGCCCCTGGCCTCGTTGGAACGTGCCATCCAGTGAATAATTTCTTCCATTTTTCCTCCAGCAGGAAAAGGTGTCTTTTTTCTCCCCCAAGCTGTTGCTCATTTTGGCCATGTCCTTCCCAAACCTTTCCAAGTTCTCTCAATTCTTCATTTCCAAAGCTCAGTTTGAATCTAGCACAGAAAAACAATAATCTTATTTTAAAAGATGTTTAAATTCAAAAACTATAACATCTTGCTTATGTTATTTTAAAATTACAGTGGGAAACAAGAGCATTGGTGGCAGGGCTAGATTCTGGCTGTGTCACCACCCGGCTCTGGGACTTCTGCCGACAACCCTAATTTGTCTCAGCCTCAGTTGCTGGTAAAATGTGGATAGCAACAGCCGATTACGGGCTTGGTAGGAGCATTAGAGGCTAAGTGTGGGAGGCTCCTTGCACTTACTGATTTCTTTTTTTAAAATAGAAAATTATAAAATCTGAATCCTATTGTCTTTTTATGAATTAAAATGCACAGGCCCATGGTTTTCATGAACAGCAGTAGTGTACTCAGTGCTGCGACTGTTAATTTCTCAGCCCTTCCTAGGCAGGGCTGAGTCTGTCCTTCCAGCTCCCACAGCCCCTGGCTCATGCCTGTTCCCCAGGAGGGGCCATGTTGTAGCCGAGTGTTGATAAACCTGCCTCTTCCATGCATAGTGAGGCTCTCCAAGCAATGTCGAGCCGTCCACTCATCTGCGCACTTGTGTGCTGGCCTTGCCGCTTATGAAGTGCATTCATATGGCTGTAGAGAGTGGTATGATAAGATAACGGAGACAGAGAAGGGTGAGGGGATGAAGGGGGCAGAATGATGAGAAATTGATTAGTGGGTACAATGTACATTATTCTGGTGATAGATACCCCAAAAGCCCTGTCTTGATCACTACAAAATCTATGCACGCAACAAAATTGCCCTTGTACCCCATACATTTGTACAAATTAAAAAATAAAGCATGTTCACAGGCACTGTGACATTATTATTTCAGTCTTACAGCAATGCCATGAGCTAGTTCCTTAGGCCCATTTTACAGATGATAGAATGAGCTCAGAAAAACCAAGCCATTGTTCCATGGTCAAAAAGCCCATGAACTAAGTCACTTGAATGTGAATCTCAGCTTTTTTTTTTTTTTTTCTTAAGGTGAATTTTGTGTTTCTGTCACCTCTCAGCCCCACAGTCCTAGGGTTCTCTGTTTCCTACATCTGGCACTATCTCTTTTACACACACAAACTCAACACCCTCCTCTGTAGCCAGGAACTTAAATCATCCCCAGGTAGGACTGAGATGGCACGAGGGAAGACCACGTGAGGATAGAGTGAAGCGGCGGCTGTCTGCAAGTCAAGGAGAGAGGCCTCAGAAGAAACTAACTCTACTGACACCTTGATCTTGAACTTCCAGGCACCGGAACTATGAGAAAATAAATTTCTGTAGTTTTAGCCTCAAAAAAACCGTCATCTCCAGGTAACCTGGAAGCTCCAGTAATCCCCAGGTTTGTGAATTCTTGGAGTGCCATTAACATTGCTGCCAGCTCTGATGGAAGGAATCAGGGTACAAGACCATGACCTGCCCACAGAGTGCCAGGTTGGCCCTGGGAACCTGGCCAGCCTCTCTTCTTGGCTAACTCTGGGCACCAGAACCTTGTCTGAAATAATTCTGTGGTAGCTATAGAAACATCTTGAGTGGTCTTATACTCCCAAACATTATATAGATGAGAAAAGTATAGCTAAGAATGGCTGAAGCCACTCAGTGGAGCAGACTCTTGGTCCATGGCCCTGAATAAATCCTTGTGGTGGCTCCTGACATGACATCACACTTCCTCTTCCCCAAGACTCTTAGCAAGTGCACATAACAAGCTGGTCTTCATGCTCACCTGGACCACAGCTTTTTTGTACACTCACCTCTTCTCCGCTGTGCGTCTGTGTTGTCCTCCTTATCTATCCTGGGACATACCTGGGTGCTTTTCCCAAGCCTTTGCTGATGGACAGACTTGCTCAAGGTTCTGTGTGAGCAGAAGCTTCCTGCCTGAGTTCTTAGAGAAGCATGGTTGGCATCCCTGTGCTAAGAAATTCTTTCTGCTTACCGGTCTCTCAGAGGGAAACAGCTCTTTCTGTTGACTCTTGACCCTATAGTTTTACATGTTGGTTGACACTGGAAGCTTGTGTTCTCTGACCAGCTGTGCTTGTGCTATAGGGAGAGGACAGATGCTCTGTGTCCCACTCCTTTAGGACAAAATATTGGTTCCAAGATAAATTGATTCCCGGGTGCTCGCAAGCAAGGACACCACAACACTGTCTCTATCAGTGTTCTTTCTGCTGATAGAAGACTGGACTTTCACTGTTTTCCGACTTTGTCTCCAGTGATGCACGGGCTCACTGTGTGTCCAGGAAACAGTTTCTTGCCGGCATCTTCACCTGAAGTAGAGGAGGAACAGGATGCCCCCAGAGTCCTCGAGGGTGGGCCTGTGTCCACTGGGGGCAGGGTGTTCCTTTCCATCTGCCGATCTTTGGGCAGCCTAAGGACACCAGGGTGGGGGCAGGAGGAAGAGGAACCATGGAGGCAACATAGGCCACATCTGTACTGAGGCTCAGACAGTTTCCCCTTTGGCTTTGTCTTTCTGTGTCTGTTGAAGATAACACTTATTAAGGTAGAATCAACTATAATAATCTGCACCTATGTAAAGTGTACACGTTGGTAAGTTTGGGCTTATGTAAACACCCATGAAACCATCACCATAATCAAGATCGGGAATATATTCTTCACCCTCAAAAGTTTCCCCAAGCCCATTATAGATCAGTTTGCAGTTTCTAGAATTTTATATAAATAGAATCATATAGTATCTAGTGTTTAAAAAATTGATATGTAATTTACATACAATAAAATTCACTTGTTTTAAATATATATATTTGTAAGGACTCTCCAGAGAAACATAATGAATTGTGTGTTTGTGTGTGTGGGGGGAGAGAGAGAGAGAGAGGGAAGAAAATATTCAGTTTTGTAAAGGAATTAGCTCACAAAATTGTGGGGTCTGAAATTTGTAGGGCAGGCCAGCAGGCTGAAAACTCAGGCAGGAGGAGATGTTACAGTCTTGAGATAGAATTTCTTTTCTTGGAGACCTCAGATTTTGCTCCGAAGACCTTTAACTGATTGGGTGAGGCCCACCCAGATTATTAAGGGTAATCTTTTTATTTAAAATTGTGCCACCATCATCGCAATCTAATTTTAGAACAGTCCCATCACCCTGAAGCCTTAAACACTTTTTCCTTTGGATTTATCTTTCTGTGTTTCTTTTTTACCATTAAGGTCATCAGTACAAAAGGAACTAGACACCTCTAGTCTAATTCTTCAGCTCTTCTAATCTCATTTTTTTCCTTTATTTCCTCTAACAAAATGGGATACATGTGCAGAATGTGCAGGTTTGTTATATAGGTATACATGTGCCATGGTGGTTTGCTGTACCTATTGACCCATACTCTAAGTTCCCTCCCCTCGCCCCCATCCCCCAACAGGCCCAGGTGTGTGTTGCTCCCTTCTCTGCGTCCATGTAGTCTCAATGTTCAATTCCCACTTATGAGTGAGAACATGTGGTGTTTCGTTTTCTGTTCTTGTGTTAGTTTACTGAGGATGATGGCTTCCAGCTTCATCCATGTCCCTGCAAAGGACATGATCTCATTTTTAATGGCTGCATAGTATTCCATGGTGTATATGTACCACATTTTCTTTATCCAGTCTATCATTGATGGGCATTTGTGTTGGTTCCATGTCTTTGCTATTGTAAATAATGCCGCAATAAACATACATGTGCATGTGTCTTTATGGTAGAATGATTTATATTCCTTTGGGTATATACCCAGTAATGGGATTGCTGGATCAAATGGTATTTCTGGTTCTAGATCCTTGAGGAATCACCATACTGTCTTCCACAATGGTTGAAATAGTTTACATTCCCACCACCAGTGTAAAGCGTTCCTATTTCTCCACAGCCTCACCAGCATCTATTGATTCATGACTTTTTAATAATCACCATTCTTACTGGCATGAGATGGTATCTCATGGTGGTTTTGATTTGCATTTCTCTGGTCAGTGATGTTGAGCTTTTTTTCATATATTTGTTGGCTGTGTAAATGTCTTCTTTTTAGTAGTATTCCTATCCTTTGACAACTTTTTGATGGAATTGTTTTTTTTCTTGTAAATATGTTTAAGTCCCTTATAAATTCTGGATATTAGACCTTTGTCAGATGGGTAGATTGCAAAAATTTTCTCCCATTCTGTAGGTTGCCTGTTCACTCTGATGATAGTTCCTTTTAAGCAGTGCAGAAGCTCTTTTGTTTAATTAGATCCCATTTGTCAATTTTGGCTTTTGTTGCAGTTGCTTTTGGTGTTTTTGTCATGAAGTTTTTGCCCATGCCTATGTCCTGAATGGTATTGCCTATGTTTTCTTCAAGGGTTTTTATGGCTTTGGATTTTATAGTTAAGTCTTTAATCCATCTTGAGTTAATTTTTGTATAAGGTGTAAGGAAAGGGGTCCAGTCTCAGTTTTCTGCATATGGCTAGCCAGTTTTCCCAGCACCATTTACTGAATAGGAAATCCTTTCCCCATTGCTTGTTTTTGTCAGGTTTGTCAAAGATCAGATGGTTGTAGATATGTGGCCTTATTTCTGAGGTCTCCGTTCTGCTCCACTGGCCTATATGTCTGTTTTAGTACCAGTACCATGCTGTTTTGGTTACTGTAGCCTTGTAGTATAGTTTGAAGTCAGGTGGCATGATGCCTCCAGCTTTGTTCTTTTTGCTTAGGATTGTCTTGGCTACACAGGGCCTTCTTTGATTCCATTTGAAATTTAAAATAGTTTTTTATTCTAATTCTGTGAAGAATTAGAATAGTTTGTTTGATGGGAATAGCATTGAATCTATAAAACACTTTGGGCAGTATGGTCGTTTTCATGATATTGATTCTTCCTATCCATGAGGATGGAATGTTTTTCCATTTGTTTGTGTCCTCTCTTATTTCCTTGAGCAGTGGTTTGTAGTTCTCCTTGAAGGGGTCCTTCACATCCCTTGTTAGCTGTATTCCTAAGTATTTTATTCTCTTTGTAGCAATTATGAATGGGAGTTCATTCATGATTTGGCTCTCTGCTTGCTTATTGTTGATATAAAGGAATGCTTGTGATTTTTGCACATTGATTTTGTATCCTGAGACTTTGCTGAAGTTGCTTATCAGTTTAAGGAGTTTTTGGGTTGAGATGATGGGGTTTTCTAAATATAAAATCATGTCATTTGCAATCAGAGACAACTTGACTTCCTGTCTTCCTATTTGAATACACTTTATTTCTTTCTCTTGCCTGATTGCCCTGGCCAGAACTTCCAATACTGTGTTGAATAGGAGTGGTGAGAGAGGGCATCTTTGTCTTGTACTGGTTTTCAAAGGGAATGCTTCCAGCTCTTGCCCATTCAATATGATATTGGCTGTGGTTTTGTCATAAAAAGCTCTTATTATTTTGAGATATGTTCCATCAATACCTAGTTTATTGAGAGTTTTTAACATGAAGGGATGTTGAATTTTTGTCAAAGGCCTTTTCTGCCTCTATTGAGATAATCATGTGGTTTTTGTCTTTGGTTCTGTTTATGTGATGGATTATGTTTATTGATTTGCATATGTTGAACCAGCCTTGCATCCCAGGGATGCAGCCGAATTGATCTTGCTGGATAAGTTTTTTGATGTGCTGCTGGATTCGATTTGCCAGTATTTTATTGAGGATTTTCGCATTGATGTTCATCAGAGATACTGGCCTGAAGTTTTCTTTTTTTGTTGTGTCTCTTCCCAGTTTGGGTATCAGGATGATTCTGGCTGCATGAAATGAGTTAGGGAGGAGTCCTTCCTTTTCAATTGTTTGGAATAGTTTCAGAAAGAATGGTACCAGCCCCTCTTTGTATTTCTGGTAGAATTCAGCTGTGAATCTGTCTGGTCCTGGGCTTTTTTTGGTTGGTAGGCTATTAATTATTTTGTCAATTTCAGAACTTGTTATTGGTCTATTTAGGGATTCAACTTCTTCCTGGTGTAGTCTTGGTAGGGTGTATGCATCCAGAAATTTATTCATTTCTTCTAGATTTTCCACTTTATTTGCATAGAGGTGTTTATAGTATTCTCTGATGGTAGTTTGTATTTTTGTCAGTGGTGATAATCCCCCTTATTATTGTTTATGGTGTCGCGTCTATTTGATTTTCTCTCCTTCTTCTTTATTAGTCTAGCTAGCAGTCTACCTATTTTGCTAATTTTTTAAGCTCCTGGATTTGTAGATTTTTTGGAGTGTTTTTAATGTCTCCATCGCCTTCAATTTTTCTCTGATCTTAGTTATTTCGTGTCTTCTAGCTTTTGGATTAGTTTGCTCTTGTCTCTCTAGCTCTTTTAATTGTGATGTTAGAGTGTTGATTTGAGATCTTTCTAGCTTTCCGCTGTGGAAATTTAGTGCCGTAAATTTCCCTCTTAACACTACTTTAGCTGTGTCCCAGAGATTCTGGTACATTGTCTCTTCGTTCTCATTGGTTTCAAAGAACTTCTTGATTTAAGCCTTAATTTCATTCTTTACCCAGGAGTCATTCAGGAGCAGGTTGTTCAATTTCCATGAAGTTGTGTGCTTTTGAGTGAGTTTCTTAATCCTGAGTTCTAATTTGATTGCACTATGGTCTAAGAGACTGTTTGTTATGATTTCAGTACTTTTTCATTTGTTGAGGAGTGTATTACTTCCAATTATGCGGTTGATTTTATAATAAGTGCCATGTGGCACTGAGAAGAATGTATATTCTGTTGATTTGGGGTAGAGAGTTCTGTAGATGTCTATTAGGTCTGCCTTGGTCCAGAGCGGAGTTCAAGTCCTGAATATCCTTGTTAATTTTCTGTCTCATTGATCTGTCTAATATTGACAGTGAGGTGTTAAAGTCTCCCACTATTATTGTGTGGGAGTCTAAGTCTCTTTGTAGGTCTCTAAGAACTTTCTTTACAAATCTGGGCACTCCTGTATTAGGTGCATATATATTTATAATAGCTCTTCTTGTTGAATTGTTCCCTTTACCATTATGTAATGCCCTTTTTTCTGGTTTGTAGTCTGTTTTGTTAGAGACTAGGATGCAACCCCTGCTTTTTTTTTGCTCTCCATTTGCTTGATAAATTTTTCTCCATTCCTTTATTTTGAGCCTCTGTGTGTCTCTGCATATAATATGGGTCTCTGGAATACAGCACACCAATGGGTGTTCCTTATCCAATTTGCCAGTCTGTGTCTTTTAATTGGGGCATTTAGCCTATTTACATTTATTTACATTTAAGGTTAGTATTGTTATGTGTGAATTTGATCCTGTCTTCATGATACTATTTGGTTATTTTGCACACTAGCTGATGTAGTTTCTTCATAATGTCATTGGTCTTTATATTTTGGTCTGTTTTTGCAGTGGCTGGTACCAGTTTTTCCTTTCCATATTTAGTGCTTCCTTCAGGAGCTCTTGCAGGGCAGGACTGGTAATGAAATATCTCAGTATTTGCTTGTCTGGAAAGGATTTTATTTCTCCTTTGCATATGAAGCTTAGTTTGGCTGGATATGAAATTCTGGGTTGAAAATTCTTGAGTTGAATATTGGTCCCCAATCTCTTCTGGCTTGTAGAGTTTCTGCTGAGAGGTCTGCTGTTAGTCTGATGGGCTTCCCTTTGTAGGAGACCTGGCCTTTCTCTCTGGCTGCCCTTAAGAGTTTTTCCTTCATTTCAACCTTGGAGAACCTGATGATTATGTATCTTGGGGTTGATCTTCTCGTGGAGTATCTTAATGGTGCTCTCTGTATTCCCTGAACTTGCATGTTGGCCTGTCTTGCTAGGTTGGGGAAGTTCTCCTGGATAATATCCTGCAGTGTGTTTTCCAGCTTGTTTCCATTCTCTCTACCTCCTTCTCGTACTCAAATCAATTGTAGGTTCGGTCTTTTTATGAAGTCCCATATTTCTTGGAGGCTTTGTTCATTCCTTTTCATTCTTTTTTCTCTATTCTTGTCTGCATGTCTTATTTCAGTAAGGTGGTCTTCAAACTCTGATATCCTTTCTTCTGCTTGGTCAATTCGGCTGTTGATACTTGTGTATACTTCACAAAGTTCTAGCGCTGTGTTTTTCAGTTCCATCAGGTTGTTTATGTTCCTTTCTAAACTGGTTATTTTAGTTAGCAATTCCTCTAACCTTTTATCAAGGTTCTTAGCTTCTTTGCATTGGGTTAGAACATGCTCCTTTAGCTCATTGTAGTTACTACCCATCTTCTGAAGCCTACTTCCGTCAATTCATCCATCTGATCCTCTGTCCAGTTCTGTACCCTTGATGGAGAGACGTTTCGATCATTTGGAGGAAAAGAGGCACTCTGGCCTTTTGGGTTTTCAGCAGTTTTTCGTTGATTCTTTCTCATCTTCGTGAGTTTGTCTAGTTTTGGTCTTTGAGTCCGCTGACCTTTGGATGTGGTTTTTGTGGGGGCCTTTTTTTTGTTGTTGCCTTCTGTTGGTTTGTTTTTCTTTCAGTAGTCAGGTCCCTCTTCTGTAAGGCTGCTGCAGTTTGCTGGGGGTTCACTTTAGGCCCTATTTACCCAATTCATTCCCATGCCTGGAGATGTCATTCACAGAGGCTGGAGAAGAGCAAAAATGGGTGCTTGCTCTTTCTTCTGGGACGTCTGACCTCGAGGGGCACCAACGTGATGCCAGTAGGATCTCTCCTATATAGGGTGTTTGACAACCCCTGTTGGAGGGTCTCACCCAGTTGGGTGGCATGGGGAGCAGGACCCATTTAATGAAGCACTTTGTTTCTTGGTGGAGAGAGTGTGCTTCACTGTGGGGAAACCCACTCATCCAGGTTGCCTGCATTCCTCAGAACTACCAGGAGGAGAGGTTAAGTCTGCTAGTCCGCAGAGACTGTGGCCACCTCTCCCACTAGGGGCTCATGCCCAGGGAGATCCAAATTCTGTCCCTGATCCTCTGGCTGGAGTTACTGGAAATCCTGCAAGGAAGCCCCACCCAATGAGGAAAGATGGGTCAGCGTTAGGTCTGAAGAGGCACTCTGGCCGCTGACTGCCACAGCCGGTGTGTTGGGCTGTGGGGACAAGTCTTGGGGCCAAGCTGTCCAGTCTCCCTGGCTCCAGCAGGGGAAAAGCATAGCTTGGAGCTATAGAAATGGGTGCCGCCCTTCCCCCCACCCAGGGAGCTTAGCATGTTAGGCAGTTGTGAGTCATAGTGCTGGCTGCTGTCCCTCCCCCAAGGAGCTCAACCGGCTTAGACAGCAGGCAGCCATAGCTGATGCTGGTCGCCCTTCCCCCAGGGATTTCCATTAGGCTTAAGCAGATTCAAGCTGAGAGGCTGTAAGCATCTGTGCATTCTGTGGTTGGGACGCTAGACCCTGGTGGCGTGGATTCGCGAATGGGATCTTCTGATCCATGGGTTGCACAGTTCCATGGCAAAAGCATAGTCTCCCTGGCAGGGTAGCACACTTACCACCTCCCTTGGCTGGGGGAGGAGGTTCCCCTTGCCCGTGTGGCTCTCAGGTGTGCCACTGCAGCACACTGTTGTTCCTTCTCTCCGTGGTCAATTTTTTTGTTGAGAGAGCCCCGTAGTCAATTTTGATGAGAAAACATGGATACCTTGGTTGCTGGTGAAGGATTCACACACTTATTATGTTTTTTTTTTTTCACTGGGAGCCTCCGAACGTAGCTGCTTCTGGTCGGCCATCTTGGCCCTGCCCCCACCGTAATCTCATTTTAGTAAGACTTTTCCATAATTGTCTACTGATTATTTATTACTTATCTGTGTGGTAGAATTGAAAAACAATCACTTTTTAACAAACTTTGATTTCTTCATTTACAGTCAAGAATATTGAATTCTACTGATGTGTGTTGATCCCTTCTCTGTGTTACTTGTGTTCACAAGAGTCACCCCATTTTATTTTTAACCTCACGAGATAAGGAAGAGTTGACCCATTTTTGCAGAATAAGGAATGGAGTCTCAGAGAGGCCAAGAGCTGACACAATCAAGAGTTCAACTGAGATTTGAAAGTAGCCCTTCTGATTCTAAGTCCTTCCATTGCAGCCCAGCTGCCTGCTTCAGACATAAGCTACCCTATGTGCTTAAAAGAGCCCCATACAGCATCGATGCACATGACTAAGCCTTGCTGTGGGAAAGGATACCTTGTGGAGGTCTCTACTGCATGGAGGTTGGCACAAACAGGCAGGCTCACCTGGCATTTCTACCCATGCTTGAGACAGGATGCTAAAAAAGGGCACTTCTTAAAGAAACATGGAAAGATAGATCCAAGGGAAAAAGCATTTAAGGCCTTGGGGTGATGGAGCTGTTCTAAAGTTAGGTTGGGATAGTGGTGGCACAACTTTAGTTAAGTAGACTACAACTATTAAATTGTGTACTCTATGTTGGTTTTGTGTGCCAATCTGGCTTGGCTGTTAGTACTCAAGTAGTTTATGTCGTTTTCCTTGTTACCATTGTTGGAGTCATTGGTTTTTGGAAAACCAGGTTGGAACATGCTGGGGAAAGCATCCTTCCCAGGCCTATCCCTCTTGTCTTTCTCTTGCCAACACAGTCCTCCAACAGGCAGAAGCAACCTGGTGCTTCTGTGAGGGACCTGGAGAACTTTGCCTGAGGCTTTGCATCTTCTTAGCTCCTTCCCACCTCCTCCAGCTGCTGCCTGTGCCACAGGCGCCTTCTCCTCTGCCGCTCTGATGAACAACAAGGTGCAGTTCCACTTTCTGCTGTCATTTCTCATGGGTGGATGCCATCAATCTTGTCTTCTGTGTTCTAATGAACCTATAGCCCCCAACCACTCCCAACATCAAAATATGTCCTACAGGTTAGAATTTTGGTGCTACTTCTGATTTCTCTTTGACTGTTCCTTCCTGTGCCCAAGGCCTCTCAGAATTCCTTAACTGACCTTTCCATGGTACTCAGTTCCATGCCAGAATGGACTGCCATACTAGGAAACCTTTCTTCTGTTCTCTGTTGGAAGATCAAATCTATGCCATGCCCTCTCTTCATTTGATCTCTTCTTCCACTCTCTGACATTCCTACTTAAAACAGTAAAAACAAAAACAAAGAATTAAGAAAGAGTAGGGAAGCTATCCATGCAAATTAGCACAGGCTCACAAACTTGGGGGGCCTTGGGCCATGATTCAACATAGAAGAAAAATTTAGCCTGACACATAAGCGTTTCCTTAGGCGTCTGGACAACCTCTTCCCTCATCAACAAGCCAACCCTGCCGAGTCTAAAGAAGGGGTCAGTTTTGTAAAAACCTTATTATACAGGAAGACATTTCTATTCAGTTTCCCTGCAAAGGCAGAGGTAAGTTTCCCAGAAGAGCTAGTTAATTTCTTTGCTCACCTCCTGCACACTCAGTGAATTCCATGAAGTGATAGATTCTTGGGCCTCCGCCCACACATACAGGTATAAGGACAATGGATAGAAGAACCAGTTGCTTTAAGTTCTTAAAAATAAGAAAATGAAGACACCACAGCATCGCTTCATAGGCGGTTTTTGTGCCTTATGCCATAGAAATCTGTATGTCCTGGATTTTCTAGGACAACTCCAATTTCAGCTATATTTATACTTGTCAAGTCATAATTTCTTATTATTGGCTAACAAAATATGATCACCTTGGTTACAGGTGAGCCTGTGTTATGTGAGGTTATTGTCATAACTAATTTTTCTTGGATGGCGTCAAACATGACTGAGTTCTACCAAAGTGTATACTAAATGAGTCATATTATTGAGATGATACAGTGCAGTTACCAGGTGGTTCTGCTAATAATTAGAAACACATTTCTATATTTCATAGGACCAAGGAAAGGAAAACATCACCAGGAAAATGTTACATGTGGGGACAATTATTCTATAGGCCCTTGGCTGGGATTTGTGGATATGAACATAATTCAGAGGTAAAAGTGAAATACCAGAATAATACATGGAGATTTCTTCTATTGGTGCAGAACTACAGAATACAGGAATCAACATGCAGCCAAGTCTTGAGTATTCAAGGAATGATGACCCAATTTGTCGATTACTAAGACTTTTCCTCCCTTTTCCTATTCTCACAGTTCAGTGATCCTCAAATTTGAGTAATATATTTCCAAATTAAGAATTTAGAATTAAGAAAAAAAATTTTAAACCTTTAAAAGGCTGTGGTGTTTCTTAAATTATTTGTAAATTATTTGGAATTATATTAAAATTTGCACAAAGCTAAAATTTAAGATTCGATTCATATGCTTTTATATATGCTTGTTTTAATAAAAATAATTCACAAAGTAAAAACCATCAAAACCACAAAATCAGTAAGTTCAATATTAACAACATTAATTTACAGTGATGGATGATGTTTTGCTGAAACAACATGGGAAAGTGTAATTTTCGCATGTGATCAGGAGCAGAGGAGAACCAAATATTGGAAATCAGTGTTGGAGATCCACAACTTCCAGCTCCTCCACTAGCACGTAATGCTTTTTTCTCAGGGGTCTGTCAGCCCCAGCTTGGGGAACACTGCTTTTGCCATTTATGTAGAATTGATTTTCTTCTTCTAAGATCTGCCAGGGAAAGAAGACAATGTGAAACCAAAATCCACCAGATACCCTTGTTGTTGCTAAAGGGAATTTAGGGCTGTTTGTAGGTTTCAATTAGATAAAGTTTTGACCTCCTTTCTGGTTTCTCATTACCATGGCTATTAGAGCAGTGGTCCCCAATCCCTAGGCCATGGACTGGTACCAATCCATGGCCTGTTAGGAACAGGGCCACACAGCTGGAGGTGAGCGGCAGGTGAGCAAGTAAAGCTTCACCTGTATTTACAGCCGCTCCCATCTCTTGCATTGCTGCCTGAGCTCCGTCTCCTGTCAGATCAGCGACAACATTAGATTCTCAAAGGAGCACAAACCTTATTGTGAACTGCAAATGTGAGGGATCTAGTTTGGGTGTTCCTTATGAGAATCTAATGCCTGATGATCTGTCCCTGTCTCCATCACCCCCAGATGGGACCATCTGGTTGCAGGGAAACAAGCTCAGAGCTCCTACTGATTCTATATTATGGTGAGTTGTATAATTATTTCATTATATACTATTAATACAATGTAATAATAATAGAAATAAAGTGCACAATAAGTGTAATGCGCTTGAATCATCCAAAACCATCCCCCTCTTCTGGTCCGTGGAAAAACTGCCTTCCACAAAACTGGTCCTTGGTGCCATAAAGGTTAGGGATCACTGTGTTAGAGCATTATCCATCAATTGCCTCTTCAGGATTGCCCTCCTACTGCATTGGACTGGCTATAGCACAGCAGGCAGACACATGCCTTTTCCAGAGACTCCCACATTGATTTTTGAATGACACGAACACATCCATTAGGCCTGCCTTACATTGTAAGTGGATCCACTTGAAGGAGCAGCCAACTCATGTATTGTGATGTAAATGGTGCTGTTCTGCACTCAGCACTTTCATCTTCTAAGTGTTTCACAAACACTGCTAATTAATAGTCCTCTTTTCTGTGCTGCCAGGGAGGAGTTGTAAGGAAAGAATGATGGGTGGCTTTCCAGATAAACACATGTTAATTTTTATCTCAGGCTAAGGGGAAAGAAACAAACATATAGAGCCAAACACTTACTGTGTCTGCCACTATGACATTGATTATTGTATTTAAACCTCACAACAATCTTGGCAGGCAAAGAATCTTGGCATAAAGGTCTTCTTATCACCATTTTTACAGATGGTGAAACTGCAGCTTGTAAGGATAATTATAGTGAGGGATGGAGGCAGGATTTGAACTCATGTCTGGTGGTTTCCAATGCTAACACTCATTCTGCTACTCCACAGGGCAAAGAGTGGAAGTTTAGCATTTCCAATGTATTAGTCATTATCATTATTATAAACAAGTATTATTAATGTTTAATGACCATAATACTTCAAATTTATGTAGCCCTAATCTTTGAGACACTTAGAGTTCTATGCAACTATTCTGCTCTTGCTCAGTTCAAAAGTGGTAATATTTGGATTTTGTATTAGAAGTCATTTTGGTCTCATTCTTGTTTTAAGAGCAATTTTTCATGGGTTCAAACTCTTGGACTTGTGAAAATCTGGGATTGAAAACAATGTTTGCTTTGTCCTCAAAAGTAGTAGCCATGACATACCAGATGTTCTAATCTCTGATAAGAAAATTCTTGTTAAATTTTAATGGAAGAAAATGGACTGGCGGTTAGGACACATCCTTTACTCTTTTTTTTTTTTTTTTTTTTTTTTCCTATTATCACTTACAAAGACCTGGGACTATGGTTTCTCCTGGCTGTACCACTCACTTCCAAGCACACTGAGACCTTGGGAACTAATTCCTGGGTATGCGGCCCATTGTTCTAACCTAATTTTTACTGTTGGATCAAAGTATATCCATGGCCAAATAATGGTCCTATTGCTAGTCACTCTTTTGTCCACAAATGAACTGGAGTGAAACCCGTATCTTGACTGCTTTCCTTTTTAGCACCCATCAGATAAGCAACCCGGGCTGTTGAGAGGACGATGTTAACTGACCCCCAAGGCAGGACCAGGTGCTGAAGTCCTGCTCTTTCAAAGATGATGAACCAGAGAATACTGTGTCACTGCTTGTTCCATTCCTGTGCTGGTACTGGCAAGTGGGAAAGCTGGGATTCAAATCCAAGTCTGTGTCTCCAAAAGTCCATGTTGAAGCTGTTCTTGTTGCTGAATTTAATGAACCTCTAACACATGTAGGTATTTTACATTTTCAATAAATTGTTAATTTTTTATGGAGTGCCTGCTTTTCTCAAGTATTATACTATGCTAGGTGCTAGGAATATAGTAGTGAATGAAACAGCCAGAAAAATACATTCAAACTTCATTGAGCTTACAGTCTTTAAAGTACATATATTTTTAAATTTAATCCTAATAACTATTTGTGTGTATGCATGTAGTTATATGTATACACACATATGCATGTATCTACGTATACATATATGCCTGTGTAGTTGTCCTTGTCCTTGTTTTACACTTGAGAAGAATAATGCAGTGATTTATTCAGGATTGCATAGCTAAGGATTGTAGAACTTGAATTTGAATCCAGATCTCTGAATCCTAGATATTTCCACATTATGACACTGTCTTCTGTTCATGAAATGAATGGAAAATAGGGTTTTGCTGTAAAAGGTGGGCTCAGTTTTAGGGAAATAACCAAAAAACCATCTCCTTCAATACTCCCAATGGTGTGACAGTTCGTGTGCCCTTCAACAGATTTCCAAGAGTCAGGCAATGAATTCCTTTCTGTGTATTATTCATCATAATAAACTTCAGCTGGATGATCACTTTTATTTGTTATTTGGGAAATTGCCTGTGTTTTATTATCTGTATTTGGCAGGATCCAATGGAGAAAGTGATCCAATGGAAAGGATCCAATGGAGAAAGTGTCACTGAGCTGGGCCGCAGAGCTGGTTATCAAGGGTAGTCTACGAAGTCAGAGGTAAGCTTGACACATGGTGGTAGAATGAAGTTCACGGTGCTGTGTAGTTGTCCCTTTTTCTTGAATTACCGTGGGGCTGACATCCAGACTAAAGTGCTATTCTATGACCTTTCTACCAGTTCCCTCTCAGAATCACTCAAAAGAAAATAGAGAAATGAGAAAGAGAGGCGTGAATTTATTTTTTGATGAAACTAGGAAAACAGGTTACCCCAAATCACAATGTATGAGAAAGGGGTGGCAATGGCTGTGAAAATTAAACAGGAATGTGGAGAGACTGAGAAAGGCTGCTTCAGCTGCTGACGTCAGAGAAAGCTGGGGGGAAAGAGTAGGACTATCTCGAAGGCCCAAACCAGCAGCCTCTTGTTTGTAACGACTGGGATGAGCATGGAATCTGACTGCAGACGTTATCTCTGGACCTCATCTGGCAGAGAGATGAAGCTCAGTAGGCAGAACTGAATGAGGAAATCACCCAAACAAGCCATAGATGTAAGAAGCGGCCAGTTGGCAAGGAAGAGTGGTCTGGCAGGTGCGGTGGCTCACACCTATAATCTCAGCACTCTGGGAGGCCGAGGAGGATCACTTGAGGCCAGGAGTTCGAGACCAGCCTGGCCAACATGGCAAACCCTGTCCCTATTAAAAAATATAAAAATTAGGCAGATGTGGTGATGCATGCCTGTAATCCCAGCTACCTGAGAGGCTGAGGCATGAGACTCACTTGAACCCAGGAGGTAGAGGTTGCAGTGGCCCGAGATCACACCACTGCACTCCAGCCTGGGTGACAGAACAAGACTCCTTCTCAAAAAAAAAAAAAAACACGCACGCTCTCTCTCTCTCTCTCTCTCTCTCTCTCTCTCTCTCTCTCTCTCTCTCTCTCACATACACACACACACACACACACACATGCATGTACACACGTAAGAATTCTGAAATAAGAATTTTTGTTATCTAATACATAGCCCTGACCCTCCCCTCCCAAACTTCTGGCAAATAGCTGGTCCAGGAAAAATTCACTTCAATCAAAGATAAATGCTGTCAAAAAGGTATCAGAATATGATATATATGCATACACTATGGGAGAGGGGAAAGAAAAAGGAAAGGAAAACAATGGATAGTTGATGGATAGTCACCAGAAAGAAAAAGGTTCTCATGGAGCTGGTGGTAATTCTGATCAAGCTCATTGCCTTAATCATTTTAAAAACCAATATTTCTATGAAACAATAGCTCAATGCAGAGATGCAGCAGTTCTATGAAAATGGGCAACACAATAAAACCGATGAAATATAACCTGGCACAACTCATGAAAATAGTGAAAGAAAAAATAAAAGCCACTGAGAAATTAGAAGGAACACAAAGGCAGACAAGAGTGAGAAAGGCAAGCAAACAGCATGCATTTAGAGAGGATGTGACGGACACAAATGATGGAGACTAGAGAGTCTCACTTGTGTCTTTAGAAAGACCAGAAAAGGGGACCAGAAGGACCAGAATGAAGGAACAGAGAATATATTTTAACATCGTAATTAAAGTTTCCAGAAATAAAAGACTACTTGAATCTACACATTGAAAGGGAACACTGGGAAAAAAATGACTCAGGACAATCAACATCCAGCTATATCCTGGTAAAGGGACTGGCTTCCCATAGAAAGCCTCTGGGGCTGACAGACAAAAAGATCAAGTCACTTGTAAATAAAGAGACCATGAGCTAGTCTCAATTTGCATCTGTTTTCCAGCCATAATTATGTATTGTGTTTCCCTCACTCTCAAAAGTGTCATGACTTACACAAAAAAATTATAGGATTGCCTTGCTTAAATAAGTAAAATAATAGAGGAGAAGAAAGTCATGGCTTTAGACATCGCCACAGCAACACAGCAAATAAACAAAAACTCCTATGAATCCTCAAAGTATAACCCCCCCAATTTTAGATTTAATACTTAACCAATAGCCACTCAAATAGAAATAATCTCTTTTTGGTGTGCATGAACCAAGGAGCATAATTCTCCTAAGTCCTTCTTGATTAAACTGCTAGAAAACAACCTTCAGTGAACCAAGAAGGAAGAGGAGGATGTGTGCCAGGTGTGTCCCAATTTAAAATAATTTCCTTCCAACCTTCCCAAGATATCCCCCCTCTGCACTCCCTACTTCAGTTAATGATATCCCGAAATCTGATTGTCTAACTGGCAAACTGGGATTTATCCTAGTCACCTCATTCTCTTCATTCCAACACTTCACTAGTCGATAACTCCTGTCAAACTGTAAAACGTTCTCTAAAATCTTTCCTCCGCTTTCCATCTCTATTGTCATGCCTTGTTCAAATATGAGTCATTTGTGTTTAGACTATTTCAATAGTATCTTAATTGCAGGAGCAATTTTAAAACATTTCACAACTGGTGCCACACAGATGCTGAGCAATTAGAAAGGACACCAGTCATAAACAATAGCCCAGAACACTGGTGCTCATCAGCTGTCTTTGGTCTTTGCCTAATTGGTCTCCTTGCTTCTAATATCTACATTCTCCAATCCATCACATTGTAGTTATTATGATTTATCTAAAGTCTAAAGTTGATCATGTCATTCTGTAAGTTTCTTTGAGTTCCATTACCTGCAGTATAGATCAGTGTATGAAGTCTAAAGTCTTTGGCATTGAGAACAGTCTTTTAGGACATAGTCCCCACCTAATTCTTAAAGTTTCAAATCTAAACACTCTCACATTCAGTGCCCAACAGCCACTCTGGACTTCTTGCCATTTGGTAAATGCACCAAAGACTCTTTGAGATTCAAGTGTGTGGTTAACATTGTCCTACCTGGAGCAGGAATGGAATGTACATTTCTCTAAAAGATCCAGATTCTGGTTCTAGAATCACATCCGAGTGAGAGAATCCACATGGGATAAGTTCCAGGGCTGAGCAACCTCTCCAACAGGCGACCAGCCAGAGGTTGCTTCCTCCTCATTTCCTTCCCATTTTGAGTTTTCTCTGTTAAACATCCAGCCACATTACATTATAGACACACTTCATAATTTTTTTGATTAGTTGACTGACAAGAGAGTCCCTAAGGAGTGGATTCTGCCAGTGATGCCATTTTCTGTCGTTTGTAACAAATCAGTGGCCTCTCCCACATGACAAGGCAGGGCCACCTCTGGGAGTCCGAACTGAGTCTGCTGGTTCACTCATCCAACAAGCATGTTGAGAACCTCGGTCACTTATGGGGTTGAGACCGATATGGTCCCTGTCCTTATGAGCTTTCTGTCTAAAGTGGAGGGAGACAGCCAGCAGGAAACAAACAAATGAATGCAAAGTGTGAAAAGGGCACAAACAGAGTTTAATTACGGAGAATAAGAAGGGGAATCTGCATCTTAGGTGGTCACCAGAGGCCTCCCTCAGTAGGTGATATTTAAACTGCGGCCTGAAGGATGAGAAGGCAACAGCTATGCACAGATCAAAGGGGAGAATATCCTACTAGGCAGAGAGCTAGTTTTCATTGAGAAAAGCAAAAACACAGTGACTTTTTCAGTGTTTAGAAGCAGGATTGCATCCACTTATGTGAGGAGGGCAATGCGTGTGGTTTGAAGATATCTGTACCCTCCTAGAGAGAAATGAAATAATCCAATTTTAATTACACTTGTGAATACTCTGGTTGAAAAATCACATGTAGGATCCCGTTCTCCTAAGTGTGCTTTGTGAATTTCCCTTTGCATGTCTTTATGTTATCCTTCCCATCTGGACTGCTCGCTACTAACCTCCTCTACTGCAAAATTCCTGCTGCTCTTTGGAGCCCTGGTCCAGCCCTGCCTCCCTCAAAGGAACCCTCTCTGACAGCTCCAATCCTCTGTCTGGGTGTCTTCTCCGAGCTTCTGCACCCTCTCTATCTTCCTGAGTGAGCTATCGTCTGCGTATTATTTTCTTCCATGAGTACACGTCTCACTCCTTTCCTACGATTTAAGGAGAGACATCAAGTCTTTGTGTTCTAGCCTGCGATTCTTCACCCAGTGTCTGACGGCTCAAGATGTAACATTTGCTCAACAAGCAATTTCAAATCAGGGGAGACTGCCCACCTACCTCAGGAATACTATATAGCCAAAATCCAACAGAGCAAACAGGATTCTTTCAGTTTTGAGGGGTTTTTTTATGAATGAATTTGAACAGATGGATATATAGATGAATATATACAGAAAAATGAACAAAAGTCATGCTCTCCTTTAAGGGAGTAACTTAGTACACATTCCATGTAAACAAAATCTATAGTAAGATTTCCTCAAATAGAACTCAGGGACCAGCAGTTATGAGAAAATTGCCAACATTAAGAACAAATTCCAAACTACCACTCCAAAAAAATAAAAAATAAAAAGCAAAGGTCCACTCATTTTTACAGTACAAAAATTTTATTTTTTTGTTAGGATAATTTAAAGTTTAAAACTGAAGTAGACATATTCATTTTACAAACAAGATATTCTTTAAGTAAGACCATTAAAAACAGTAAACAAAAAAGCTGTCTTTACAAAAAGCTCTGTGCATAGCAACTTTATACTGTATATAACTGACAAAGCAAAACAATAAAATGAAACTATACAGTGTGAAAATGAAACCTTACTGTACAAAAGGTAGAGAAGTTAATGGTTTTTAAACCATGCATATTGAAATGTGCAAAGAAAAACTGAGAAGAATTACAACGCTATAACAAAAGAAAGATAAATAATGAAGTAAATTGTCCCTTTAAATGAAAAAAATCTTACACAGCTCCTCTTACAAACACAGGATAGAGTTTGTAGTTACCAATAGAAATACTCATATTCCAAGTGGCACAAAAATAACTTGGGACTGGAATGATTGAATAGCAATGACTAACGAGGACAGGGTAGCTTTGTTTTTAATTTATTAGTACACTAAAAATAATCCTTACACACATTTGTACAATTAAATAGCTCTGTTGCTGCCAGGGTTCTAGCTGAATGGTCAAGATGTCTGGTATTTAGTTACACGCATTTTTCGGTGTAAAGCTACCAAGAAATTCTACAATCATTTTGAAGACAGTACTGCACTCATCTTCATGCAAAAGGAAAATTCACAGGTTCTAAAAGCAATGCTACTTAAAAAAAACAAAATTTCCTTATGTTGGATTGGCTCAAATCCAGGGCTAAACATGCTTAATTTTGCTCTGCCTTCACTTTTGGAAGGTAACATTCATATTCCACACATTCTTCCCCTTCCATCAATCAGGTTTCTCACTGGGGGACTTTTTCTCTTATGTTTCCGTGTATTTTGGCGCTTTAAGCCCTGACTATGAGGGACTGTCAGCAGTAGTTATAAGCATGCCAGGTTTCTAAAACCTTGGATTCTCATGTGCATAGAAATAATATAAGTCATACTGGGTAATTCCAGAATGGGTTAAAGGCAAATAAGACAGTTGGGGCTGGATAGATGTGGGCCTGCATCAATGGGTCAAAGAGAAGGTATGCAGAATTAATGAAATCATCTAAAATTGGCTCAGATGCACTCATGATGTTTTTCCATGAGTGCTGCATCTATTTCTAATGCTGAAATCCCAACCAAGAACCCCAAACTAAGTCTGTGTATAGACTCTATTGTGGTGCTCATGAGTCAATAAGGAGAACCCCAACGTGGAAACAAGTGACATCTTTATTGGCAATCCCAATATGCCTGGATATGTCTCTAGGATTACATAAGCTTTCAAGAATCAACCACTGTTAGCAGCTAAGGCAAGGTTCTTCCCCTCTAAGAGCTAGTCACAAAACGATGAAGAGCCCATCAAAGGGCTGGGTAACTGTGCTGCATAGAACGCAGATGCCCCTAATCTCTGGATCTCCCAAGAATCTGGTCTTGCCTTTCTTCGAACATCAGAAGAGGGGATTAGGGCTTTTAATATCCCTCTCCCACATTCCGTCTCATTCTTGACTAGAAACTGTCGAGTGGCATAGCTATGTTTTTCAAGAGAGTTTAATGCCATAAAAGGGGAAATTGACAGGGAGAGGAAAGGACTTGGATGTTCTAAGACTGACTCTAAAGAGTCCATCAAACAGAGTTATCTTCTCCAAACCGTGTTGCTGAAGTTCTATGGGGCTGTGTACCTCTGTACTGAACCAGGCACCCAAAGCGGAGGGAGTGGTGGGGTTCTGGTGAGGAGGAATTCCCAAGGGGTCCCTTGGTTAAGAAAGTCTGTGGTTTTGGCTCTGCTAGAAGGTGAGGTGCTTCTTTCCTTGGGATGCTGAAAGCCTGAGACAGACTCAAACATGGGAATTCTCTGGACTGCTCAGGGGAGAACGTTGAAAGCTAATAATAGGAATTTTAAAAAGTATTCACAAGAGTGTGGACTATTTAGAAATCAGACGGAGCTGGGAATGAATTGATGGGTTGGAGTATTTGTGCATGTGCTAGAGTGTCTGTTTCTGCATTAGGGTGTTCTGTGGGAATCTACATGTTCTTGCCCTTGGGTCAATAAAGTGATGGAAAAGGAGGGGGTGCAGGACAGGGGATAAGAATCTAGTAAGTAACTGCAGTAATAATCACACACCTTTAAAACTTGTTACTACATGTTTGCATCATTTTCATTTTACATCAGGAAGAGAAATCCCTCTCTCTTCCAAAAAAAGGTCTTAATTTCTACCTCTACTTACAATAAGTTACACATTTATTTATTTAAATAATTGTAAAACATTTTAAAATTTTTCCCTTTTTTTGTTCATTTTTTAAAGAGATTAAGCTATAAGCAAACACACATACAACATTTCATCATTCAATTCAGGTTGCGTTTTAAGAAAGTCTTCCGTGCTGGTACCCTGTTTTGTTCAATTTTTTTCTGCATAAACTAAATTGGTATCTGAAAGGCTTCATAGAAAATAGAAACTTTCAACTTTTTTTTCCTACAAAGAAAAACAAATAGTATCCAAAATATTAAGCATTAATTGTTTGCCAATTTTTTCTTAAATATTTTACAAACATAGGAAGGTGGTTTTCATAATGTTCATAACAAAGAATTGCATTTCTGCTCTTAGCACTGACTACGTCAATGACATCTTTTGTCCTTGTCCCAAGAGGGTCAGTTTGTGTAGCCACCATCAGAGCTATAGGAGGACGTGGGACCAAGTAAGATGCTGGCTCCTTGCAGACCCAAGGGTGTCCATCATGTTCATGTGGGGGCACCACTACACCCCCAAAAGAGCTCCTAGTGCTTTCTTCATTATTGGTCCATCAGAGTAAGTAGTTTTGTGCTATAAGAAAGCAGTTCTTCTTTACATCGGGGGTACAACAAGTCCGGTCATGGCTGCAAGGAAAGAGTGGCACAGGAATGAGACTTGGGGACTTTTTATGTTCAAGGCTATGACACAGAATGAGGGGCAGGGGATGGGAATGATAGAGTCTGATGCTATTCAAGGAGATGGTGCCCTCAGCTGATATGAGGACCTGTTCTCCAGGTTTGGTCTAGCAGACAGCCCATTAAAGGCACTGAAGCCTTATGGAATCACTGAAGTACAAGGAAACCTTGATGAAGTTTTGCCTGGGAGGCCAGGAGTTATGTTTTGTTTTATATGGGTTGTATAAATGAGACAACAGATGTAAACATGTAAACTAAACTGTAATATATGCATATTTTTTTATTCAACTAAGATAATTTCCAGATTATACTGCTCCAAATCACTTAGTTGGAACAGGAAAGGAAATTCCAGGTGCTGAGCCTGTTGATTTACTAGGGCATCGTTGATAACAAATCAAGCTTTTTATCTATCCTTCACTTCTTTGGTGAGTGCATTTTTTTTTTAATTAGCTCATCTTCCTTTGGTGCTCACTGTTCATGTCTGATGCTCATTGCAAATGAACACTGATCACTGGAATAGAAGACTTCATTTAGTCCCTCAGTTCCCACTCTTCTTTGTTGAGGTGGAATCTTGTTCTGTCACCCAGGCTGGAGTGCAGTGGGGCCATCTCAGCTCACTGCAACCTCCTGGGTTCAAGTGATTCTCCTGCCTCAGCCTCTGCCTCCTGAGTAGCTGGGACTACAGGTGCATGCCACCATGCCTGGTGAATTTTTGTATTGAATGGGGTTTCGCCATGTTGGCCAGGCTGGTCTTGAACTCCTGGCCTCAGGTGATCCACCCACCTCAGCCTCCCAAAATGTTGGGATTACAGGCATGAGCCACTGTACTCAGCCTCCAATTCCTACTCTTCATCACCCTATATGAATGGAGTAATCTAATTCTTTCTCCCTTCATCGGGTCAAAAGGATTCGGACAATGCCTGTCTGGGCAGAATCACTTCCCAGGGTTTCCCTAGATGTGGCAAATAAAGCAGCACCAGCACAATGTGGAAAAATCCCACAGCAAAATGTATTCCTCCTGCCTTGGCTTTCAGAGGATAAGCCCGTGGGATTTTCACATTCTTAGAAAATGGCAGAATAGTTTCCATGCATCAGAACCTTTAAAATCATATCTAGAATTTGATCCTTTGCATTTTACTATCTACAATGCATCTAAGGAATTATTCAATATAATAGAAGCATTTTGCTGAGTGTTGCTTACTAAGCTTCCAAGCAAATGGCTGAAATTCTCTCTGCTTTTCTCAACCCTTCCATCTCTCTCTCCTCTCTTACTCTCTCTGCCCCTTTTTTCCACATCAGCTAGTCCTCTCGGGTAAAATTGTCAGCTGTCTATTTCCCTGCCCATATAGCCTTTATTGAATGTTTGTGAGATCTGGATTAAGGTCTTACACAGCTAGCAAAGCCTTAATTATTTTTGCCTGTATTACTATATATTGAATCAATGTAACTTTTCAATAAAGGCGGTTCAATTCTGGACACTCCCTGATGACTTAGAGATATAGCAACCCTAGTAATTATCCCAGAGTGTAGGAGGTTTTTTTATTTTATTTTTTTTTTCCTGGAGGGAGCTGGAAAATGAATCAGACACATAGTGTGTAATATTATCTCAACAATCTATACTCATCAACTGGAAGCAGCTGATAAATGAGGTAGAAGGTGGAACCATGCTGTATGTGGAGCTCTCTGGCAGTGGAATTCTGACTCACAAACTCCTGGCTGGGCACGGTGGCTAACACCTGTAATCCCAGCTGTTTAGGAGGCTGAGGTGGGAGGATCGCTTGAGCCCAGGAGTTCAAGACCAGCCTGAGCAACATGATGAAAACCCATCTCTACAAAAAATACAAAACAGCCCAGCATGGTGGTACATGCCTATAGTCTTAGCTACTCAGGAAGCTGAGGTAAGAGAATCTCTTATTGAGCCCAGGAGGTCAAGGCTGCAGTGAGCCATGATTGCACCACTATACTACAACCTGTGTGACAGAGTGAGACCCTGTCTCAAAAAGAAAAATCTTCAGTCCCTTCCTTTTTCTGGGTGCTCAGAGAGATACCAAAGGGGCTCATGTAACAGCAGAGGTGCTCAAAGATCAAGATCCCCTGAATGACAGAAAAGAACAGATTTGAGATATATCCCTTCCTCCTAGTCCTACATCCAGACTGGGTAGGCCTGATCTCTGCTAGGTGGAAACTGACTTTTTGCTTGTAGAAACCATAGGCAACAGACAGAAAGTAATAATCTCCCTTTGAACCAGGTGGAAAGTAGGTATGGGGGTAGGGGGTATAGGGTAAAGAGAAGAATTTCACTCTCATTGTCCCTGAAGACACAGTGGGCTGCCAGAGCACAAGCTCTGGAATCTGCATGTCTGGGTTCAAGTCATCAGACTTTTCCTGTGTGGCCTTGGGTAAACTGCTTAACTAAGAATGGTGATAATGGCATGACTTGGAGATAATTCTCTTAAGGCACTCAGTTCGGCACCTTGCCTATAGTGCTCAGGATAGTTAGCAAGCCTCAAAGAGTGTGGGCAGCATATGCCTTTGCAGACAATGAAGTCTAGAGAAGGGCCCCTCCCCAGCCTGCGATCACCCAGGCACTCAGCCCACATTGTCACCCTCCCACTGTGTATCTCTAAAAAGATGGAGCTCCCTGTCCAGCTGGTGTCTGAGATCCCAGGATTTTTTGTTTGTTTGTTTTGTTCAGTGACTGTGCATTAAATGTCAGCTTGGTTTCCTCTCTCTCTGTACTCAAGGGAACTTCACAATGTTGGACACTGAGCTTCCATGCACCTGGTCTAAAACGAGGAAGAGCATAAGGTAAGGTCACTGAGGGCATCCTTTGTCAACCCTCGCCTCCTCCCAGCCAGGCTGTAGGAAATATCTGTTACCTTGCCTAGTTCTTCACACAAATTAGTCAACAACCACCTTTGGGGATAGCTGTCGATTTTCTATTTAACAGACTAGGAAACTGAGGCTCTGAGATAATGGCATGCACAGATTGACAAGGCCCGGAAAGAGCTGAACTAGAACTCAGCACAGGACTGGTGACATCATGGCCAGCACTCTTCCAGTGGCTAATACTCTTTAAGGATTTCTCCACACGTCACTTGATATTTTCATAGATTTTTTGCAATTTCTTTTTAGGCTACTGCCCTAAATCGACAGGTAGTTCTATTTTTTTCCTCCCCGACCTACTCCAAACATTTTATCTTTTAGAGAGACTACATATGGGGTACAGTGGATACTGCTAAGGTAACTCGTGCGCCGAAATCTCAAATCACCACTAGAGAACTTATCCATGTAATCAAAAACCACCTGTACCCCCAAAATTAATGAAATTTTCTTTTAAAAAAAAACCTATAAAAACTTTTATCTTTTAGAGATGAGGTCTTGCTATGTTGCACAGGCTAGGCTCAAGTGATCCTCCTGCCTCAGCCTCCCAAGTATCTGGGACTATAGGTGTGTGCCACCACGCCTGGCCCCTTCTTCTTTTAAAGGTTCAAATCACCAGAGGAATGTGGAGGGAACTGAAGGATTCAAATGAGGTTTGGGACCTTACAGTGACTCTAGAAATGAAGCTAGAGCCTAGAGCCTGTGCCTACATGCAACTCACCAAGTCATTGCTCCTATAAACCTATCAGGAATGTGCTGCTCAGCCCGAGCATCCTGAGGGGTGGTGACCAGAATTTTGTGTGGCTGGGGACCCTGGAGAGGGTCTTCTGTTTCTGCTGCAGCTGCCCTCACAGGGAACCTTACTAAGACCAAGCAAGGTTTCCTTCCAGCTCTTTGGGCTGGCTCAAACCTGACTTCAGTAACAGCACGGGAGTCTTGGGCATGCAGCAGGAAGTGGGGTGGGGATGACAGGCCCTGGGAGTCTGTAAGAAACTTGTCCTGGCCCCATTGTAGGCTCAGAGCCAGGTAAAATAGAGAAGATCTGAGACAACCAGCTCCACTTTCCCGTGAGAGAGGAGGTGGGGAAGGGGTGATCAGTGGAAGTCAAGTATCCTTTTTTCCTTTAAGTAACATATGTGCTAAGTGGCCAGGAATGAGGAAAGGGCTGCATCCATCCTGTCTGCCTCCCGTCCAATGCAGAGGAAAGCCTGCACCCCTCCTTGGTCTGTCTCAATCTGCATTTTGCCAGTAAGACTTGCTGGGCCTCCACTCGGGTTAAGGTCGATGAATAAAACCAGAGAACTTAAAAAGAGGAAACATCAACACTGAAGAGGTCATGGGGAAGAGGAAGGAAAGTACGGTAAATATTCAGCAATCGTTTTCATTTCCCTGTCTCATGGAAAAAGCTCTGGGCACATTCCCTAAGGATGGGATGGAAACCACTGGTCTTTGATGAAAGATGGGCAAGTGGAGACACTTAGCTACAGGCTCAGCCTATTTCTCTAGGAATTAGACATCTGGGTGAAAATCCCTGCCAAAAAATCCATGAAGTTTCCAGATGTTTCCAACTACCCATACATTGGGTGGTATATAGACCCCGCTGCTTTCTCTAGTGAGAAGTAAAATAATTTTCAACAATGTTTCTGAGTACTGGGTTTTCCATTCTGGTTTTGACAGTTTCTCTGTAGAGTCACTTGACTTCCAGAAGACACCATCATCTCCAGTGTTGGGATGGCTCAGGAACCTAACGTACCTCCCAGAGCTCTGCTCAGCCACAAGAGGAGACTGACCTCTCACACGTGTCCCAAAAGAATTAAGAACCCACACTCTATCATCAAACCACCAGGCAGATGCCATCCCCAGGACAATGCAGCCCATCCAAGGTTCCCCATCAAGCACTGCTGACCTTACAGCCTTTGATCCATGAGGGTTAATGAAACCTCTTCCCTTTTTAGTTTTACCCAACCCTGCTTGTTGTAAATATTTTCTTGTCAAGAACATGAGAGGAGCAGCCTAAAAATAATGTGGGTTGCCAGTGAGCCCCAGTCCTCAGCAGTTTCCAATGTGCTCTTTTGCTGTCTGCTGCCCTCCATCCACAATGAGATGATTTTTCATATACTCATCACATTTGTGTTATGTCATGCCATATTATATTTTAGAACATTGCTCAAAAATGGGTTTGATGGATAACTTTTGTTCTTAGAAACTATGACTTTTCTATTCTCCACAACCCCCTAATCAGGCACCTGCTATCAATTTGACTTGCATGTAACCAGAATTCTCAGAACTTGTTGGTTGCTCCTGCTGGCTCCTGTCCATGTATGCCAAGAGGACATGATGGCAAGCGGATTAGGTAAGCAGAAAGCACCATGTGGTATCCCCTGGGGTGACTGGGCATTTTCTGAGAGATAGCAGAATGGCCTTGTGGACAGCATAGGGCTGGGAAGTCCAGACACTCCTCAGTTGTATTAACCATGGTTAATTCCATTACCTGCAGAGTTTGCTGATGTCTGTTTTCCCTGATCTTACTTTTTAAAAAAATTTGATTATTTTTTGAGATGGAGTTTTGCTCTTGTTGCCCAGGCTGGAGTGCAATGGCGCGATCTCAGCTTACTGCAACCTCTGCCTCCTAGGTTCAAGCGATTCTTCTCCCTCAGCCTCTCGAGTAGCTAGGATTACAGGCACCCACAAACACACCCAGCTAATTTTTGTATTTTAAGTAGACACAGGGTTTTACCATGTTGGCCAGGCTGGTCTCAAACTCCTGACCTCCAAGTGATCCACCTGCCTTGGCCTCCCGAAGTGCTGGGATTACAGGCATGAGCCACCATGCCTGGCCCCATCTTGCTTTTAGATGGAGCACTTGCCTAGCTGTAGAAGCCATTCATGTCCCATGATAAGAACAGCAAAGCATCTCTTTGCAGGTAAATGGCTGGAGCTATACAATGATGTGCTGTTTGCTCTTACTTTGCCAACCCTATGGTACATTGTGTATCCCCAAAATAGAACCCTTGCTTACCTCTGAATCCATTTCCATTGCCGCTGGAGCAGGCAGGTGAAGGGGAGCCTTGGGGCCTGATGACAGGGGCAAAGGCACTCTTCTGTTTGACAGCAGGAAAAACTGAAGAGGAAAATGGGAGGATGGAGGATGTGCTGGAAGACCCAACGGTGGGACTTGATGACATGACTGGAAAGCAAATGCACAATCCTCATTTAGAAATTAAGATCTTCCTTCAGTTCACACATTTGGCACACATTTATTGAGAAATTGTTAATTTCCATGCATTGTTCCAGATTGCAGGGATTAAAAAAAAAAAGTTGAATGTGACAACATTCCCACCATGTCCAGTGGGAGGAACAGACACATAAAACAACTAATATGGTAATGACGCTATTAGAGGAAGGTACCCAATGCCCAAGAGATGCAGACAGCAAAGGGCACTTGTGCTTGGGAGAGTCAGGAAGGCAGCTTCAGGAAGTGATGTTAGCACAGGTCTTCATTCACAAGCAGAAGCTTGGCAAGAGAGAAGACTGAGATCAAACATGCCTGAAAAATCATCAAATCTACCCAGCAATGGAAATCGCTTTCACACCCTACAAAAAAAGTCCTATTTGGGAGCTATGTGCCTCCCCCATAACTCCTAAGGCTCCAGGGGTTTGGTCTGTAGGGTTAACATCTTCTCTGAGAGTGCCATCTCTATGGGCCACTTCCTCATTAAATGTAAAAGTGTATTAACATTCAGAAAACCGTCTTCCTCTCCCGTAATTTCAAGTGCTCTTGGGAAATATAGCTGCAAGTCGGCCTCCCCTGACATAATGTTTAGAAAAAACACCAATATTAGTGATATTAACATTAAAATGACTTAAGGGAAGACAAAAGCCAAGCATTATAATTTCCAAGAAAAAATAAAAGCAATTTACATAATGAAGTACCCCACCTCTTAATGTCAGATACTCCACCAAGTTATATCATGCAAGATGATAATTTTATCTTCTATGTTCAACTTAAGAAAGGAGTAAACTAGAGTACACAAGGGCAAAACTCTTAAATATAGCACCTTATAGTATAGTTTTAGGCACTTGTGTTAGCATAATTCCCAGAATTCTGAACTGTCCAAGTCACATGACTTGACAAAAGTGTTGTTGGAGCCTAATGACCAAGCCCAGCAGTGCTATTTCTTGCTTTGTATTTTCAATGGACCACCTGTCCTTCAAAGTAAATTCGAAAGTGAGGACAAGGGCGACACTTATGACTGACCAACCAAGTACAAGGTGAACTGAAGGTCAAATGTTCTGATGTCCATGGACAACTCCACCCTCATTTCCCCTCCTTCCCTATAAAAATATATTTTGGGCCACGTCCACCCAATTGCCTGTATAAAGCACTTATATAGCATACTTCCCATATGATGTCTTTTATAGCCAAACTAAAATCCAAAGACTTCAAAAGAAGAGCTTTCTCTAAAAACATCTTATCCTTAAAGTAGTCTTGATTTAAGGAGCTATGCATCTGAGTACATCTGTCTTTCCTCATATATGGATAAAAAGAAAAAAATTGGAAAGGAGAACAAAGTTCTGGAAGAATCTCATGTAATACTTGAATATGTAAATGAATAAAAACACTGTTGGGCTAATTCACATAATAAGGACACAGGGTTAAGCATGAGGAGTGGGTCTTATTCATGGTTCTGAGCAAAATCTCTTCTAGCCTTGGGTTTGGCATTAGTGAAATAGAAAAAATCCAAAAGCAAAAAATCCCCAACTTTTCATTTTCTCTACGGTACAGAATTAGAAGCCAAAGAAAAGCTGGGACTTAGGAGGCCCTGATTCTACCATGGTCCCCCAAATGGCGCCTTGGTTTCCCTGTCTACAACAGCAGAACCTCCTCTCAGACATCATCATTGAAGAGGTTTTTACAATGTGAATGAGGCATTCACACACACTCCATTCCATTTATATTCAGCAAATGACTCACTAGTACAGATAATTATTTTCTAATAACAGATTTCAACGGAAAGCAGGGCCCATTAGATCAAAAATGGTTCCCTTGCAGTGGGAGAGGAAACACCTCAAGCTTTACTAAGTGACGTGAAGGAATTGTTGCAGAGTTGAGCAAGTACATGCCCGTTTTAAATATTTCTTACAACAATTTTGTAAAAATGCCAAAATGCATTCAACTGAATTTAAAATTCGATGCAACTATAATAAAAATGCTGAAAGGAATTTTAATTTGTGCATTTCGGCAAACACAATTACTATGTTTATCTGTTTCATAAAACAACACCGTAAGAGACAGGAAGTTTTGTTTAAAAACTTTTTTTAAGTAGTAAGAAGGCACTTATCTTCATCAGTGAAATCAGCATTGTGCTAGCACAGAAATAGGCAGACAAATCTTTAGAGCAAAATAGAGTTCAGAAACAGACCTGGGTATAGATGGGAATTAATACTTAATAAAGGTGACATTTCATATTAGTAGGAAAATAAATGCATGGAAAAATACACTAACCATTTGAAGACTAAGTTTAGAGTACTTTCTCCTGCTAAACACCAAAATAAATCTAAGTAGATTAAAGACATTTTTAAAAGCAAAATTGTAAAAGTGCTAGTAGAGCTGTTAGGATGGTTAGAGGTTCACAAGATAGATTTGCCACATAATGAAAAACTTCTGCAACAAACACAAAAAGGCAAATGACAGATTAAGAAAAATATTTGTAATACTTATTTAGATATGTTCATATCCTCAATAGCTCATAAGTTAATTGGAAAAAGAAAAACGCCCCAAGAGAAAAATAAGCAAAGGACACAAAAAAAGAAAATCAGGAATAAAAATGACCAAGAGAGATCCATATAGAAACACTCAAACTGATTCATAATAAAATGCTAATTAAAACGGTAAAAAGATCTTATTTTCCACTCACTAAATAGAAAAACTTAACAGGGCGGGGAAACATATAATAATCTTTCTTTTCTAAGGGAAGAATTAACCTCTCTGGAGGGTCTTTGGCAATATATATAAAAGTATTTTAAAATGTGTACATCCCTTGACCCACTAATTCAATCTCTAGAAATTAATCCCAAGGAGGTAGTCACGACTGTGCCAAAAATAATAGGTTCAAGGGCATTTTTATAATAATGAAAAATTGGAAAATAACTTAAGTGTCCCACAGTAGGGTACATTATATTTAGCCTATACAATAGAAGGCTATGCCAATATTAAAACTAACGTTGTAGAATAATCACATGGAAATATACACCTCTTCAGATGAAAAAAAAACAGATTACATAACACATACTAAGCCCCCTTTAATTTTTAAAAATACAAATAGCAAAACTCTAGAAGGATGTGATATATGCCCAAAATTTTAGCAATGGTATCTCTGGCTGATGGGATTATGAATACCCTTAAATGTATTGCTTTCACTTGTCCGTATCTTCAAAGTTTTCTACAACAAACTTGTATTACTTTTAATACATGGTAGGAGAAACCAGTAAAGGCTATTACATTTTAAAAATGGAAAATCTCGATTTCTTTGGGAAGAAATAATACAATCCTTAGCAATAGACATAATAGTGTTTAAAAATAATTTTAACTTTCCTCTTTCATTTAAGGCTGTACTACTTATAAACAAAGTTGTCTATTACTCTAATACCAACCCCCACCTCCAAAAAAAAAAAAAAAGCAAGAGATGAATAAATCCTCACATTCCTGGGAAACACTTGGTGATTGTAGTCAACTTTTGAAAGCAAACACCACTCCTCATATCTCTGTTCCCCATTCTTATGACCTGGGTCTGCATCACTGAAGGATTTTATGCAGCCCAGCTTCATATCTGTGACTTTGGTAATTTTACTGCTTTCCTTCCACCCTCTCTTTCATTGATCTTATGGCAGAATCTCATTAGTTGTGCATCAGAGCAGACACTGCAATTTTCAAAATGTATCTATCCATGACTGAAAGGCTATCCTTTAAAAATTAACAATGGTTACCTCTGCACAGACACAGAGTGTGCCATTTTTCTTTCCTCCTTTTTACCTATACGTGCTTTTCAAGTTGTCTGTAATGAGAATACTACTATTTTAATAGGCTTTTTTTTTCTTTTCTGAAGAAGTAGAAATATATCAGAATTCAAAGAGGTTATTCTTATGGTGGGAGTACGCTTTCTTTTAAAAATTATTTTTATACATTCTACATTTTCTGTAATAATAATTTAATATTTTACAATAGAGAATGTCTTAGTATTTATTTTTGAAACTATAAAACAATTGAACCCCAGAGCATGGTCTAAGGCTCTGAACATGATGTAGGAATCTATGAGGACAAGTTGGCTTCCTGCCTGTATGGATTCTGTCCCAAACTCTGCGTAGGCTTGGTGGCTATTCTGCTTTGGAAGAAGTGGTCCCTATGGGTGTTACAGGCTTGTTAAATAGACAATCTTTTGGGACTGCAGAGAGAACCATTTTAGGAAAGTTGATTGCATGTACTTCCAATCAAGAATTTCTCTGGACATCTATCTCTCTATGGATAGAGGCCAAAGTAAAGAAAAGTACGTCTGGCCCAGAAATCTCTGTGAACATGGGGAGTTAAGGAAAAACCACTTTTCTTTGTAGGAGGATTGATTGGCTTGCATAGTCTCAGCTGGAACTCACCGGGCACATATCCTCCTTTGCATCAAGCCAGTGCATTTTTTGGAGCTAAGGGGTCTGTCAGCATTTCATTATAATCCCCTATTGTCAGGGGTTTAGAATTCAGCCATAAAAACTTGCACTGAGCTGGAACTTGGCACACTGCTACTGCCAGGAAGTGAAGTTTGTATGTAAAATTGAAAAAACATCTGTTTGGCCATTTTTGAAGTAGTGCGAGAGCAAAAACAGTAAAGATGCGGGTTTCTGATACTCTACGTTGGCTGTCATGCAAGTCAAACTTGACTAAGAAGCTTGGCTCTTTCTTACTTAGTGTCTCTGGCAAGTATTTGCTCCGTGGCATGGTCCAGCCACATCAGATGCATTTTAAAAAAAATCATAGAATTGTGTTTTCAGACACAAGCAACTGAATTGACAAAATGTTTTCCCCCGGGCTTTTCTTTTTTTGTATTTCCCAGAGAAGTAAAGACTTGGCTGGCTAGAAATACAGGTCAGGTGCTATTGTAATGAACTCCACTGGGTATTCAGTATTTTTGGAGTAAGTGAATTTGATTGTAATGAATGCACTGTTTGGAATTTCATTCCTAGGCTGCAACTCGTTCAGACCCTCCCTCCAAAAGTGAAGGTGCAAACCACCACACCAGATTCAATAGGTACAGGGAGGAGGTTTTCTCCCGTCTCTCTTTCTGTCTCCCAGTTGGGCAGGTTGCCTTCCTCTTTTTCCTATTCTGTGTCTACCATCTCATTTTAATGGGTAATTTGAAGATTTGGGGTGTTATTAGTTTTCTTGTGGCAGTGGGTTTGGGTGATCATGAAAGAACAGTAGAAGGAAGTCGTCACTGGTGGGAGTGGGAAGGATTTCTCTCTACCAAATGAATTATTTAGGAAGAAATATTAAGAAATTCACACCTAACTGTGCATTTTCATTCATCTTTTTTTCCTCTCCTTTCTTCTCCATCCTCTTCACTACCACACTACATACTGTATTATAAAATTGATCATTTTTATGTACAAAAACAACTATTATGATTCAACTTCATTCATACCTACATAGATTATGATTGAATGATATGAAATTGCCACTTTTGTAGATCAAAATGGTCAAATAGAGGGAATTTCCTATGGTTTAGCCTAATATTACACTATAAATACATTAAATATTCCTTAATAATTTAAAAACGTGGTATTCTGAGTGTGATGATGTGTTCTAGTCCCTTTTTTACTATTTATTGGCTATGAACTCTTAAGTCATTCAATAACTCTTCATCTCTTACAACGGATAATGATAAAAATGATTGTATCCATGTCACAAGGTTGTTGTGAGGCTCTGACTGGACTCTAGATGTCAACATGCTTTGTAAGCTGTAAAGTGGAATGTAATTGTTAATTCATCTTATTGTTGTCACTGTTATATCATTGTTTACACAATGGATCTCTTGCCACTGCATCATGTTTAGGGGTTGTTAAAGATGTGGTCTCTTTACCACACCAGACACCACCTCCAGGAGGAAGCATGGGAAAGACCTCTCCAACATCTCAGTAACAGAAATAGCCACCTTTCTTCTGAGCTACTTTAAAAAATAATGTGTGGACATAAAATCTTATAACAAATAGTGTTTCTCTCTTTGCTTTAGCCTCTTGTAAACTCAGAGCAAAGTAAATGACTCCCTTGAATAGACCAAATGATATTCATGCTGGCCCTGGCATTTTCTAATTTCCTGAACCATATTTGTTTCTTTTAGCTCAGTTTCTTGTTAGACTCTGTTTTATATTTTCATACTATCTATTTGACTGCAATAATTCCCCCAAACACTTTTTGGAACAAGAATTTCCAAAAATTTGGGGGAATTTGTTTCTACCTACTATGGGGTAGAAACAAATCAAGCAATCATTTATTTCTCTAGACTGTTATCTAATTAACTTAGGCCACCTGACAAGACACAACATAGAACTCTTGTCTTTGCAGTAAGAAGATTTTCATTGCACTAGAAGAACTGACCTCTACTACCCTTCGCTGCTTGGTGCTATATCTTTATCTCACCGTGTAGTGTAGAGTGTATGCATTGAACTGATAATCCAGAAATAGCTCATAGGTGTGTCTCCCCAGGGAACCAAAAGTCCAAAGACTGTGAAAGGCAGCTTCTGTGACATGTCAATTCTGAAGCTATGGTGGACGTGGCTGCATGCTGCCCTTGACATGTCCTTGCTCTTGGCACAAGGGAACCACACTGGGTAAAAAGAGGGCAAGGTGCAGAGAATTGCAACAAGACCCAGCATTTCGAGAACACTCTACTCAATCACTTCAGCCTCTCCATGTCAGCTTGTCCCCTGGCCTAAAATATTCCCTAGGTAGGTTTGAAAAATGCACTCTCTCAGGCTCCTGGGAGCATTGTGTAACTTCCCGGCATACCTCCCAAAGCAACCCAAATGGGGTTTTCACAACTTCCCAGAGCAGGGACTTTGCTGCTAGACCACAGATTAAGATGAAGAGGTTCTGTCTCAATATATCACATGATTGCACACAGTCAACTTCCACCTCTCTGGAGGTACTGAAAGGAGGGGAAAACCAGGTTGCAAAGTCAAAAAGCAGCATGGTGTGATACACAAAATAACTCAAAGTCATCAGGACTGTGCCTAAATTATTACCCTGCTCTATTCTAGCTATGTGATCTTGATTAAGTCAGAAAACTGCAGCAAAGCCAAACTTCCTTGTCTATAACATGAAGAAAAAGTTCTTATCGAAAAGTTCTTATGGAGATTAAATAAAATATTACATCTGAAAGTGCCTAAGAGCACACATATTGTTAACAGAAATGGAATCTTAATTCCTTGCTTCCACTTACACAGGCCACACATGCTCTTTCTCTATAAAAACGGAATTGTTTCAATCCTTTTCTTTCCCCAAAAGGCCTTGAGTAACCACGTGAGCCAAAGTCCAGCTAAGGGAAAAGAACGAAAGGCAGGAAGGATGCTTAATCAGGAAACTAGGCTGCTCCCCGACAACTTAGGAAGATTTACAAATGCAACTTTCTCCCAAAAGGCCCAATAGTAAAACCCAGAGACAAAAAAGCATGGAGAGCCAAGTGATGGAGAGGTCACTTACTTCCATAAGGAGAGCCGGTGGGTGAGCCATTTAGAAATCCTGGTGAACCTGGAACACCCAAGTTGGCCATGGGGACATTGCTGTAGCCATTCATACTGTTGCTGGAGGTACTGTAATTAGACTGTTGAGGCGTGGAGCTGGAAGAGTATCCCCGCGGAGAGATGCTGCTTGTGTTGCGGATGTACCCTTGGCAACAAAGAAAAAGCCCAGGTAAATCAACAGGCGTGCACAGTCAGGCCACATGTGGCTAGCACAGGTCCTCATTGGCCCCAGACTGCAGAATGTCACCAGCTGCCCCGGGCAGTTGTAGGAAGTGTGCAGTCCATCTTTAGCTTTTTTTTTTTTTTTTTTTTTTTTTTGAGATAGAGTCTTACTCTGTCGCTCAGGCTGGAGTACAGTGGCACGATCTTGGCTCACTGCAACCTCTGCTGCCCGGGTTCACGTGATTCTTCTGCCTCAGCCTCCTGAGTAGCTGGGATTACAGGCACCCTGCCATTGCGCCCGGCTAATTTTTGTACTTTTAGTGGAGACGGGAATTCACCATGTTGGCCAAGCTGCTCTTGAACTCCTGACCCCATGATCCACCAGCCTCAGCCTCTCAAAGTGCTGGGATTACAGGTGTGAGCCAGTGCGCCCAGCCCATCTTCAGCCTTTTATACCTTTCTCTCTCTTCCCCATCTATGTAAGGCCATGCCCTTGATACTCCATTCAAACCTGCACTCAGCACCTCCAGCTTACACCAAGGAGCGAATGGCTAATAGCAGTGTGGAGTTCCCTCTCCCAAATCATATTTCATATGACACTGGAGTCCAGTGAGATATGATTGGTGTCACTGAGAAAACATTCTGTGGTCAAGTTAGGCTGGGCAGATGTTATGCACTGTAGCCATTTCTTGATTCATATACAGAAGGCCTAGAGAATAAATAAACTGGTTTAACTTTGCTAGCCTAGTGTTTGCCAAATTTAACATGCCATAGCATCTTTTGGCGGGGCCTGGAGGGGAACGGTATCTTCACCTCTCTGGGGCCACTTGTATTCTATGGAACACAGTTTTAGAAACGTCAGTTCCAAGTTGTTGCCACACCCTAGGTGCAAGTGGGGATCAATTTCATTCAAAAAGTGTGGATGAGTTCCCCTAAAATGTGCTATTCTCTGACCTAGGACTTTGGGGCATCAGCAGTGAGCATGGGGGACCCAGTCTATGCCTGGGACGGGGGAAGGAGTGAGAAACCACAGCTCAGAAACATCGTATCATATGTCCTGGAATAAAACACTTTGGATTACTGTCTCTAAAACTATATAGGAAACAACCCAAATTTGTCACCAAATGAAAAAGAATTTGATATTTGTTCTATGGGCCTCATGTCTACAGAAACAAAAATAATAATATGTCCTGTCTAGTCTTTTTTTTTTTTTGAGACAAGATCTCACTCTGTTGCCCTGGCTGGAGTACAGTGGCACAGTCATGGCTCACTGCAGCTTCAACCTCCTGGACTCAATCTATCCTCCCACCTCAACCTCCCAAATAGCAGGGACTACAGATGAGCACTACCACACCTGGCTAATTTTTGTATTTTTTGTAGACACAGGGTTTCACCATGCTGCCCAGGCTGGTCTCAAACTCCTGAGCTCAAGCAATCTGCCCACCTCAGCCTCCTGAAGTGCTGGGATTACAAGCGTGAGCCACCACACCCGGCTCACCTACTCTTTTGTAAGAACTCTCCCTGGGCAAAAAAAAAATGAGGAATTCTCTTCCAACAAATAAAATTAGAAAAAACTATCCCATTGTTAAGGACCTCATTAGGAACATTTACTCCTTTTAAAAATGATTCGTGACAGATTTCGACTTAGCACTTCAATAATCAATCTCAATGCAAATGTCTTTACACGGTCTGCTTCACATGTAAAAGCACAGTTGTCTTTATATTTGTTTGTTGTTATATATATGAAATAATACAAAATAGAAGTTACCAAATAAAACCAAGCCATTCACTCTTGGCTACCAGGAAGAGAAATTTGGGTATCATAAATGATAATGGCAATAATCAGTTTCTTTCCAGTATTCAATCTGATAATCACAATAACAGAAGCATAAATTTCTTTTAAATTAATACCTGTAAACCTATTTTCTATAAGCCCAAACCCTTCTAAATTGATAATACCCAATCCTTTTTTTTTTTTTTTTGAGACAGGTTCTCGCTCTGTTGCCCAGGCTGGAGTGCACTGTCACACTGCACAGGCAGCCTCGGCTCATTTGCAGTGTGCCAGCGCACCCCACTGCTCACTGCAGCCTCGACTTCCCAGGCTCATGTGATCCTCCCACCTCAGCCTCCCAAGTAGTTGGGACTACATCTGCCCACCACACCTGGCTATTTTTTTATAGAGATGGGTTTTCACCATGTTGCCCAGGCTGGTCTCAAACTCCAGGGCTCAAGCAATCTACCTGCCTCAGCCTCCCAAAGTGCAGGGATTACAGGTGTGAGCCACCAAACCTGGTAGTAATACTCAATCTTCCCCTTAAATATTTCCAGACATTCTACCTGGTACCTAAGAAGCTCAAACTCTAATAAAGTACCATCTATAATCTTGAAATAACCCAATCTATGATTGTATTGCCTATCTGTGGACACACTCTGTTGGACCATTATGACCCAACCTCTGACTCTGTCCACTCCAGCAGAACTTTTTAAATTAGACATATTTGGATTTTGACTCTAAGAAAGGTGGTACCTTGATTATTTCCTTGTGTTGACTCTGAGATGCTGACCCCAAGCTGGCTGCCATAGGAGTTGATTCCCATCATGCCACTGTGCGCTGGGGAGCTAGAGAGGGCTGGAAGCTGGCTGGGATTCCTGGGGACGCTGTAGAGAGCTTCAGCAATGTCTGCGGCTCGCTTCAAAATGATGTCCTACAAAACAACAGGTTAATGTGAGCATTCTATCCAGCATAAAGTGCAAAACTCAATAAAGGATAGGATGTCAGTATCTCACCTGGTTATTGTGTGGTGTGCCATAAAGAGCTTCCACTAGATCTGCAGCTCTTTTCAACAGCATCTCCTGGAAAATAAGCGAGGATGGGATATTGTCAAAGGCAAAATCCAAGATGGCAAACAAAAGAAAATTATAGGCAAAAATGAGAAATCCACACATCCCTCCCAAAATGTAAGTAATTAGCCAAGAGGTCCTATATTTGGTTTGACAGGTAGAATACAATTGTACATGTACATCTCTCTGTAAATACGTATCTATCTGAAATTCACCTCTATAAAATGGCTCTATAAATGATTGTGTTACCAAAACAAAAAACAACCCAATTGAGAGTATAGTTTATTAAAATTATTAAGGTCATGGAAGTTCTATTAAATGCTACTTTCAGCCCATTCTGTTTTAAAAATCTGGTTCTCTAATTAACCAAATATTCTTAAAATGATTGATGGATTTGAGTTTAGCTGCTTGCCAAGGAGTTGTCCAGAGTACTGAAATTATCTTGGCAACGTCTGCTGCAAAATTTTATTCTAATAAAGATGAATTCTTTCAATAATATTTCCCCCTGTACACTTTAACCACAGAGAATTAGTAATCACGAATCCCTTTCCTCTCATTTTGCCTTTTCCACCTCCTGTTTTACACAGCCTTTTAAATTGCTATTAACCTACTTTCCAGATATCATCTAATTTAATGGTGGGGCTAGGGATTTTTCCAGGAGGAAAATAAAGGTGTGATGTAGAAGCAACTCTGGTGCATAAATTTTATTCACAGTATGCAAAAGAGAATATGGCATTTTATAATTTGTGTGTTTAAAGTGCAAATATAAATGTGAAAATTTAATAGTTTCTCATCAGCTGAATGACAACTAATAAATTGATGTACTTTTTAAAGAAAGCTAACAACATGGGCCAAATTCATAAAGTAATTTTCATAAGGAAGTTCACTTGAAAGTGATGTATTTCATAGAAATTTTATACAGAAGCATTTTTCTCCTCATTAGATACCTACGTACATAGTAGGCCCTCAATAATTAATACTAATTGTGGATTAATGAGTCCTTGCAATTATGGTTAAATAGAAACATTTAAATACAAAGGAGTGGAAGCTTATACTTTTAACCAATTATGCAGTTATTTATTTTCATAAAGTTGGCCATGTTTTTTAAACTGAATACTCCTGTCGTGTATCTGTTTAATCAGCTCAAATGTTCATATTTCCTCAGAGATTAATAAATAAGACCATAATATATTTCATAGCAGATATTTTATGTGCATCTCGTATCTAAAGCTTAGCCAAATTTCAAGGCCTAATTAATTTTAATGGGATGTAAATGCCTGCATTTGTCTAAGTTTCCTGAAATTCTACACAAATGGCTTCACATGTCAATTTCCAAAGCACATTACCTTAGCTAATCTCTCAGGATCTCCAGGATGCCTAGGGATGACCTTCTGCAGTCTCTGGAAGCCATAGTCTATGGTGGGTTCATTTAATGCTGAAAGAGAAAAGTCCTCTTTCTGAGTTGGTATCCTGGCTATAAAGCAAACCTTCTAATTAATTCTTCCACAGGTAATAAGAAGGTTCTGGATGCATAATGGATGTAATCAGTTAGGGTTTTTGCTATCGACATTGGTTAATTCACATATAAATTTGGAATTTATAGTACTTTTATAGTTTCCTATTAGAATAACATTTCAAAATTTCAGATTATAATTATCATTTCTGCTTTAAGTATACATAAACTTCTCTGCTATCAAATAAAAAATTAAGCAACCATATCTCAATTTCTTATGAAGATAATAAACTACTTTTATATTATTTTCCTTTCTCTTATCTCTTTCTTAAGTAGGACTGCACTGTCTATTCTTCTAAATATCTATGAAATATTCTTCTAAATATTTTTCTTAACCAGTCTCTTATGTATATTTATACATATATAAACCTTCTATGAGCTTATTCTCATAAAACCCACTTTATGCATAATACGCTTCCACAATTTTCAATTATATTTAATTACACCCACGTCTGGTAACTATCAGCCCCCCACCCCACGAATACTACAAATTTTATTTCACCACTATGTTCCCGTTAAGACAGGGCCTGGCACATAGAAGGCACTTAGTGTCAGTAATTATAAAACGAGTGAGTGAATGAGTGAATTAATGAATGGCATACTTTAGCATTTCCACTATTCTAAAGAGTTTTCTGCATGCTGCTTTTATTCTTTCTCCTTCTTCCCTTTCATTTATTCTTTAAAAGTTTCTTGTTTAAATGTCATGGTTTTAAAATTAATACATGATTAAAGAAAAAGATACAAAGAATGAAATAATCACCTGCACTGCTGTTATGCAGCAATAAACACAGTAATGTCTATTTCCTCTTTAATCTTATTTTTTATATATATGTTGCTATTATTCTATCATAACAATGCCTCTTGTAAAAAACTATTACAAACATTAAATATAGAAGTAAAAAATTACCATAAACCCACTTAAGACATGAGCTGGATTAACATTTTTTGCATATGTCTTTCCAGATTGAAACCTATACACATACTTAAAATTATTCAGAGACATACCGTTCACACTGTTACATAACCTACTTTTCATCCACTTAACAATATATCATAAACTTCCCCAAGATCATTAACTATTCTTTTATAACATTATTTTAAATTCCTGCATATTTTTCTATGACATGTTCTATAATTTATTTAAATGGCTTCCTAATATCAGGCAATTAATGTGATCCTAATTTCTCACTATTATAAATATCGAGCAATAATTATCCTTTGTGCATAACTTTAATTATTTCAATTGGAAAATTCTAAGAATTGGAATTACTGGACCAAAAATTATGATTTATATTTCAGGCCTTTCAGACATACGGTCAAATCACTCCTCAGGAGAATGTATGAGTTTATTCTCCCTCCAGCAATGCGTGTGCTCATTTTAACTTACATTTTTTTACTCACCAGTGAGGTTGAAGAATTTTTTCTTATATTTGCTGATGTTAATTTCTTCTTTTATAAACTGCGTGTTAATACTTTCTGCACTCTTCTTTCACTTGTAAAAATACTTTATATGTTGAGATTTTTAATACTGTGGTATCATGTTGCAATATCACATCCCAATTTGACCTTAAGTATTTTATGTATAGAAAAACCACCTCTATTCCAAGAACTGGTAGATACACACAAACACACACACACACACACACACACAAATGTATATGTACACACCTATGTATACATATATGAATGTTTATTATTTAACTTATCTGGATTTTACTTTGTAATGTAACATTAAGAATTTACCTTTGCCACAACTTAACTGTATTTCACAATTTATTGAATGGTTTCTATACATATATTCTGTTTTATTGATCTATTCTGGGTAAAAGTCACCCTATTGAGGTTGTAATACATATTTAATATTTGATAGGGTAAGTGTCCTTCCAGAAACACACAATCTTTTAAAACTACATTTTCTCAACTATTTTTTTTTTTTTTTTGAGACAGAGTCTCACTCTGTCACCCAGGCTGGAGTGCAGTGGTGCAATCTCAGCTCACAGCAACCTCCACTGCCCGGGTTCAAGCGATTCTCCTGCTTCAGCCTCTTGAGTAGCTGGGCTTACAGGCGCGCGCCACCATGCCTGGCTAAATTTTTTTTTGCATTTTTAGTAGAGGCAGGGTTTCACCATGTTGATCAGGTTGGTCCCGAACTCCTGACCTCGTGATCCGCCTGCCTCGGCCTCACAAAGTGCTGGGATTACAGGTGTGAGCCACCGCACCCGGCCTTCTCAATTATTCTTATCCATTTATTCTTTCCAGTTTAACCTTAGGGAAATTTCAAAAAAAATTTCAGTTGCATTAAACCTACAGCTAGAGAGAAAATGGATGGCTTTGCAATAGCAACACTCCACCTTCTTCTTTAGATCCCTCAGTAAACTGTGCTGCTCATCATATAGGTGCTAAATTTTTTGTTTACCATTTTAATTTTTTGGTATTTCACTTTTTGTTTTTACTGTGAATATGGCTATTCATTAATCATATTGTCCAAGAGTTTTATTAGAGTCTAGAAACACTTCTGTGTTTTACACATCTGTGCAGGAAGTCTATGGCATACAGATGAAGACAATCAGCTTTAGAGTTGAGTAGATCTAGGGTCTGAATTCCAGCTCCACAATGTATGTGAACGTGAGCTGTTTAAAATCCATTTTATAGGTTGGCTGTCAAAATCAAAACTATTTCTATAATGTCCTCAGCACGGTGCTTGGCATATAAAATATCTTTTTCTTTTTTCTTTTGAGACAGGGTTTCACCCTGTTGCCCAGGCTGGTCTCAAACTCCTAGGCTCAAGCAATCGTCCGCCTTGGCCTCCCAGAGTGCTGGGATTACAGACCTGAGCCACTGCACCTGGCCTATAAAAGATCTTAACCAGGCCAGGCGCAGTGACTCATGCCTGTAATCCCAGCACTTTGGGAGGCTGAGGCGGGCAGATCATGAGGTCAGGAGATCGAGACTATCCTGGCTAACACGGTGAAACCCCATCTCTACTGAAAATACAAAAAATTAGCCGGGCGTGGTGGCGGGTGCCTGTAGTCCCAGCTACTCGGGAGGCTGAGGCAGGAGAATGGCGTGAACCCAGGAGGTGGAGCTTGCAGTGAGCCAAGATCACGCCGCTGCACCCCAGCCTGGGTGACAGAGCAAGACTCCGTCTCAAAAAAAAAAAAATCTTAACTGAAAGTAACTGTTATTTTGTAGCCAAAACCCCTGACAGATATCATTATTTTTTTTCTATTACTTAGGCCTGTACATTCATATCATCTACTTACAGTGATCATTTTGTCTCCTTTTGATAGATGCATTAATCCCATTTAGTTCTCTTAATCCTATTCTTGTATTGGCTAAAACTTCCCAAACAATGCCCCAAAATGACAATAAAGTTGGATATTCTTGTTTTTCTCTGAATGGGAATGACATATTATACCACCAAATATGGTGTTGGCTATTTGAGATAGATATTATTTATCATGGTTCAATAAGGGTTCAATAAGGGTTATCAGGACTTCTTGGAGTTTTAGAAAATCACAGTCACATGAATTTTCTCTTTTGGCCAGATTTTTTATTTATATATATAATATATATATATATATAATATATAGGATATATAATATAAAAATATATAATATATATAATATATAGGACATATATAATATAAAAATATATAATATATATTATATGTAATTTTTATGTATTATATAATTTATATATATAATAATTTTTATATAATATAATATAATGTTTATATTATATTATATATATATATATATTTTTTTTTTTTTTGAGACAAAGTCTTGCTGTGTCACCCCGGCTGGAGTGCAATGGCATGATCTTGGCTCACTGCAACCTCTGCCTCCCAGGTTCAAGCGATTCTCCTGTCTCAGCCTCCCTAGTAGCTGGAATTACAGGCATGCACCACCATGCCTGGCTAATTTTTGTATTTTTAGTAGAGATGGGGTTTCACCATATTGGCCACGCTGGTCACGAACTCCTGACCTCAAGTGATCCACCCATCTCGGCCTCCCAAAGCGCTGGGATTACAGACATGAGCTACCGCGCCTGGCCTATATTTTATATTTTCTAATATTTCAAAATTAAACATTAATTCATGGAAGTAATGTATCATTTTCTTGGTATATATCTAAATTCAGATATAACCATTAATACCAGATTCAACCATTAATACCAGATTAACATTTCCTTAACACAACTGGCACAAGGATTAAATCAAGTTACTAAGAACAGTGCCTGGCACTTGGTGAGCACGCAGGTATCAGTTATTGTTATTGCTGTCAGGAATTTATGTGTCCATATTAATAACTAGGATTGTGTGCATGGCTCTGTCCAACTAATGATTTTTATTTCATATGAGCTTTGAAAACTATATTGAGAAGTTTTCTTTATTTTATCCTATGCTCTATAAATCTTACATAGCATGGACAGTAGCTCTTGCTAAACACTTGAAAGAACCCTAGTTAACATTGCTCACACTAAGGTCACCAATAGCATTTTAGCCAAGCCAACAGGAACTTTTCCATTCTTAACCCCGAGTTAACATTTGAGACCGCTCATATTCTCCACTTCTAGAAACCCTCCCACCCACTGGCTTCCTGAACTTACACTGCCCGGCTTCCTTCCTACCTCTTTGGCCATGTCAGACTACTTTGCGGACTGTTCTTTCTCTGCCTGTCTTGTAAATGATGCTCCTCAAGATGGTTGCCAGGCAGTCCTCAGCTTTGCTGTACGTTCCCCTGGGCAACTTCATCAATTCTCCATGATTTCCACATGCAGCTACATGCTAATCGTCATAAATCTTGATCTCTAGACTAGATACCTGGCCTGAGATTCAGCTTTAAATATCCAACTGTTGGCTAGAAAATTCCACTTAGATGGTCCATAGATTCCCCCTACCCAAGATACCCAAGCTCATGAGATTTTCTGTGAATTGTACCATCATCCAAATGATTGACTGCCAATCAGAAACCTTGAATTCATTGTTTCTCAATATCATTGTATTTTTTCTAGAAAAAATCATCCATTTCATCAAGATTGTTAATGTTTTAGCATAGAATCTATATTGTATTTGTTTAAAATTTCTAACCGATCTAGAGTTCCCCTCCCCCTCTGCCCACTGAAATGTACACAAATATATGTAGACATTTAAATTATTTAACCTATCTGGATTTTATTTCGTTGTGTAACATTAAGTACTTATCTTTGCCACAACTTACTGTATTTCACAATTTTGTTGTAATTTTCTGATTAGTCCTATTTATAATTTTGACTTCCTTTAGCTCCAGGAAGAGTATCTTAAAATTTCTAGGTAATTGAGTACTAAACTGTTAATTGCTTATTGTAGCCAACTGCCCTGGATTTTAAAAGGTGTCCTGCACAGTATGTGCCTTTTGGAATTTATTGCATTTTTGTGAATTAATACATATTAGTTTTGTCTGCATTTTATGGGCAATGCTTTAATGTCTTATTTCATCTATCTTTTTGATCACTTTAACACATCCATTTTTGCTTCTATAAATTTGTCTTCCCACATTCTCATTTCTAATAGTTTTAAATATATATACTTTTCTAGTGATTTGAGAGATATACACACTTTTTGTTGTTGTTGTTGAGACAGGGACACAAAGTCTGGTTCTGCCACCCAGGCTGGAGTGCAGTGCACGATCACAGCTCACTGCAACCTCCACCTCCTGGGCTCAAGCAATCCTCCTGCCTCAGCCTCCTGACTAACTTGGGCTACAGACATGCACCACATGCCTAATTTTTGTATTTTTGGTAGAGATGGGTTTTCACCATCTTGCCCAGGCTGATCTTGAACTCCTGAGCTCAAGCAATCCGCCCGCCTTAGCCTCCCAAATTGCTGGGACTATAGGCATGAGTCACAGCTCCTGGTCTGTACATACTATTTTAATTTACAGAAGTGTCTTTAGACTTCTCTGAAAATATTTTATTTTTCCTAATTATTTGAGGTGTTGAGTCGCTCCATATATAAGGAATTTTGCTTGCCTTCTATCTTCCCACCTCTTTCTCTCCACTTATACATTTTTGTTGGCAGTTTATCATTTCAAGCTGATTTACTATTCTTAGATTTTCTATGTTCTATATTTTTAGAAACTAATTTTCATGTTTCCACTAAGTCTCATCACCATATTAACAAGAATTTTTTAGACACTCTATATTTAACTGCTTTCTCGGCCAACCACCAATCCTGCAATAGCACAACTTTTCCCATCTTGCATTCTTCATTGATTCAATTCTCCTGCAGTCAGGTGCTATCAATAAGAATAAGAGTTAAATTCTGTCTGGGCCACTGAAATAAGAGAGTATCTTTTTGTCTTTCTCACACATAAATGACAACTGCTCTGGATATAGAATAGTTAAGTACACTCTCCCATTCAAGATCAACTTTCTGCTTGTGCCACTGGTTCTCACTCCTCAAGTTGGAGACAGGGGAGCCTCAGGGTGGTTGTTGGTGTCTCCCCCATCACTTCCTTGCCCTGCTGCTCTTTCCTAAGGGGGAATGAGGAGGCCAGCTGGAATTCGCATGTCCACCAGTACGACCCTGTGTGCACATGCCAGCACAATGATGCAAAATTTCTGGGATACTAATGACTTTAGCCTAGCTTCAAGCATTATTACCAGATTTCCTTTATTTTTATGTTTTCCTGAAAGTATCCTCTAATATATTTTGGGGGTGGGGGCCGATTAAACACTTGCACTCACAAGGCCATCTTACCTAGAAACACATGTAAGAATAGCCGTATGTTTAAGTAGAATTATTCTGTAAACTTTTTTCTTCCACTTAGCTTTATAATGTCAGCAATTTGGGAAGACTTTTTCTTAAATAATGTGATTTTTAGTGGTGGTAATATGCAATAGTGAAAATCATTATTACCACCATTAGGACGTACTGAAGCCTTACTATGTTAAGGGCACTCTGCTAAGCCTTTTAGGCACATTAGCTCGTTCGATTCTGATTGTAACCCTACAATGTGGGTTTTATCCCCATTTTCAATGCAGTCCCAAGTGGTAAAGGTGGGATCTGTGTCCTGCTTCTCTAACTCCAAAGCCTGTGCTCTTAACCTTTCCTGCTGCAGAACCAGAGATGATGATCCTTCCATCCCCCTCTGGGCATCCTCCTCAGCTTCAAGAGCTACAGATGCAAGAGCATGATGGGCATCCTCCTCAGCTTCAAGAGCTACAGATGCAAAAGCATGAATGAAGTCCTGCCTGTGTTGCCTGACTTTGTCACTGAGACCAGAAGGAGACCCCATGCGGAATCAACTAGCAAACACAAACAGCTGCCTGGTGCTGCAGGGCAAACAGACTTGATGATGAAATTCTCAAAATTCATCATTGCCTAATTTTTTTTTTTTTTAGAAATATGCACCATTTTGTTAGCCAAAGTGCAGATTTTCGTAGAGAAAACAGGAAAATTATTGATATGGGTACACTCACAACGTGCTAAATACAAACTAAACAGATAACCCATAAGGCAGAAAATATAACCCCTCCCCGACTCCATTTCTGCCTTTGTCCCTTTCCATCTGCATGGCTGTCCCCCACCCTGGCAAGTGCTCTGCCTCTCCCAAGAGCATTTTTGGGGGTCCAGCCAGGTAGCACCACCTTCCTTATCCCTTAGTCCTTCCTGCTGCTCAGAGAGGAATTTTCTGGAGCTGGGCTCTAATCAGTGCACAGAGGTGGGATGGAGATGAGTTTTTTTAAAATATAATTTATCACGCATTTGCACCCATTGTTCTCCCAACCAGATTGCAAACCACTAGGATACAGGGTCATGTCTAGTTTCTCTTGCCTGCCCTCCCCTCCCCAGCTCCCAAATTAGACATGGCAGAGTATCTTTACTACACTGGGCTGGCAATTCATGTTTTACACTGAATAAGTAGATAAGGCAGAATTGTCTATTTTTATGTTGTTTTTTGGCAGGTCCCTGCCAGACTTCATAGGCATAAACTATGGGATACATCTCGTGTGCATCCAAGTGAGAGAGAGGACAGTAAAACACAGTTACCTACACAGACAGGGAAAATCACACTCACACATACACACCGACAGAATTTCATTTAATCAAGTGCACATTGGAAGTAGAAAGCATGAAGCTGAAAGTACTCCAGCTCTGTTTAGCCAACACTAAACCATAAGAGGGACCTCAGCCTTTAACACATGGCCGGGTTTGACAACTCTTTGGTTCCAGACTGACTTCCCAACTGACCAGTTGCTTTTGCGTCTCTTAGATTCAGCTTCACCTTGAATCCCAACTTCCTCCCTCCCCCTCCCTACTTCCCTGGGCGTTCTCTGGCTTTTCAGTCCTGGTATGAGCCAAGCAAAGCTCAATTAGCTAATGAGGTGCCCAAGACCAGCACCAAGACTGTCTCCAAGGGCCAACCAGGCCATTAACTGCCATCATCAGTGTTAATTTACAACCTTGCCTACCACATGGAGTGCGGGGATGCTGTGAAGTTCTGCCAACCTTTTGGCTGACAGGGATACAGAGAAGTGCTGGCAAGGCAAAAACAGAGTAAATTAAAAATATGCTTCAATCTATAGGCTCTATTTATCTATGTCTTTCTTTAGTAATATAACATTAAGGTAAAAGGTCATAGCCCCACTGAAATATAATTTATATTTACCTTTTATTAAATAATTATGGCATGGCATGAAGTTAAATATTACAGAAGCTAATCAAGAGGGAATTCAAGAGAGAAAACTCAGACATGAGAATTTCGTCTTTGCTATACATAGAATGTCTTAATCCTCCACTGGGAGTCATTCGGGTTTGCTTAAGGAGTTTAATAATACACATTTCAACTGCCACAGAATCTAAATCCCATTTGGATCAGCCTTGAAAAACTTTCATCAATACCTTGAGATTTCATAATATTTCTCTTGAGAGCCTGGATCTCATGTGCCATTTCTCATTTTGATTGCGGGTATAATATATGAGATTACTTACATATATCTTGGACCCAATAAATAAATATAAACTATAAGCAATATGTGAATGGTTTCTTTTTTAAAGTAAATAGTATTTAACTAAAAATATCTACTGGGAACCACTCTTTAAAAAAAAAAAAGCTGGCTGGTGCTCAATATTAATTTTCCCAAAGGATTAGTGCGATATAAAATTCTATATGGTTTTAATTTTCTTTCCTTAAGAGGAGGCACAGGGAGCAGATAATGCTTACCCCATCTTATACTTCTACTTCTGTTTCACAAAAATGAAGGGGACACTGGCTAACATGGAAAGGGGGCTCTTTGTTAGAACCCTGTTCAGCCCTTAACAATTACAGCCTTGACACTGCAGGCTGGAGGTCATTTATGCTCTTGACCAGCAGGAGCACTGATTGCAAAGATGGCAACATCAAGGCCTGGTTGCTTTTTTTAAAAAAAATGTGAGAGAAGATGATGATGAGTGAGGCAAGATCTGAGTTCTCAATTGGCTGCCACTCTGGGGATGTTGGCGGATCACACTGCTGGCCTCGGTTGCAGCTTTACTCACCAGTGAGTCTTCCCTTGGATCCTAGGATTACCATGGAATCTGTAAATGGTCATCAGGAGGCCAATAAAAGTAGAAATTCTAAGCCTAGCCATGTGTTTGTGCATCTGTGCATTATCTGCAGAAAGGGAGCTTCACTTCATCAGATGTGCACACAGCCCATGGTCTCCTAAGGGTGACAGCCCACAGAACTAGAGGATCACTACAGTCCTAACTCTAAATTCCAACTTTCTTCAAGAATAAGGAAAACCACTGAAAGGTTTTCTTTGCATTGTAAGAAAGCAAACAACAACAACAACAACAACAACAACAACAACAAACCCTTAAATCTATATAATGTGACTGCCATATAAACACAAGACCAGAAGACAGACACTGACTGGCAATGGAAGAGAAAACATGCTTTAACAATACCTGCCACGTGGCTTTGGCCAAGGAGAATTACTCTCTGTTGACAGCGTAGGAAGGCATGAAACACAATCTGGCTTTGGGAGGAATTTAGATAACACAGACGAGCTCCTGCCCTCGTGCCACTTTAGGACGTCTCTGTCCTCTTTCCTTACATAGTACTTTCTTCCCACATGTTCATTCCCACAAAGTCTGTCTTCCATGTGCTAGGATTTGGGTTCCCTTCTCTCTCCCTCGTCCTTCCCCTTCCAATTTCCTTGTCTATTTGTCTCCCTTCTGCCCTATTCCTCATGTGTCCAACATGCAAAGGCTACGTTAAATTCACACTTAAATGCTAAGTTTTTCATTGCATATGATGGTGTGATGGGATAAAGCTGGTCCTAGCTTGGGAGCTGCCTTAGTTCCCAACACTAACAAATGACACAACCTTCATCAGGTCACTTGGCCAGGTGAGGCTTTGGTTTATTTCTCTGTGAAGACAAAGGATTGGGGTAAATGGCTTCTAAGACCCCTTTCAAGCTCTTACATTTTATGATTCTAAGGCTATCACTGATTTGGAGCAGTGGCTTTCTTCTCTGAGGAGTAGAGGGTGGAGCTGAAGTCAAGGCTGTTGAATTAAGTTGTCTTTAACCTTGGCTACATTGAAATCTCTCCCCACATCCATTTGTTTTAATGTAGCAAAAGTTCAGTGTCACCAATTTAAAAACAAAAAGGAACAAAGATAATATAGGAACACATTATTAAGAGGCGGTACCTGCCTTTGTGGACACAGGAACAAGAATACGAGGAGAGAACCAACAGTGCACAAGTGAAAGATTAGACTGAAGCCTCTGATATTTAATTTTAAATGAAATATTAATTTAATATTTAATTACACTTTGGTTTCCAGAAAAACTGCAGCAGCAAGACAGATTGTTTGAAGAAGGGAATAATATACATGGTTAAGGAGACAACTGTAAAAATTAAAGATAAATTTCAAGGGTAAATCTAAATGCCACAATGGAGCAGTTATAAATACACTCTTGCTCTCTGTAATGTGTATTTAGAATATTATAGCCGAGTGTGCCAATCCATTAAGGGGCTGGGATGTCTCTAGTGAAACAGCAGCCCCCTATTCTGGGGCTAACAACGGAGACATCATTTCTCAGACTCAGCTGAATGATGTATCTGAATTTCACAAGAGGTGGGAGTGGAGACAACTTCAGTAAAAGTGCAGGCTACCAGGGGGGCTATTGACTCAACCTGTCTCCAGTTTGAACAAGGAATAGTTGTACTTGGGCCAGTTTCTGATGTCTGAATTGGGTATTTTTAACTAAAAATCAGATTCATTTCTTCAATGGGAATTTTTTTTTCCAGGATAACGCTATATGGGGAAAAAAAATGCGAAGTGGATGAGCTATTAACATTTGAAATCCAGTTTGCACATCTGTGCAGCACAGCTTTATGAAGGCAGGCCCCACAATTCACACACAGCCTTGGGGAGGAGGCTGTTCAGGGTATGATTTGGGGGTGTGTGGAAAAACCTCGGCCTCTGATTTTTCCTCCCAGCTGCTGCCTGTTCTTGCCTTAATCCTGTCGATGAATACTTTCTCCCAAATAATGAACAGAAAAAAAAAATTGTTTTTTTGCCAAAGTAGAAGATAAGAAGTATTCTGGGAGAGGGGGTTAGTTAGCATGAATTATCTGGTTTCTTGGTGCATCTCAACTAGCAGGTTGTCTATGTAGACCTCTAAGTTCTCTTGCACACCTTGTCAAGCACCTACTCTGCATGTACCTGGGCCAGCTGGGACACAGTCAATCTCTTCTGCTCCTTTGGTCCACCTTTTATTTTTTATTTATTTATTTTTTTCTTACAAGAACTTCTGGGTTCTTTTAAAAAATTATTTATTTATTTATTTAAGAAACAAGGTTTCCCTCTGTCGCCCAGGCTGGAGTACAGTAGTGCAATCATAGCTCACTGCAGCCTCGATCTCCTGGGCTCAAGCGTTTCTCCCACCTTGGGCTCCCAAGAGCTGGGACTACAAGCCCATGCCCCACCAGCCTGGCTAACTTTTTTTTTTTTTTTTTTTTTTTGGAGATGGGATCTTGCCTGGGTTGGTCTCAAACTCCTGGCCTCAAGTGATCCTCTGGCCTCAGCCTCCCAAAGTACTGGAATTTCAGGGGGGAACCATGGTGCCTGGCTTCTACCTTTTAATACCTGCTTCCTTGTGACCCCCTGTCCCTCTCCTGCAAAGGCCATGTTCTTGGGCTCCCTTGGCCTTCTCTGTCTCCTGCAAAAACCTGATTTCTAATCTAGATCGAGATATTCAGGGCATGATGTGGTAGGTCTTTCAAGATGAATCCACATTTTCCAGAAGACAGACAAAGAAGCCCTGTGCTGGTCCAACAGCAAAGAGGGAGGACGCTCCCCAGAGCTGCATGTATCCTCCCACCAGATGCTTACAACAGTGAATTGTGCTTGTGCTTTTATATTTATATACATAAATACCTTTGCATATGTATGTAATTTTATCTTTCTAATGGGGTAAGTATATCCTCATTTTTAGGTTAGAAAAATGGCACAAAGAAAAGTTGCTTTTCCTGAAAGTTGGAATGCAAATCCCTGCCTCTTCACTCTGTCATCAGCTCTCTTCTATACAACAGACTGCCCCAGCGCCAGGTTCTCTCAAGCTTAATAAAAATGTGGAGTTCATATTTCTTTGCCTCCTGCAACTTCAGTTATTTGTAGAGAGGATAATTTCTATGATTTCTAAAGAATTCAAGGAACTTCACAGGCTCTGAGTGTAGCACATCATACTGACTGGAGCCTCCCCTTCATAACTCCTGCTTTTTGAGTCTTCTAGAAAGTTCCACCTAAGAGCAAGCATTACTATTGTGTTCACAGTGAAAGGACCCAGTCTCATAAGAACCTTCCCAAGGGTAGAGTGCTTTATAAGCCAAAAAGTCTCTGCAACAGCCTCATAAGCAGAACTTAGGCCTCACAAACTCATTTCTTTGTTTAAAATATACATTCCCTAAATTAGTTCAACCACTGTGGAAGACAGTGTGGTGATTCTTCAAGGATCTAGAACCAGAACTGCCATTTGACTTAGGAATTCCATGACTAGGTATATACCCAAAGGAATATAAATCATTCTATTATAAAGATACATGCACGCGTATGTTTGTTGAAGCATGTTCACAAAAGCAAAGACTTGGAACCAACCCAAATACCCATCAATGATAGACTGGATAATAAAAATGTGGTATATATACACTGTGGAATACTATGCAGCCATAAAAAGGAATGAGAGCATGTCATATTTGCAGGGACATGGATGAAGCTGGAAGCCATTATGCTCAGCGAACTAACATGGGAACACAAAACCAAACACCGCATGTTCTCACTCATAAGTGGGAGCTGAACAATGAGAACACATGGACACAGGGAGGGGAACAACACACACTGTCGGTGGGTTGGGGGCAGGGAGAGGAAGAGCATCAGGACAAATAGCTAATGCATGCAGGGCTTAATAGCTAGGTGATGGGTCGATCTGTGCTGCAAACCATCATGGCACATGTATACCTATGTAACAAATCTGCACGTCCTGCACGTGTATCCCAGAACTTAAAGTAAAATAAAACTTAAAATATAAAAATAAAAAATAAAATAAAATACACATTCTCAGACCCTCTCAGGAGAGTAGCAAGAAATATTCCCATATTGCAATCTGAAAACCAGGGCCCAGGTAAGGCGTCTTCTGAGACCCCCTTCATGCTCACCAGCCACGGCCTATTTCCTGTGCACCTCTCCAGAGTAACAGCCCAAGAGCCAAGGCATCATCTGCCAAGTAAAACAAGACAAGACCAAACAGATGGCCTTGGTATCGTGTTTTGTAATAAACTGTACAGTACTGGGAAGTAGTACAGGTTAGGTGTTAAGAGCAGAACTTTGGAATAAGACATCTAGGATTCATCATACCTTGGTGACCTTAGGCAAGTGACTTAATTTCTCTAAGTAGCAGGATCTCAGCTATGAAGTTGAGATCCTCATAGAACTGTCATCACAGATAAAGGTGGTGATACTCGGAGCCTGTAGGACAGAGCCTTGCCTTACGTGCTTAATAGATGACAGATGTGATTACTGAACTGCTGTCATTTTTGCTTGTTATTCTGTCTTATGATAGAACTTATAAAAGACTTCTTAACCAGCTGTCTAATGTGTAGTCCAGGTTCTGCAAAGAACCACAGGAACAATAGTGAAAAGCTGTGCTCATTTACCCCCATGTCCTCACACACTGTGTTTTGCCCTGGATTCTGTGGTTGGTGCAGATTTTACAATTAGAGACAATGACAATTCCACCCCTAAATACCATGCTCTGATATCCTCTCCCTGCATACTCACTGCCACCTGAAGTCAAGACAGCCAAGAAGTCCCTGAACAACCAGTCACTGTGGTTCTGTTGGGTGCCCCTACTAGGATTATTTTTCTGCATTGCCAGTTCTCTCTGGAAGTCTGCGCGGAAGACAGAGGATCTCTTCTCCTCTCCTCTCCGCCTAGGCTAGCATACCTCCTCCAGGTCTCAAACCAGTAAGAGGCAACTGGACTTTCCCTAATGAGCCCTGTTCTCACGTGGCTCTCTCAATTGCGCAGAAGCAAGTTGCACGTTAGCAAACCACGGTTGGTGGAAAATTGACCTGCAAAGTCACATGTGCAAAGAAAATGTGTTATTTTTCAGAGCCCCGATGTTGTTTGTGCTGTGGTTGGCAGTGGCAACCATGGGGGTCTGGCTAATTAACCAGGTACACCTAATAATGGGCTTGGCTCTGTCATGGTGGTGCATCCTTGGATACAGAAAATGTCAACAGTTGGACTATGGACCACAGAGTGTGTGCAGTGGGACAGGGGTGGAAGGAGGAAAGGTTCTCTGGAGTCTCCCGCAGGACTCTCCTTCTAGAAAGTTCTACATAAGAGTAAACACTACTATTGTGTTCCTGGTGAACGGACCCAGTCTCGTAAGAACCCTCCCACGGGTGGAGTGCTTTATAGGCCAGAAAGCCTCTCCAACAGCCTCAGGAGCAGAACTCAGGTTTCTCAAACTCATTTCTTTGTTTAAAATACAGATTCCCAGACCCTGTCCGAAGAGCATGATTTGGCATTGTCTGGAATGGTGCCAAGCATAATTCTTATGATCAGCCAAATTAGGGAAACACCTTTGGGTAACAGCATAATTGGCACCAGAGCTTTACAGATGATGGAAATGAGGCTCAGAGAGGTCAGTGACCGGATGAAAGTACACACAAGCAGTGGACCACACGGCCAGCCCCCAAAGGCAGTGCTTCCGGCTGGTCCTCCTCTCGGGACCCGTCCTGCTCACAGCACTCACTCTGCACCTTTTAAAACCCTCTAGGTTTCAAGTTTTGCCTTTTCCTCCAGAACCAGAATGACTTTTTGTCCACCTTGCCATTGGAGGTGAGTGGTTTGTCTAGGCCTATAGCAGCCTAGGAGCACTGTCCTGCAGTGAAGCACTCCAGGCGTCCAGAGTGCGTGGGTCAGTGCTTCAGGGTGGCTGGAAAGACAGGAGGGCTTTGTCTTTCTCCTCCTAGGGAAGAGGCCATGGCTCTCCAGGTGACCAGAGTGAGGACTCAGCTCTGAGGTGGAACAGCCCATCAGCAGGTGCCTGTGGAAGCCACTGATAGTGGATGAAGACGAAATTGGCTTTTCATGTCAGTAGCTGCCAATTCAATGGGAAAGACAGGAGGCCACCAACCTATTTCCTGTGGGCTCTAGAACCCTCCATGGATGACATCAGCTTCCTGTCTCCACCAACCCAAGTGGTACTTCGCTCAGTAACCTCGGGGTGGAAGTTTTTCTAGAAAGTGGCCAGACTCCTGAGCCATCCTTGATAGCATTTGTAATTTTGGATGATGCTATCCTTGATAGCATTTCTTCTTTATTTGTGAATGAACAAGGATGATCCAGCCATCCTTGATAGCATTTCTTCTTTATTTGTGAATGAACAAACTCCTGAGTCCCTCCCCTCCTCACTCCGACTGCCCCCGAAGGCCCTTCCTTCTCAAAGGCAGTTTCTGGAAGAAGCACCACCAACTATCAGGCTGGAAATACTTTGTACCTGAAAAATCAAGTTTACTAATGTGCACTGTTTCAGTATTTAAACGTGTGATGCTATATTGTGCCATACTTTATTCTTTAAATTTTAAATTTTAAATTATTTAATTTTATTAGATACAAGTAAGCAACATGAAAAAAATTTAAATAACAACAACACTGAGAAACCACCATTGTTAATACCTTGGCATGCAGGATTCTGTACCCTACTAGGGTTGTTTGTAAAACTACTCATTTTTCATATATCTAAACATTGGGTCATATCATGCAGACTATTTTAAAGCTCCTTTAAAACCCATATCACAGATGCCTTTCATGTAAATAAATATCCATCCATGGCATTATTTTTAATGTCTCTAAAAAAGTGTAGAAGATGTTCCATTATTTGTTTAATGAATCCCCTAATGTACAATGAGGATATTTTCAATTTTTCACTATAATAAACTCCCATGAACGGTCTTCCAGCAAACTCAATTATTTCCTAGGCAGACATTTCTAGAAGTAGAATTGCTGGGTCAAAGGGCACATACATCTTCAGGTGTTCTCTTATCAAATTTACATTCCTGCAGTAGTATCTTAGATAGTTATGACACCTACCCATCTCCTTATAGCTCCATCACCCATGTCCAGGGGTGTCTTTGAAACACTAGAGATACCAGAAGCTCTACATGCAGAAAGTGTCCTGGAAAAAGACCCACTCTCCAACTGACTTCAGGGACAGCCCACTCTCCTGGTTTCCTCCTACCCTGACCACTCCTTCTCAGACTCCTTCCCAGGTTCCTTCTGTCAACTTTAATCCTGCATGCTGGTGTTCCCAAGGTGCCATATCTCCACTCTTTCATGGCGATCTCATCTGGTCCTATGGCTTTAAATCCTGTCTAGAGTATCCTGCAGTAGTATCTTAGAAAGTCTCCATTGTCTTTGAATCTTGCCAACCTGAGTATTTTCATTTGTTTAAAAGAAAATCTCTGTCAACTTGATAGGGAAAAAAAGGTGATCTTGTTGCCTTAATTTGCATTTATTTATTAGTGCAGTTGGGACTTTTTATTATAATAGGTTTCTTTGTTTACTAGTCTTCCTTCCTGAATTTAACTCTTGATGTTCATTGCTAGCTTTCTATTTGGATATTTGTCTTTTCCTCTTCAATTTCTAAGATACCTAACGTTCTCCTCTTTTTCCACAATGTATAACATAGCAGTTAACAAACAGTAGGCACAAAATAAATTTTTGCTGAATAAAGGAATAAGTCTTTTTATACTTAAGATAATAGGCCACGTAGAGCAAATATGTGGTCTCAGTTTGTCCTTTTCCCTTTAATGCCTGGCATATTGACACACAAACATTTTCCTTTTACGTAATCACATCTTTTGCTTGATGGTGCCTGTCTTTGGCCTCAATGTTCACAAGTCTCAAAATGATAATTATTCTTTAAACCTGTAATCTTCTGAAATGTCTACATTTTTAATAAAAATATTTAATTTGAATACAGTTTAGTTTATATGCTATGAAATTTAAAATCTAACTTTTTCTTTTAATGCCTAACTAGTTGGCCCAACACATTTGTTAAGCATTCCATCTTTTCTGCGTTGACCTGACCTGGCTTCCCTCACCTACTAATACCTAAGTATTTATACCCTTAATGTGTGCAAAGTGTTTGTTTTTTAAATGTTCTCTTCTGTTGCATGACATTTCTATATGTTCCTACAAAGCCCCATATTCTTTTAATTATTGAAACTTAAAATAGGTTTTAATGTCTGGCAGGGCAAGGGCCTCTCATTTTTCAAAATCCTCTTTTAGCACCTTTCCTTCCCAGGTGAACTTTTGTAAAGTTTTCCCAAACATTTTGTTGCTATTTTGATTGGCACTGTGTTAAATGTATTCATTAATCGACATCTTTACAATATTAAATCTTCCCACCTCTCCACCAGCTGGAAGTATTTTGTCCTTCCTCTGAACTCCCTTAGCACGTTATATCTTAAAAAAAAATCACTTTCTAAACTATACCCACCCAATTTTTCAACTCTGAAACATGAGTGTCGTCCCCTCCTTCCCCTCCCCAACCTTCACCCCATCCAATCAATCATCAAGTTGTGTCAATGTTACCTCCTAAATTTTATCCACTTCTGCCTGTCCCCACCACCAGCACTCTGCTCCAAGCTACCATCATTTCTGGCCTGGGCCACCCCACTGGCCTCCAAGTGACCTCCCTGCATCCAACCTGGCTTCCAAGCCATCCTCTGCATTGTAGCCAGAATGATCTTTTAAAAGGCAAATCTGATGGTGGCAATATTCCCAAAGCTTCCCATGGCGCTTGAGGAAGAGCTGAAAAAAAACAAGCCTTAATGTGACCTGGCCCCTGCCCACCTTTGCAGCTTGAACACAGCCTCTCTTAAACTCATTCCTTCTGCTCTGTTCATAAAATATATCCCATGTTCTTGTCTACCCCAGGGTCTTTGCACATACTGTTTTGTCTATTCTAAATCCTCCCCATCAACTCAGTTTAAGGAGGTTCAATTCCCCTGGCATATGTTCCCAGCATCCTAAACAACTCCTTTTAGTCCTCATCAGGTTTGCAATTCCTTGTTTAAGTCAGTCTCCATACTGATAAGGCTAATGGTAATGACACAGAAGTGCTGGGAAGGGAAGGGCGTGGTACCTTTAAATGATATGGAAGTGGGGAAGGGAAGTGCTGGGTAGAGGAAGGCCTGGTCCCTGGCTAGGGCTCCACCCCTTGGCCTGTGCCCATGGACCTAAGTTAGGACAGGCATTTTTGTTTACCTGCCCAAATGTTGCATTTCCCAAGACCACCCTGGCCTGTCATGCCCCCATCCTGTGCCTATAAAAACCCCGAGACCCTGGAAGGCAGACACACATCAGCGGAGGAACACCTGGGTGGCTGGACATCCAGAGGAACGCACCGACAGGCACCGGCGGGCCACTGACCGGCAGAACGACACAGAATGTGGCTGGGGCAGTTGGAGGAGAACCTGGGCTGCCGAGAGGCCCGGGGAAAACCATCTCCCTTCTGGCTCCCTTATCTGCTGAGAACTACCTCCTCTCGATAAAACCTTGCACTCATTCTCCAAGCCCAGGTGTGATCCAATTCTTCTGGTACACCAAAGCAAGAACCCTGGAATATGAAAGCCCTCTGTCCTTGTGATAAGGCAGGGGTCTAATTGAGCTGAGTAACACAAGCCGCCTACGGAAGGCTAAACTAAAAGAGCACCTGTAACACACACCCACTGGGGCTTCAGCTGTAAAATTTACCCCTAGACACTGCTATGGGGTCAGAGCCCCACAGCCTGCCCGTCTGCATGCTCCCCTAGAGGTCTGAACAGTGAGGCACTGAAGAAGCGAGCCACAGCCCCGTCGCATGCCCTGCGAGGGGAACAAGGGGACTTTTCCCATTTCAGTAATAATAAGAATAATATAAATAATAAACCACTTTTTGACTAATAAGATATGGGCCATTCTATCCACTCTCTATCCCAGGTGCTTTCCATGAAGAGACCTGGCTGTACCAGCTTGTGAAGGCAGGTGGTGAAGTTTTCAGGAACGTTGTGAGCTACTTGAGTGGTAGCTTGAAATCTGCCATGGTGAGAGTATTTGACCGTGGAAATCAGTAAATGGTATAAACCCATGATTTAAAAAAGAAAATCTGCTTCTTCCTGAAGAGCCAGTTGTTAAACCTTTGCCAGCCCACCACAGTTGCCAGGCACTGTATCATTTAGTCCTCAGCTCTGTAGGTAGCCCATTTTATAGATGGGGGAAAAGGAGGTTAAGTCACTTCCCCAAGATTCAAGAACAATTCAGAAGGCAAGCCACACTATGAGTCCAGGTATCTAATTCCAGAGCATGAGCAGTTAGTGTTTATGTCAGTGCATTGTAATGTCAGGAAGGTGGGAGACACTGGTTTGACTTGTCTCCAATAGCCTGAGCATAGAGCTCAATGTTGAGCACAGAGTGCACTGCTCAATAAATACACACGTCATGCAAAAGTCGTTAATGTCTCAGCACATGAAGAAAACAGAGATATTTTACGACTTGCTAAAGGAGCATCAGAAAGACACCAGGCAGGATGGCCAGAGGCCTGCATCTTTGTTCTAATGCCATCTTTAATTCAACAGGCAATTACTAGCAAATCACTTCTGCTTAGGTTTCAGTTTTCTCTTCTGGAAAAGGAGGACTTTGACTAGTTAATCTTCATATTCCCTTAATCTCTAAAATTATTTGAATTTACATGTAACATAACATCTGTTATTTTCACAGGTGTATAGGCTCCCCTTTTGCTAGGTACTGTGTTTCCAAGATCTGTCAACCACAGCCTCCTCATTCTGTCTGGCAAATTCCTATTTCGCTTCAAAAATGTCAGCTATTGCTACCTCCTCTGGGAAGCCTTCCCTGATTCCCCAAAGCTAGTCACTCCCTGCATAGTGCCCCTATAACCCTTTTTTATTTTAGGGGCTGAATCTAGTTATTGTAATGTAACTGTAGCCATCTCCCTTTTTTTTTTTTTTAACTTCTGTCATCTCCCATTCTAGAACTGTAAGCTGATAGAGGTGTACTGATATTATTGATTTTGTGTGTTTAGAGCACGTGTTTGTTGAGTAAATAAATGGGTGACACTTCTACCTTCAGAAATCCATATCTAATTGGTCTGGGGTTTGACCTAGGCACTGATAATTTAAAGTGTGGCCAAGGGTGAGGACCTCTTTTACACATGCACACACACGTACACAACACCTGGTTCCAAATGTCTACATCAATTGCGCTACTGATTGAGATTGTTCTTTACTTCAATAGAGAGTTCAGGATTGGCTGCAATGTGTTTGTTATGATACCTACTCATCTCCTTATAGGCCAGCTCCATCACCCACATCCAGGGGTGTCTTTGAAACAACAGAGATACCAGAAGCTCTACATGTAAACAGTGTCCTGGAACAAGACCCGCTATCCAACTGACCTCAGGGACAGCACACGCTTCTGGCTTCTTCTTACCCTGACCACTCCTTCTCAGGATCCTTCCCAGGTTCCTCCTGTCATCTTTAATCCTGCATGCTGGTGTTCCCAAGGCACCATATTTGGACTTCTCCACCATATCATGGTGATCTCCTCTGGTCCTGTGGCTTTAAATCCTGTCTAGATGCTGGTTGCTCCTCTGCTCAACATCTTCCACGTCTTCCCATCCAAAGTCCTTGCCCTGCCTGACTTTCCAACCTCATCTCCCATCACTCTCTTCCCCACTGACTCCACTCCAGCCATACTGGCATTCTTGCTCTTCCCCAACAGCACCAGGCTCCCTCCCACTTGTAATCTTGCTGTACCCTCTACCTGGGACAACCACCTCCCCCACCCCCAGATTCATGGACTGCCAGGCACTGCTCCAGTGAACACCAGTGAACCAAACAGAAAACCCAGCCCAAGGGAGCTCCTGCGATGGAGGAGGGAATGTGGATGGAGAGGAGAGGAGGATGGAGAAAGAAGGAGAGAAGAGGGGATGGATCTCCACAGCTGGCGCCATCCTGGGATTCAGGTCTTCGCTCCATGTCCCCTCTTCAGAGAGGCCTCCCTAACCAGCCTGCCCAACCCTCCCTCACTCTCCTTCCCTTACTTCTCACTATCTGAAATTATATCACTTATTTTCTCTCTTGTCTGTCTTCCCCTCTATAATACAAGCTTTATGAAGTTGGGGGACTTTACCTTCCTCCCTTCTATACCCGTGAGCTTAGAGCTGTGCCAGCCCATGGCAGGCAGGTCATAAATACTAGTTTGAATGAATGAATGAACTATATCCCTTTGGAGCTGGAACAGTAACTTTTTTATTGTGACTGCAATAGAATCTCCCATAGAACCACAGAAAATAACACCTGAGATGTGCTTATCTCAGGACAGAAAATTCAAAGGCTAAATTTTGAATAAATAGACCCAAAAATTACCTCTTTCCATCTACTGCTAATTGATAGCTAGCCAGACATTGACACTTTAACAAGAGTAGGAATCAGAGCGCAAATGAGAGACTACACTATCTATAAAATAATATTATTAAAAATTTATAATATGCCTGCTATATTTTCTTGGTTTATATATTTCTTTCTCTATACTCTTTATTTTCTCTGTCAAAGTATAATACCTCATTGATCTTCCTGCTTCTGGTTGTTCCTCAGTTAACTCAGTCTTTATATTAACACCATTTCTTTTTTTGAAGACAATACCTTTGAGTTACTCTTCGTTGCACAGAAACCCTCAATGCCTTCTTATTTTCTGACAAGTCAAGTCTAAACTCCCTTACCAGGCTCCTTTTTTTTTTAACTTTAAAAAAATGTGGTAAAATACTCATAACATACAATTTACCATCTTAATCATTTTTAAGTGTGCAGCTCATTTGGGCTAAGTAGTTCACATTGTTGTACAACCATCATCACCATCCATATCCAGAACTCTTTTTGTCTTGCAAAACTGAATCTCTGGACCCATTAAATGAATCCCCAATTTCTCCTCCCTTAACCCTTGGTACCCACCATTAGACTTTCCATCTCTATGAATTTGACTACTGTATGTACTACATAAGGTTTTTAAGCTGTTTTATGCTTTCTTTCCCTCCCATGCTGATATGGTTTGGCTGTGTCCCCACCCAAATCTCATCTTGAATTGTAGCTCCCATAATTCCCATGTGTTGTGGGAGGGACCTGGTGGGAGATAGTTGAATCATGAGGGCAGTTTCTCCTATACTGTTCTCATGGTAGTGAGTAAGTCTCACGAGATCTGATGATTTTATAGTGGGTTCCCCTTCACTTGGTTCTCATTCTCTCGTCTGTCACCATGTAAGATGTGCCTTTCGCCTTCTGCCATGAATATGAGGCCTCCCCAGCCACTTGGAACTATGAGTCCATTGAAACTCTTTTTCTTTAAAAATTACCCAGTCTCGGGTATGTCTTTATCAGCAGCATGAAAACGGACTAATACACATGCCTAGCACATGTAGGGTAAGTTCTAGTTTAAATACAAAATGCATTGCCACAGCTGTCAGACAAGCTTTTGGTCCTGCAGGAATGTGCTCACCTCACCCTGTGGCCTTTGCCTATGGGATTCCCATAGTGAGAACATTCTCCCTTTCTCTCTTTGCCCATCCAAATTTTCCCTGTCCGTAAATATGGTCTTCAATTTCCATCTCTTCCTTGGCACCTCACCCCATTACTCTTGTCCACACTAAGCCCTCTCTTCCTGAAACTCATATTCCATTCATCGGAATTACCAAACATTTCAAATTTATGAATTCACCAGTTGTTCTTTGCAATATACCGTTGTCTCCTTCAAAAGTTTCTAAACTTCCAAGTGGGGAAGGGATCATGTCTTACGTGTCATCCATACCCTTCTCTTAGAAAAAGCAGTTGATACAAAGTAGAAATTTAACAAATATTGACTAATATATGATGTTTACCTTCTTGAAGTTTTAAAATACTTTGAATTGCTCTCCAACATCACTAGGCAACTCTCTTGAATCTTTTCAAGAAAATGTAGTTACAGCCAATAACTGTCTATTTTTTAATCTGACCATGTGGATAAAAGATGGTTACAGCATGGTTCCAACAGAGTTAAATTTTCAGAGATGTGTTCCTGAAATGAGCTGCTGTGATCTCCCAGATCATGCAGAAGTTGCTTAAGTAAAACACTAATTGAGAAGTGAACCTTCACATCACCATTCAACATCTATCACTCAGCTCACTCTTTCCACACTAGTAAAAAGACCTAGAAAAATCAGGACGATTACAAAGTGCAGATACTGGGAACTAGCGCAAAGGCAAACCAGAAGCCAGCCTCTCTTGGAATCGTTTTCTCACCTACCTGTGTAAATGAACCTTCCTGGGGCTCCTTTGCAGAACTGTTTAGATTTATAAGATAATGTCACCTCTACCACGCCTGGGATGTGCCGGGGAGGAGTCTGTACTCTGATGGCATGAGGGGTTATTAGCTGAGGAATGAACAGGCAGGGAAATAAAATACCCATTAGACAAGCCATCACCAAGGACATAAGGTGTACAACATCTCCCACTATTGCTCCCCAGGGGCTTCTTTCTCTCTGCTCTACTCTAACTGGAGTACTCCTAGCTCCAAATGCACTCTGAACATCCCTGTCCTGTCTCTGTCTGTCTCTGTGTATCTGTCTGTCTCTGTCTGTCTGTCCCTCTCTCTGTGTGTATGTCTCTGTCTCTCTCTCTCTCTCTCTGTCTGTCTCTCTCTCTCTGACCCCCACCTTGGAATTTCCTCTCAACTCAACCAATGTAGGTCCTTTATTTCCTACAAGCCCAGGCCAAGTCCCTCCCACCTCCTGCTGCCAACCCCACCCTCACCCCTGGAATCCTTTCCTCTGCTGAACTCCTATCCTGCTTGTGATTTCAAATATTGATCTGGCAAGTGCCAACCCCAACTTAACACTGTCACTTATCTTTTTGTCATGTTTTATATGATGATGAAAGTCAAACACATCCAATTTAGAACATTTTGAAATTACAGAAAAATATTTTTTAAAAATTAACATCATAAAGACAATCAATATTAACATCTGGTATGTTTCCAGTACCTTTGTATAAATGTGTGTTATATAACTAGATTTTACATCCATAGGCAGTGTTGTCCTTGTTTTTTTTCTGCTTAGTATTACAGTGTGAGCATATCCTTTTTCCTGTATCATTCGAATTTTTTCAAAACATTTTTTAACGGTGGAGTGACATTCCATCACTTTACAATTCTAGATTTCTAAGTTTTCACCATTTTAAATAATACTGCAGTGGATACTTATCTTCTTAAGAAACCCATGCCTGATTTACTATGACTTTTATGCTTTTTTACCCTTGGTGTTTGTGCTAGTTTCCCAGATCAAAACAATCTTTGGGCAAAAGGAAATCAGAGTAAGCCTGTTGCCTCTGCTTACCTCGCTCCATACAAGCATAGTCCCAAACACCACTTGGAGACCATCAAAGAAGTTGTCCCCGATGATGATGACCATGGCTCCTCCTGTGGTCCAGCCTTCACTCGGGCTAATGGCTTTGATGCAGGGGGTAGCTAAGAAGACAGGAAAGAAAAAGTCAGGTTTGTTCTTTCATGGGTGTCCAACTTTTTGGCTTCCCAGGCCCACATTGGAAGAAGAATTGTCTTGGGCCACGTATAAAATACACTAATGCTAACGATAACTGATGAGCTAACAAACAACAAACAAAAAAGGTCCATGTATAATTTTTGTGATATCCCCCACCACAGATAAGAAAACAAATCCTTGCCTTCAAAGGATTGGACACACCACAAATAAAAAGTCCTTGCATTCAAAGGGCTGGACACCCGTATTTGGTTGAAGCCTAGAATTCTGCGGATGGGCTGCTTTTGAAAGCTGCTGGTCATTCCAAGAAGTTCAAGCTGAGATTTGTTGACTTGCCATCATTCCCTAACTGGCTGTTGGTTTTCACCGAGTCATTAAAGCCTAATGAGTTGACCATTATGTATGAAAAAGTAAAACACTTAGGTAATTGTGCAAAGGGTGTTTGAAAAACTCTGTTGTTTTTGCCCATATTTTTATAAGTTGATCACACTGGAAATGTGTAAATCCCCTTTCTCTCCCCACCTCCTCTGCCCTAAGATGTTAAGATTTACAAGGCCTGTTAATGGGCCAGAGAGAGAGAGGGGGAGAAAGCAAAATCTATCATAGTTGAAGGCTTTTTTCAGCTCTATCAAGAGACAATTTCTAATCACTCTACTAACTTTGTAGGAAGGATTTTCCCCACTTCTTCCATATGCTCCAGGCCTCTGGACTTTATATCCCAACAGGAACCCAATATGGTTTTCAGGCCATAACTAAAGTCAATCCATCACTCCATTTCCAAAGTTGACAGGGTCAAAGGTAGAGGAGAACTTTGGCAGGACTCCAAAAACATGAGCCCCCTTTGAACAGCCAGTCAATCACATCCAATCAGTCAAAAGAAACTGGATGGGTTCCTAGTCCTGAACTCTGGGATTTTCTTCTCCCCTTTCAGTGCCCACTGTGGGAGAATTAACACCACTCCAAATTCTTTACTGATTCAATCATTTTCTTTCAGTTCATTAATTCCTGTTTACAATGATACAAGATACATTTTCAGGGCTGAGTTAGGGTGGGAGGTGGGGGTTGGGTGGTAGTATATAACAAAACATCACACTAAAATAGTAGCCTAGTTTGACCAACATTCTGTATTATAAGGTCTTTCTATACCAGTGAGTTGGGGAGTGCAGACAGAAGGGGAATAATTAAAATGGAATTTACTTAGATTTGTCAGTTATCTTCATCGATATACTTTAATTTTTTGGACAACTTGAAATTTAACAGTTACCGGTATTTCTAATTACTTTAATGCACTTGGAAAACTACCCAGAACAGACCATGATTTCTTCTTGTCCAAGCAAACAAAAATCAATTAGTGTCAGTTTCATTCTGAGCATTGTTTTGTTTTGCCTACAATCTGTTTAAGGGCACATGTGACACTTATTCATACATGTCTGGCACTGCAATGTTCCTGTTTAACTAAGATGTCATAGGCCTATGTTTGCCTGAAATGCCCGTCTCACAAAAAGGAAAACACAGAACAGGATGGAAGAGAGTGGGAGGCATGAGGACTTGGCACGGGCTGGTAGACGTGTGGGCCTTACAGTGGAGCAGGCTGGAGTCTGTGTTTACAACTTCGTTTAAAAAAAAAAAAACCCACATTGTTCTGTGTACTTTCTCTGCTCTGACTCCAAGACATAAATTTGAAGTTCGAACAAGGAAATTCGTGGAGAATTTCATGTGTCTGCTATGCTGAGCGCAGGCAGCCCTACCTTCCGATGGATCGAGTCTTCTTGCTCTCCGTCCATGCTTGGAGTTGTTATGAACAAACATGTTGTCAGAAACAGCCAGGACGTGTCCATCCACATTCACCGTTGTTGACAACACAACCTGCATATTTAAAGTAAAAAGGAGAAAGGGGGTGCAGTGGAATTAGTTTCACATGAAGTAGCAAATGCACCAAAATTCTGTTTTGCCACACTTCCATTTGGCAAAGGGGAGATGGGACAGAACTTGGGACTCAACAGAGTTTTCTCCTTCTGTAATTATGTCAAAACTTTACAGAAAAAGTGGCTGCCCTTCATCCATGCATTGTCAAGAACCTTTGCTCAAAGCACACCCATGTAATGAAGTGGAGAAAATGACCATCTGCCTGCTGGTTCCAGAAACCTGGTTCTCTATCAAAAGACCTGGACCGCCACCGCCAGTGGAGCCTCCACCACAGAAAGCTGGTGTGCCATGTGGAAGCTGAGATCTATACGCCAGCTGGAAAGTCACTTCTTCAAGCTCAGGAATGGGTTCTTGCACTTCAGACAGGTCCTGACATCATGCCCAGCATTGGGATGCTGGCTGGTGAATTGTCTGTGGTGTTGCTGCCCAGTAGAGAGTGGTGGCAGCGATGCCTCGACTTTTGCTGAGAAGATAAGGTTGCCATAATTCAGTGTTGAAAATAGAGGATGTGTAGCATCTAATGAGGGTGAGGGGAGAGGTGGTGTGGAACAGTGGCAGAACATGGGTTTGGAGTCAGGGAGAGCTGAATTCAAATCCCAGGCTTCTGTCCCCTAACTTGCAACCATGATCAAATTACTTCACCTTTTCTAATCTCAGTTTTTCTTATCTGTAAGATATAAATAACAATGTGTATCTCACAGTGCTGAAATGAGGTATAATGAGATATAGGCACACATCCCTAGTCCAAGAATCTGAAATCCAAAATTCTCCAAAATCTAAACCTTTCTGAGCACTGACATGATGCTTAAAGGAAATGTTCATTGGATCATTTTGGATTTTGGATTTTTCAGATTAGGGATGCTCAACCAGTAAGTAAGTACAGAATGCAAATATTCCAAAACCCGAAATCAGAAGCACTTCTAGATGCAAGCATTTTGGATAAGGAATACTCAACCTGTAATACATATAAAGGATTCAGCACAGTGCTTGGTGTGTGCCAAACTGGGATGAGTTTGCGTCCTAACTGCTTTGCCCATGCTGGGCTTGACCAGACCATAAGACAGATGACATTACTCACACACAGAGGTTCTCCCATGGTCTAAGCTCGGGGGGAGGTCCTAGGAGGAGGCAGATAGGAAATAGGTACCAACAGTTATAAGGCATGGTCCCTAACCTAAAAGAGTTTATTTTCTGGCTGGAGAATCATAGTTAACACAGGAAACAAGTAGCACAAAGACTGGTATCAAATCGAGCTCCAGCATATGTACTGCAGATCAGGGGTGGGGGAGAAGCTCAAAGAGGTGGATATCAGCAAAGGCTGGCCAAGCATAGCAGAAGGGAGTGGACCTGGGTGGAGCTCCCACCGAATCACTTGACCCAGAAGACGAACCACCCTAGACATGGGTCTATTTCTCAGTTCACATCAGTTACGCATGGCCATTATTATTGAGAAAAAAAAAGAACTTATTATATACATACTCACAAACATGTGTAGACCTTTTGAGGAAGGGCACTAAATAGGTACAAAATGAAGAGTCGTGTTTAAAAATGACTCTTCCTGTCTACTCCCAAATTAAAACAGTTGATATTCTACTTGTAATTGTCCTTCCTTACTTATTAAATGGAGGGCAGGGGGCTTGATCCTGTCGTATTTTTTTTTTTTTTTGAGATAGAGTCTCACTTTGTTGCATAGGCTAGAGTGCAGTGGCACCATCTTAGCTTACTGCAACCCCCACCTCCAGGGTTAAAACAATTCTCCTGCCTCAGCTTCCCAAGTAGCTGGGATTACAGATGCCTGCCACCATGCTCAGCTAATTTTTGTATTTTCAGTAGAGACAGGGTTTCACCATGTTGGCCAGGCTGGTCTTGAACTCCTGACCTCAAGTGATCCACCTGCCTCGGCCGCCCAAAGTGCTGGGATTACCGAAGTGAGCCACAGCTCCCAGCCCTACCTTACCTCTGAATATGAAGGAATGAGGCAGCATTTTAAAAACCTTTTATTATGAATAATTTCAAGCAAACAAAAGAAACAGGATAGCATAATGAATCCCCAGTACTTACCATTCAGCTTCAAGAATTGTCAAAATATCGCCATTCTCATCTCAGCTACAGTAGACCCCTTATCCAAGAGGTCTATGCTCTAAGACCCCAGTGGATGTCTGAAACCTCAGAGAATATCAAACCCTATATTATGCTTTTTCCTATACATACCTATGATAAAGTGTAATTTATAAGTTAGGCACAGTAAGACATTAATGACAATAATATTTGAAATAGAACAATTATAAAAAGATATTGAAATAAAAGTATATAAATGTGGCTTCTCTTTTTTTCTCTCAAAATGTCTTATTGTACTGTACCTTGGGTAACTGAAACCACAGAAAGTGAAGCCTCCAAAGTGGACGGGGGAACTACTGTTTACCACCACCCACTCCCAACCCCCTACTCAACAATGATAATAATCACAGGTTTGGGTTTTTTTGTAGGTAAAATTTACATACATTGAAATGCACAAATCTTAGCTGTCCAATTTACACTGTGATCAAGAAGTAGACTATTTCCATCTTCCCAAAAAGTCATCTTGTGTTCCCTCCCAGTCCATCCTACCCCCACCACCAGCAAAGCAATACTCTTCTGATTTTTTTCTTTGCCCTGAAGAGTTTTTTGATGACATCTTTTTAAGTTATATTTTTAGCATAATAGGTTTGGGAAAATCCCTAAAACCCATGAGTCCACAAATCATCTCATATAGTGTCACATCTTGAACATGGTGGTAACATATGCAAAATTTTACATGAATAAGTGTCAGTCATCCAACCCAACAGATAATTCACTGTGTTTCTAATATGTGACAGGGCCCAGAGATTCAAAGAATAAACTTAAAGGAACCTCAGTTGTCATTCAGAAAATTATCAATATAATTGCTCACAATTCAGGGGTACAGCCTGTCTAGCGCTGTGTCTGTTTTCAATTGTGTCCATGTTAACATGTTAGAATCTGGGGAAATTCCTTCCAGAAAGTTCCTATCATAGTGGCAAACATTAAGATGGCGGCATCTATCACTCCCCGTAAGTGCTCACGTTCTTATCAAAGTGATCTCAGCAAAACACAAGGTCATGTTACAGTCGAAGGGAGAGGCAGAGCCTCATGGTCGCAAGGTTAAGATGAACATGAAGATTGTATTGCCTACCCCCCGAAAATAATAGGAGAAGAGAGAGAAGAAAGAATCAAACCACTCTTATAAATTGTGTGTGTGAATGCATTTTCAAAGACATAACTGTCATCTCTGGAAAAAACAAAACAGAAAACAAGGAGAGGGTGCTTTGGGCTTTAATTCTTCCATTTTTTTTTTTTTTTTTTTTTTTTTTTTGAGACAGCGTCTTGCTCTATCACCCAGGCTGAAGTGCAGTGCAGTGGCCTGATCTCAGCTTACCACAACCTCTGCCTCCCAGGTTCAAGCGATTCTCCTGCCTCAGCCTCCCGAGTGGCTGAGATTACAGGTACCTGCCACCACACCCAGCTAATTTTTGTATTTTTGGGGTTTTACCATGTTGGCCAGGCTGGTCTAGAGCTTCTTACCTTAAGTGATCCTCCCGCCTCAGCCTCCCAAAGTGCTGGGATTACAGGCATGAGCCACCGCACCCAGCCATGGGCATTAATTCTTAATGAGCTGTCCTAGGCACACTAAGGGGAACCTGGGCCCTGTCTGAGGATTACGTGGAGGTAAAGAGCCTTCTCTCTGAGGCTGCTTTAATTCACTCCACAAGCTCCTTGTCATACTGTCCATTAATACTCCCCACACATTCCTGCCACAAAATATGGGGCTTTCACAAGCCAGCTGATTTCATCATTGTCCATTTGGGTGGAGTGAGACTTAGTTCCAAAGTGAACATTTCCCGAATGACATACCCTGATGGTTCAGATGCACTTCATTATTTTCTATTAACAATAGAAATAAATTTTAATCTCTTGCTGGCTCACGCTGGCCTCTCATGACAGCTAGGGAATTAACCTGAATTATGTCAGTGTCCATAAAATTTATTACAAGATTTTAAATTATGTCCAAATGTATGTGTGTGTGCATGTGTACGTATAGATATGAGGCAAGTTCCAGGTTTTAATATTCCAAATATCTCAGATGGTGAGGTAGCTGGAAGAGCCTGCCAATTCAACTGAATTTTCAAAATGTGATGGATTTAATTCATAAACTCCACAACAGGAAACCAGACCTGTTTGGTGGTTATTTCTATACATAGAGACACACACTTAAATACTGACTTTTACATACATTTGCTTTACTTCTGGAAGAATGAACTACATTATACAGGTGAAGATATATTTGGTACAGTCAAAACTTCAAATTTAAGTTCCTTCACTGTTTACTGATGAACAGTGACAACACTGATATTCGTCTATTTGGAGAAGTTAAGATTTCTGAACGTTTTAGGACCAAAGGAAGTGGAATGCGCATTCCAACATCATCTTACTCCCAGGCCTTCCCCTTCCACAAGCCAACTTCTTTCCCCTAGTGAGTATTTCCTGGGTCACGAAGGCTGACCCTTCCCATCTGGAATCAATCAGTCAACCCCTGACAACTTCCTGAAACACCTCACTCCATTTCCTGTTCTCTCCCCCTTCTCGTTTTCCCCCTGGTTTGCTTCACTCTTCAAAACTGCAGGCCACAGCAGCTTAATGTTAGAGGGTCAGGCACAGTTAGACTCCAAAACACTACACAAGGACACCTTTGACCTTCAAAAATCTTTACATCTTAGCTAAACAAATCAAGGTCAACATTTCTTACCATTACCTTGTTAACTATTTGTATGCATCTCTGCCAAGGGTCTTCTGATCATATAACCATCAATACCACTTATTCACCTAAGATCAACTGATCTGCTTTAAAAGAAGCAAATGTAGTATGGATAAAAGGTGCCATTCGGAGGTGCCTGAAACTGAAAATCGCCAGCATTATATTAGCAAACATACGGATAGTAATCCATACAAAGGAACTTCTATGCCTCATCGTCTCCTGTCACCTAGACCTGATAACGTGTCTTTTCTAAGGCTGTCACTCTATTGGCACTGCCATTCTGCTGGCATGGCCCTAAAGAATGCCAATTAGGAATACAGATGTCCATAATTTGTGTGGGATGGACCCCCAGTTTCTGCTGCTGACACTGGTGACAGTTTTCATTTATTTCTTAGAGTTGATACATCTGTATTACAGCTCAAAGCCTGCAGATCTGAAAACTAAGTCATGGTAAATGACAGCTCTCCTCAACTGATATATTGCAATGCAAAAGCAACAACCAATTTATTTAGGACAAAGTACCTTTAACCCAAGTTTCTGAGAGAGAAATCAGGATCAATTGAAATTGCTTGCATTTTTTTCTAAATAAAAGTGGTTTTCGCCTTCTGCCATTCCCTATTTTGCTTTGATGTGATCTCTCATTTTTAGTAACACCAACTCAACAAACAGACCAATTGGAGAGTGACGGTGGTAGGTTCCATTTTAAATCATTTAATTATATGGCAATGTTAGTTGGTTATACAGAAATAGAAACATGAATAAAAAGTCTGTATCTTCCCATGAAAAATACAAGAAAGTTTTAAGAACGGAATCTACAAGTACGTTAGCAGTCTTCTACCAGTTCTCAAGAAAACCGATCGGCTTTCTCAAATTCTATTTTTCTTTTCATTCCCCAAAAGTTCTCCCATGTCCCTCACTCCAATAATTTATACAAAGCAGGAGCTGAGTTGTAAAGGAGCCCTTTCCTGCTAGTAAAAGGCCACAGTGGGGGTCACCCTTCAGGTGGACACATCCGTTAATCTGCCTGAACAGCTAATTTTCCAATAGAGGAGTTATTTCTTTAGTTATCAGAATGATAGCATGTGCCATGGAGACTTTTACCAAACTGACTTATTCCTACCCTTTGGTTATTTTTATAGCCCTTCTCTAAAATGTCCTTGGCTTTTTGGAACACCGTGTGTGTATGTGTGTGTGTGTGTGTGTGTGTGTGTGTGTTTTAAGTACTTATCCTTCTCAAAACTCTAACTGTATGATTTAGTTGAATTACATAAGCCAAAGGAATGGCCAGTTGGGCCCTACTCCCAGCTAGGCTTTTTCAGCTCCTACCCAGGTGTTTCTACAAAGACCCTAAGTCTCATACAAAGAGGCTGAAAGAAAAAGAGAAGTCAAAATGAAAAATGTGTGGAATCACCAAATGATCTGCTCTTTGAAACAGACGACAATTCCAATGTCTGCAGTCACTAGAGAATAATTACACTGGTCAGAAACCTCCCCGTATGGGCCAGAGTCTTTGCTTTGAAAACACACCAAGTTCTACCATTAGTCAGACACAGTTCCCCACCCTTTCAATGAGGGTCATGCACCTCCTAGCTGAATGTGGGGCCTTTGGTAGTTTAATCTCAGTAAAGCTATAACACATCGCATTTATAGCACACTCCACATTGAAGACTCTGATACCCTACTTATGAATGTGCATACACTCAGCTAAATAAAATGGTCTCGAAAATTCCTGTTATTTTGCCAAGAGTGGGAAAAAAAATTCTTTATGACATTTTACATCTGGAAATGGAATTAAATTCATGAAGTGCTTTTCCCTTATAACTGTTCGGTTGCCATATATGTTATTTCAGCTTTCCCAAAGCATAACTGTTATGTGGGATTTTATTTTCCACCTGTGGAAGGAGGAAAGGGACAGAGAAACCATTAAAGGGACAGAGAAAATCAAGACAGACTTCTGGCTATGGCGAGCGACCAAGCTGCAGTTCCATATTGCAAGGAGAAATACACGTCGGGTTTTTACACAATCCCGAATTCTCATCATGGACAAGGTGAATCTAATGACACAGTTTTGTCTAAGCCTCCATTAATTCAATCCAGGCTAACAACTAACAAATGGGCTACTGCAGTTTGTTCTGCCCTACCACTTTATTCTTGGCACACATATTTTCAAGCCAGATTTAAGGCCCAGATTCTTCTTTGTTATGGGACTCCAGAGTCTCCAAAATTACCTTTAAACACCTACCCCACAAGCATGGATTTTGTCATTTTCTTTAAAAGGAATTCCCAGAATTCTCAGCAATGGCTGTTTCATATTCCCGAAGGCTAAATTTTCTGTTCAGTGAAGAATCAAGTCCCAGACAGGAGAACACAGAGTTGACTGCCATAGAGACAGATGTGGGAGGTTCTGGGTTGCTCCAGCAGAGAGAAGGGACTGGGCATCAATGGCATTACTCCTGAGAAGACGTGCTCTTTTCTTTTTTTTTAAAAAAAAATACATATTTTTAATTCTGTCAAGTTTAAACTGATATACTTGATGACAAGAATATAAACTAAACCAACACTGGTCAATTTACTCAGTTTAAAAAATTTCTTTTAACTATTTTACTTTTTTTTTTCTTGTGTAATTTCAACTTTTATTTTAGATTCAAGGAGTATACATGCAGGTTTATTACACGAGTATGTTGTGTGACACTGCAGTTTGAGATATGAATGATCCTGTCACCCAGGTAGTGAGCATAATTCCTAATAGGTAGTTTTTCAGCCCTCTCCTCCTTCCCTTTCTTTCCCTGCTAGTAATCCCTAGTGTCTATTACCCCCATCTTTATGTCCATTGGTACCCAATGCTTAGCATCCACTTACAAGTGAGAACATGCAGTATTTGGTTTTCTGTTCCTACATTTATTTGTTTAGGATCATGGCCTCCAGCTGTGTCCATGGTGCTGCAAAGGACATGATTTCATTCTTTTTTGTGGTTGTGAAGTATTCCATGGTGTCTATGTACCACATTTTATCTGATCCACCATTGATGAGCATCTAGGTTGATTCCATGTCTTTGTTATTGTGAATAATGCAGCAATGAACATACAAATGTGCATGTCTTTCGGGTAGAACAATTTCCTTTCCTTTGAGTATATACCCAGCAATGGGATTGCTGGGTCAAATGATAGTTTGATTTTATTTTTTTCATTTTAACTAGAGAAGATACTTTCTTAAGGAACCAGACAGCACTGTGTTTCCATCAGTCACTGGGTATTTATTGAGACCCCTAGGCGCTCTGCTACATGCAATGGAAGTTTATAGGAAACATTGTCGCAGCCTTAAGGAGCTCACCCTACGGTGGACAAAGCATAGCAAACACTAGACATAATCAGAAAATATTATTGCACGGTAATCTGTCATTGAGGATTAAACTGTGGCCACTGTGTACTCTAGGGGCCCAACGCTGGGAAGAATCAGCATAAATTGAAGGCTATCACAGCCATTTTCATCAAGAAAGTGAGATTTAAGAACAGACCTTGAAGAACTGGGGGAGTTACACAACTTGAGATTACTGAGATGATTATTCTGGCACCTAAGAAGAATTCTAATTGGCATAAAGGAAGTAGTATGCCCAAGAGCTCTCCGTTGGTGTATTTTGGCTAATTTGGCTTTAGAGTAAACACCTTCTAGAGCTTACTTTTAAAAACCCAATTGAGAAATCCAGTGGCAATTAAAAAAAAAAAAACCAGCTTTTCATGTCATTGAGGAGTGTGAAGATCATTCATCTGCTTTGCAATACTGAATGTCTCTTCATCTTAAAGGCCACAGATACTTGCTACTCCCACCCTAGCTCATTTTATTCCATTGAACCCATTACTTTTCCCAACTAAAATTTGTGCCAAGTGGGATGGTTACGGTCAAGGGCAATATTTTACTAGCAAAAGTTTTGAGAGCCACAGGGGAGCCATAACATATTTGATGCAGTTCTTTGTTTGGCTTGGGCATTCTTGTCTAGGAAGCTCTAGCCCCAGGGACAACCTGAATCACCTGTGGCCTATCAAAAATCAGGAGCACACAGGCCCTGGAAGCAGCTGAGGAACTATGCACTCTTATTGCAGGACTAAGAACACTTTGCTTTCCAGGAAGTTCTGCATTCGATAGTCCTGGAATGGGTTCAGCGGCAGGTTTGTGTCCAAATTAGAGTCCCTTAAAATATTTGAGCATTTAGATTGTGTTTCCAGCTAACTGCAGTCTGACATATCCTCTCCCAAAAGTTTCCCAGGCAACTACTGGTTTTCATTTCTCACCTTATACTTTTACAAAGAGCTCAAAACTCATTTCCTGGGTGAGTCAGTCAAGATTTCTGTCATCCTGATTCTTGTCCCCATTCAAGACACCAAAATTTAGGGGTGGAGGCAGCAGAAGGTTCTAACAGCAGAGAAAAGCCTGAAGTCACTCCAGAGAGCCTTCCCCAAGCTTACATCATTGGACTAAGAGAAAGATCCTCCGACCCTCCACAGTTTTTTTTTTTTTTTCTGACTCCAAATAGATAATTATGATTTCTTAACTAGGACTATCTGGTTTGTTTTATCATCAGATAATGGACTCACCTGCTGATCAGAGAGGCCATAAGTCAAGTGATTTCCATTATGTGCTTTAAAACTGCTGCTCAGTAGCACTCCGGATTTCAAATGGTAGATGAGATCACAGAGCAGCTGGAGCAGCTCTCACACTGAAAGATGTGAACTGAAGAAACCTGCAGGCAGCTGGAGCTGTATTAAATTTTTACCATTTGGAGTTAATTTAAACTCTCGTTTCCCTCTCCAACGGGTGTGAGAGAAACATTCAACATTTTTTATTTAAGGAAAATAGATGGTGGTGCCATTAAAAAGTTTTATATAAGAGCTGGGGGTTTAAAAATCATAAGGGGTTGCTGGATGGAGCTTGGCTCTTTTCCAAGACATGAGTAGCCGTGCCCTTTGCTCTCACGTCGTTTAGTAAACCCGACTAATGGCTCGTGCCCAGCTGTGTGTACGAGGTGTCTTTGTCAGAGCCATTCATTTGCCCCATCGTTCTTCTGCAGTTGTCGCATCCAGCATGTTGCAGCAACAGGCACGAGGCCTCTCACATGATCCAACCACCCTGTGGACGCCAGTCAGTCCCAACGGGGCCTCACTTCCTTTCTCCATTCCCATCCGGCAGATCTTTCTGCCCTTGGTTCCCTTCTCTCCCACACCGGGCGCTTCTTCTTGCTTTCTCACAGGCCTGGCAGATGCGCCAGGTGTGTTTTCAAAAAGCTCCAACCCCTTCCCTCGAACCCTTCAAATCCCCATCAAGATGCCCTTCCAGCAGGCCCATCCTGGGCTTGCATGCAACCTGGAACCAACTCAGCACTGAAGGCTTCCCCAGCCTGACTCCTGGAATGATTTTTCTTTCATTAGAAATGTGTCTGTCTGGCCAGGTGTGGTGGCTCACACCTGTAATCCCAACAATTTGCGAAGCCAAGGCGAGTGAATCACTTGAGCCCAGGGGTTCGAGACCAGCCTGGGCAACATAGCAAAACCCTGTCTCTACAAAAAACACAAAAATTAGCTGGTTTTTTGTGTTGCATGCACCTGTAGTCCCAGCTACTTGGGAGATTGAAGCAGGAGGATCACTTATGCCCAAAAGACCAAGGCTGTAGTGAACCAATATTGCACCACTGCACTCCAGCCTCAGTGACAGAGTAAGACCCTGTCTGTAAAAAAAGAAAGAAAAAGAAATATATCTGTCTTTCCATATCTACTGACATATCTCTTGAGGCCAAGGATGACACGACCTGCACATATATCTCAGTCTTCTCCCTAGCATGACTCTGTAAATTAAAAATGATTATTCTGGTGGACCTAATCTAAAAAGGGAGTAATTTAGGGGGTAAATTTGAGACACCCAAGGGTCTCTCATGAAAGTTCAGCAAATTGAGGTAAGCATCTTTATCTTAATTACAAGTAAGCTGTCGATTAGAGTGAAGTTCATTAAAAACTAACCTGCACATTGTGCACATGTACCCTAAAACTTAAAGTATAATAATAATAAAATAAAAAATAAAAAAAGTGAGAAAACTAAAAAAAAAATGATTAGGCAGGATGAAGAGAGGTTGGTTAATGGGTACAAACATACAGTTAGAAGGTGTAACGTCTAATATTTGATAGAGTGGGGTGACTACAGTTAACAACCATGTATTGTACATTTCAAACCAGCTAAAAGAGAGAACTTGCAATATTCCCAACGTAGAGAAATGATCAATTCTCATGATGATGGATGACTATGGATACCCTAACTACTCTGACTTGATTATTACACATTCAATGCATGCAACAAAATATTGCATGTACCCCATAAAGATTGCAAACATTATATATCAATAAAAAAAATTTAGGCTGGGTGTGGTGGTTCACATTTGCAATCTCAGCATTTTGAGAGGTTGAGACGGGTGGGTGAATCACTTGATCTCAGGAGTTCAAGACCAGCCTGGGCAATGTGGCAAAACCCCGTCTCGATAAAAAATACAAAAATTAGCCAGGCCTGATGGCACACACCCGTAGTCCTAGCTACTTAAGGGGCTGAGGTGGGGAGATGGCTTGAGCTGGAGAGGCAGAGGTTGCAGTGAGCCAAGATTGTACCACTGCACTCCAGCTTGAGCAAAAGAGTGACATCTTGTCTCAAAAAAAAAAAAAAAAAAAGTTAATGATTTTTGAGGTTGGACTGTGTCAAGGATCTCAATTCCAGAATGCTACTACATCTGAAACGACCTAATATACACGCTTGTGCTGCCCACAGGATAGAGAACACCCCAATGATCATGTATTTTTAAAATGAAGTCCTTTTGAGGCAGAGGGTAAAAACTCAGCATTCAGGCCTCTAAGCTTCCCAGTCTCAAGTAGATCTGCTGACATTTGTGTCCTATAATAGGTGATGCTGTGGAAAGCTCAGAAAACTATTCATAAGAGCATCCACACTTACTGTTACTATAATGGTGAGTATCATTTAGCTCCACAAACATCTATACTTGACCAAGCTGCTGAGTTCCAGCAAGCACCACAAACACAGCTGGCACTGTACGGAAGCCCACTGCTTCCAGGAAAGTCACCTGAATGTCACAGAGAAGCAGACTTGAGCTATGCAAACCACTCATTTATTTTTTATATCCTTCCACTAGGATGCAAGCCCCTCAAGGGCAGGAATTTTATGATTTGCTCTCTGCTGTATCTCCAGCACCTAGGATAGTGCCTGGCACACAGAATTTCATCAGTAATATTGGCTGGGTGCATGAATAAATGAATGAGTACCTCTATGTTTTCACTATGACTTGGAATAGACCCAGCCATCCTATCTATGACAGTGAATTAGCAACAATAAGCTCTAAATTATTGTCAATTCCTAGTGATTTTTAGAATGTGAATGTGGGAAATGACCGTGTGCCTGACTTCCTCTTCCTAGCTTGATTTTCTTTTGGATTTTACAACTGCCTTCACTCCACCCACACAAGCAGAAAGAAATAAAGAATGGGATTCATTATGTCTTAACAGGCCTGTCAGCTTAAACTAGACATACATTTCTTTTCTTTTCCTTCATTGAGCTGTTAATCTGGGTGTTTCACCTAATTGTTCCATTTCAAGGAGGGCAGAAGTGATTTTCCGCATGCATGACCCATGGATTTAGATACTTTGAGGAGCCCTGGAAATCTTAAGTTTGTTTTCTCTTTTTTCCTTTTTTCTTTTGCTCTCTTAAAAATTTATTTAATAATAATCCATTATTTTAATCAATTATTTTAATAATTAATCTATTTATTTAATAATAATCTACAGAATGCCTGCCATTATGCTAGACATTGGCAATACATACAAAAATAAATAAAACATATCGATTGCCTTCAAGCAGCACACAGTCTATTGGACAGACAAACAAGAACTGCAAGATGATGTGATAACTGGCAGGGTAGGGGCCTGCAGAGAAGGGTGTGTCAGCACAGACCCAGGAACCAACAGCTCCATTTGGAAGAGTCAGAAAATGCATCACTAAGGTGGTGACATTCAGCTGTAGCCTTAAAGCATGAAAAGGAGTCACAAGTTGGAGAGGGGTGAAGGGTTCCCAGGCAGAGGGGTGAACATATGGAAAGCTTCCTAGATGGAACAGAAATCAGAGATGGGTGTGTGGTGAGCAGCAGGCAGATGAGAACTTCTGGGACAGGCATGGCAGGTTTTCCTGGTAGGCAGAGGCTGAGTGGCCTTCTCAGCCATGCCTTTTTAAATCCAGGCTTTGTGTCCATGGACAGTTGATACCCATTTTAGTAGGTGTATGTATTTAATTTTTATGGATACGTAGCAGACATATATATTTATAGGGTTCATGAGATATTCTGACACAGGCATACAATGCACAGTAATCACATCAGGGTAAATGCGGCATCCTCATGACATTTTGTCTGGGTTTTTTTTTTTTTTTTTTTCCTTTTTGTGGAGAACAAGGTCTCACTACATTCCCCAAGCAGGTCTCAAACTCCTGGGCTCAAGTTGTCCTCCTGCCTCTGCCTTCCTAAGAGCTGGGATTACAGGCATGAGCCACTGTGCCTAGCACCCTGACATATTTTAAGAGGTAACTCTGGCATTCATGCTGAGGACGGGTTAGACAGGGGAGGAATAAAGACAGGGGCTACAGCCGGGCGCGGTGGCTCACGCCTGTAATCCCAGCACTTTGGGAGGCCCAGGCGGGTGGATCACGAGGTCAGGAAATCGAGACCATCCTGGCTAACACGGTGAAACCCCGTTTCTACTAAAAATACAAAAAAAAATAGCCAGGCGTGGTGGCAAGTGCCTGTAATCCCAGCTACTCTGGAGGCTGAGGCAGGAGAATGGCGTGAATCCGGGAGGCGGAGTTTGCAGTGAGCCGAGATCGCGCCACTGCACTCCAGCCTGGGCGACAGAGCGAGACTCCGTCTCAAAAACAAACAAACAAACAAACAAAAACAGAAAAAAAAAGACAGGGGCTGTGGCAGCTTTTGAGGAGAGAGGTGGATTTAATAGATACTTAGGAGGAGGCAGCGACACTTTGACAATGAAAGAGGAGGGAATGAATCAGGGAACAAGCAGTGAGTTCTGTTTTGAACACGTGCTCATTAGTCATCCAGGGAAGATGCCCAGAAGGAAGCTAGCATTATATGCCTGCAGCTCTAAAGAAGTCTGAGAATATGGATACAGAAATCATCCAGGAACAGAGAGCATTTGAAGCCAAGAGAGTGGATGAGAGATCACCAGGAAAAGTCCTAAGTGGACAGATCCCCACTGTTAAAGGTTACCTTACATGAAGGATGCCTATTGGGCTTTAAATGAATTCCATTTCTTTAGACTAGAGGTCCATGGAAGCTTGAGATATTTCAAGTGGTCTGGAGACCCCTGAAATTTTAATTAAAACTTTAAACGTAGTATTTCAATGGGATACAGACTATAGCTTTTACCAGATTCTTAAAGGGGTCTGGGCCAAAAAAAAAAAAAAAAGGTTAAAAAGGGTTAAAAGGGTTAAAACCCTTTGTGTTTCAGTATTTTTTATGTCCTATAATACTTAGGACTTGAATGAAATTAAAGAGAGGATTGGTTCAAGCTTGAAAATAACCTTGATGTAACAATTTTGGTCTGATTGGATGATTTTTGTAAAAAGAATCCAGGTTCCACCAGTGTTTGGGGGTAAGGGAAGGAGGGGGGAGAGTTTTATAGAGTTCAGGATTTGGGTAGAAATTTTTCATATTTCTATTCCATTCAGATCAAATCCTCACGAAAGAATCCTTCATATTAAATTTATGTTTGATCATATCACAAAAGTAGAGAATTGAAGGAATTGTGTATATGGCTCTAAATGATTGTCTTTGTCCTTCTGAGTGAGATACATACTCTAGGAATTTCTGAAAGTCACCATCCATTCAGATGACTGTCCTACCACCATGAGTATGCACTCTCTCTGGTTTTGTTTCATATTTGGAACCTGAACTAAGTTTCTTACTTGACTATGATAGCATATTGCTAAGCCTGTCTTCATAATAACCTTCTCTATGAGAGAGCTTTCATTGAAGGTTATATTCTTAGTAGAATCTAAGTACAGTATAAAAATTGCCAATTCTTTTGTGCACCAAAGGACACTATCAAGAAAGTGAATGACAACTCATGGAATAGGAGAAAATATTTTCAAATCACATGTTTGAGAAGGAGCCAGTATCCTGAATATATAAAGAACTCTTACAGCTCAACAATAAAATGACAAATAATGCAACTAAAAAATGGGCAAAGGATTTAAATAGACACTTCCTCAAAGAAGATATACAAATGAGCAATAAGCACATGAAAAGATGCTCAAAATCACTAATCATTAAGGAAATGCAAATCAAAACCACAATGAGATACCTCTTCACACCCATAGGATGACTAGAATTTTTTTAAAACAGAAAATCCCAAGTGTTGGCGAGGAATTGACACCTTCACAGATTACCAGTGGAAATGTAAAATGGTGCAACCACTATGGAAAACAGTTTGGCAGTTCCTCAAAAACTTAAAGAAACAATTACCATATGACCCAGAAATTCTGTTCTTAGTTGTATACCCAAGAGAATTAAAAACATATGTCACACAGTGAAACTGTGCACAAATACTAACAGTGTCATTGTTTGTAATAGCCAAAAAGTGAGACAATCCAAACGTCCACTAACTGACTAATGAATTTTAAAATGTGATATATCCATACAATGGAATAGTCAAGCTGTAAAAAGGAATGAAGTATTGATACATGCTATCACATAGAGGAACTTTAAAAACATTATGCTAACAGACAAAAACAGACACAAAAGCCACATATTGTATGATTCTATTTATGTTAAATTCCCAGAATAGACAAACCTATAGAGACAGAAAGTAGATTAGTGGTTGCCAGTGAATGGGGAGAAACAGGAACTGGGAGACATGAGATTTCTTCTTGGGATAATAGAAAAGTTCTGGAATTAGATAGTGGTGCTGGTTGTACAACACTTTGAATGTACTAAAAACCACTGGACCCTGCACTTTTAAATGGTTAAAATGGTGAATTGTATGTTATATGAATTTTATCTCAGTAAAAAATGCAAACAAATTGCCAGTTGACTTTAGCTCTACCCTTGAAATAAGACAATCAGAGAATCCACAAAGTCTAAACAATTCTTTTTGCCCTTGTCTTTGCAAAAGTCAAATACTTTCACATAGGATGAGAATTCTATATCATTTTGAGATCAACAATATTTATTCTATGCCAATGAAAAACTCAGGCACCATGAAAACCCCATTTAAGTAAATAACTAAAGAAGTAGAGGAAATATTAGCATGCATTTGCTTTGTGAATATATTCCTAAACTTTGGGAGAAAGAAAATGACAAGGCATTCTCCTACAATGGAAGCCTCTTCACATTTACAAGAGTATCCTCAAATTCTCAAATTTAAAACTCTTTGAAAGTGCTGGTAGAAAGTAGGATGGAATAAAAATCCAAACTGCCAACTCTCTTTTCTCTGCCTCTGTATCTTCTAGAAATAAAGCTAAGCTTTGGTCATGGAGGCACTTTGGAATTCTTTTGAATTTTACTCTTCTTTGGACTGAAATTATTTACATTTTTATTTGGAATATTGAGCACAGTGAATTTCCACCATGCACGAAGTTCCTGTTTGATCCCCCAAGAAGGCTGGTTTTATTTCTGTTTTTCTTCATACAAGAAAGTAGGCCCAGAAGCGGTGGCTCACACCTGTAATCCCAGCAATTTAGAAGGCTGAGTCGGGTGGATCACTTGAGGTCTGGAGTTTCAGACCAGCCTGGCCAACATGTCAAAACCTCATCTCTACTAAAAATACAAAAATTAGCCAGGCGTGGTGGCATGTGCCTGTAGTCCCAGCTACTCAGGAGGGTGAGGCAGGAGAATTGCTTGAACCCAGGAGGAGGAGGTTGCAGTGAGCCAAGATCATACCATTGCACTCCAGCCTGGGTGACAGAGCGAGACTCCATCTCAAAACAAACAAACAAACAAACAAACAAACAAAAAAAGGCAGGGAAACAGCCTGCCCAAGAGAGAAAAAGTCTCCAACTTTTTAAAGGGAGGCTGGTAATAGTGTTAAGTATTGTAATGAAAAATGTTCCTGTCACAGCAAGATTGATAGCCATGATGGGGTTAAAAAATACTACTACTAGTTTTTTTTTCAAAGTAACTCTCAGTAGCCCTTGTGTATGGCCATCTTCCTGTTAACTCTTGAATGGCTCTGCTCCTAAACATCTGTCTGATTGTGGCCTAACCACAGAAGCTCTCCAGCAGGACCAGCTACATAATTTGTAGGGTTCAATAAAAAATGAATGTCACATTCCTTGTTCAAAAATTATTCAGGGTCCGATGTGGTAGCTCACACCTGTAACCCCAGCACTTTGAGAGGCCTAGGTGGGTGAATCACCTGAGGTCAGGGGTTTGAGACCAACCTGGGCAACATGGCAAAACCCCATCTCTACCAAAAAATACAAAAATTAGCAGGGCATGATGGTGCACACCTGTAGTCCTAGCTACTCAGGAGGGTGAGGCATGAGAATCCCTTGAGCCCAGGAGGCGGAGTTTGCAGTGAGCCAAGATCACACCACTGCTCTCCAGCCTAGGTGACAGAGTGAGACCCTGCCTCAAAAAAAAAAAAAAAAAAAAAAAAAAAAAAAAAATTATTCAGAATTTCAAGAAGACAACAGCAAAAGATAAACCTAGCAGCTGCAACGTGTCGCATGCCCACAGTGTGCTGGAAAGAGTTTGATCAAACAACTCCTCCCGGCTCCTGGCTCCGGGCTTTACCACCTACTTACTGTGATTAGGGGCAAGTTATTTAACCTTCCAGAACCTCGCTTGTCTCAGGCGAAACATGAGGCTAAGGTTCCCCATCTCTCTCATGGCTGCAAGGATTTACTTTTTGAAGTCTCAAGCTTGCATACTATCGTTTAACATGTTTTTAATTTTTCTATGGAAAAGGAGGTGCCACATCTAGAACGGGGTGTGAGTGGCAGGAAAGCCATTTGGTGAATTAAATATGGGTCCTTCAAAGCTCAAGGAAGGGGGCCGAGAGGAGCTGCTCTTGCTTTCGTCTCCAGCCTGATACACTTTGCCTCGCTCTGTTTTTATTAGCTCGTCTCCTCAGTACATCAGTGGCAAGGGTGATGAAACCGGTGGCAGATTTAACTGCCAGGCAGCTGGGTCACCGTCCCGTGGGTCTTGTTGTCACGCTGCGATCTTAAAGTGACCACGCTGCTTGGGCTGCTGCCTTCCAGAAGGCTCAGAGAGCGACCACTGAATAGTTAATCGGTGGAAAAGGGAAGACAGGAGCTGTTGCTTGCAGAAAATACAGAGAAGCTGCTCTGAAAAATCCCAAGGTGGCTGAATATCAAGAACATGGTTCCTGCTGTGGGCAGCTGTGTGTGCAGTGGGCAGCCCGAGGGCTGAAAATCAAATCTCCAGCACCGGTTGGTGCCTCTCCCCATAGGGCTTTGGCAATGGGGGCAGAAAGCTTAAACACTACAAGATGAAGAAACTCTCAATGCTAGTGGCTGAGGGTCATCGTTTACCATTGTCTTTTTTATTGTTAGGAGTAGCAGTGAATAGTAATTTTTAAAGAAAAAGAAAATAAAAAGAGTGAGAAGGAGAGAGAAAACAGGATGACTTATTTAACAGGAAAGATCTGCAGGGCCCCTTACCTGAAACCGTCTCATGTCCCTTGGGTTTCCTGCTGTTTTCAAACAATTCTGATTGCACTTGAGGAAAAATTTTAAAAAGAATCTGTGAAGAGAAAGCGATGTGTTACATTTTTCAGTAAACATTTTTAAAGGGAGAATATAGCTGCATTCCATTAGATTTGATTTGACAGCGATTCTATTTCAGATCTGGGGAATTTCAACCTGCCCTGCCTGTGAAGGAACACTGCTGACCCTCTGCAATTTGCAAATTTGGATGTTTTCAATCTCAAGCCCAGCACCCGCTTCCCCATCACTGTGGGGGATTGTTAAGTGGTTCACAAGGTGGGCTTTGGTTTGTACACTGGCCCCCGGAGTTTGTAGAGCACTCGTTCTGGAAAATTTTTTTAAAAAGGCTTCAAATGCAGCAGTGACCCCTGCTGTACAGAAAGTCTTGCTCCAGGGTTAAAAATGGCAGGACCCGGCCCCAGAATCCCAGGGCGTCTCGTCTGTGTGGCTCTCCACTGGCCCCAGACACCTTCATGCTCATACGTGAAGGTGGCCTGATATATTCAACTAATGTTTACAAAATCAGAAAATGATATGTTATCTTCCAAAGACAAAGTCCATCTGTGCAGGTATATGCCAGAGTTTTTATGATTAATAAGAAGTGTGAATATCCTCTCAGTTCATGTATAGATTATTCAGAGAAACATGAAAGCACAGAATCATGGTCTGAGGTTAGCATTTGTCATATATATTTCTTGAAGCCAATATTCTCTCTTAAATGGCCTATCTGTGCAATTTTAAAATTGGGCATCTTTCATCAGGCAACTACGTTAACCAAGAAAAATGGCAGAAGTGGCCTTTTCAGCAACTCACCTAGTTAATGTTTGAAAATTTGTTTCAAAATACAGTAAGTTTTTCATTTATTTCACTTGCAGAGTCCTTTCCCTTAAAAAAAAAAAAAATCCAGCTTTTGCAGTGTTAAAGTCCCAGGTGAGCTAGGCCTATTTCCCTTTCTGTTACTATGACAACGAAATTTTACCGCAGTCCCAAAGTCCCTTCAGAACTCTCACATCCATGTCTTGAATTAGAACTTTAAAGGAAAAGATATACATTTTCCTCAGGATTTACAAACAAAAATAAGTAGAAATCAACAATGCTTCCAAAAATTCTATTCTAAAGCAATGGTTGGTGAAATGTTCTCATTGCGACGTTCTGATTTTTATTTTTTGTTTAACAATCACACAAAAGAATTAGATAGCTCTCCAATTAAATGTATTTATCACTTTAAAAAACTGATGAGTAGATAAACAGTAAATGATAAAGGAGGAGAGAAGGGGAATTGGCTTTTCAGAGTATTTTCTGTGTTTGAGGCTCTTTTACTCTGTTTGCTGGAAATATTTGGCCACATGCTCCCATGAATAAGGTTGAGTGTGAATTTGAAAGCAACAGCTAAATATTTTTTTCATGATTTTATAACATCTGCTTTTCACTTCTCTCTTTCAATCTTTTATAGGGTGGGTGGGAGGTTGGGCTTTGCTTCCTGTGCCCCGGAGGTGTTGGGGTCTTTATGGAAGAGACCTGCGGAAGGATAAGGCAGAGAAAATGTTGTGCGTGGCTGTCCGACCTCAGTGTTCAAATTCACAACCTGCCGCTGCTTTCTGAACGGCAGTAGCATCTCTGCCCGGGTCGTCAGAGTGCGTTAGAAAGGAGAATTGCTTTTATGTAAGTAAAGACTGATCAGAATTCAAACATTTTATTTCTTGAAGGGTAAACATCCCCTCCGTTTGTACACTCGTAGCAGAGTCAGCCACGGACACTCACAATGCTTGCAAATATTGCCTTTTCCCACTTGTGTGTGTTTCTGAACAATAGCCCCCGCTGCACCCCACACTGGCCCTCAACCACTCCCAGCGGCAATTTACGACTTACATTTTTCCCCTGCTAAACCCAAATGGAGGGCTTTTTCTCATTTAGTCCTTGATTTCTGGAAAGTTTTGCCACAACTGTGCTCCTTGTAATGTGTTCTGTGTGTGTTAGACTACCCCCACTCCCCGCTCCAAAATGTATCTGGTGAAAACATTAATGTTCATGAAGGCATTATTATATGAATGGTGTGGTAGGTGGAAAAGTGCAAAAGAGATAAATGTTTACATAAAATCAAATTGATTTAGGGAAACATGGAGCCTGCTGAAAGGCTTTATTCATTTTAAATTAGGACCCTTAACAGTGATTTGGATGGAAAACACCTAGTTTGACTCTTTGCTTGTCTGGGGGGCTGAATTTGTAACCTACACAGCCCCGTGCACTCTGAGGACTTAGCACTGGGTTCACGAAGGAGAAGGGGAGGTTAAGTGGGAGGAGGAAGAGGGAGGTGAGTGAGAGAAGACAGAGACAGAAAGTTCTCTTGCATTACATAGTATCTTCTAAAAGAAGGTATTGCTACTTCTAAATGGCTTGCACCAGAAATTATGGCCTGGATTTTTTAATATATGGATCTAAAAATTAATTAAAAGAAATTCTGGGGCTTACTGACATCTCCATTTTTTTTTCCTCTTACTTTAACTGGTGTCTTCTGGTTCTCCGCCCTCCACCCTCTCCATCCACCATGCTCAGGGTCTTGATACAAAACCTTCACTAATCATACCATCCATTTAGCCACGGGGTAACTTACAGGGAACAAATTCTCTCCAAATCCCCTGGGTCTAGATCCCTCCTGAAGCCAGAGCTGCCTGGAAAATGTCGGCACTCTCCACTAAGAAACGGGAAACCCAGATAAATTATGAGATTCAGACCAAATGTGCAGATTATCAGGATGAAATCTATTTCCACTTTCTCCAAACAATGTTGACAACGTGAATATCATAACCACGGTGCATGCTACACACGACAAAGCTTCTGATCCCATTCCTTAAGAGCGAACACTAACAATCACAGGTTTATCCTCATGTTACAGGATGAAGAGGATCGGAAAGAGGAGTCAACATGGCAACTCAAACCTTCAGATGGCAATCCGGTCCCTAGGTCAGTGGGGCAGGAGAATGTACCAGAGCATTCCTTTACTCTACAGATCCATTGGAAATGCCCCAAGGGTTAGCCTTGACCTGTGGCTACCAACTGACCACAGGACCAAGTTACCTCACATTCATTCTCTCTTAACGAAGGAGTTGAATGGGATCTGTAGGGTTCTTTCTAACATTAATATTTTATGACTGCAAAGAAAAATGTACAGAGTTGAGAACCTTCCTTCCAAAAAGGGTTACAGTGGGGAAAGAAACCACTGAAAACAAGAGACCATGACTTATTGAAACCTGAGTGGGTGTGGCAGAGGTGGGAGTGAGGGTTTCTGAGACGTAGGTGAAACCCACTGAGATAAAACTGTGAAAAATAAATAAGTGGGGACAGCTGACTGGTGGGAAATAGGACATCCAGGGTGACGCCGTGCCCAGAGTGGGCGGTGCCCTGAGGCTGATGGGCAGATTGTTGGGTGAGTTGCACTGTCCCTTTAGGACCCTTTCTCTCTGCTTCTGAGGCAGGGAGGGTGCTTCAGGAATATCACAGATCAGAGCCACCTACATAACCTCTAACAATCCTGCACGGTCCAGCAGCTGAAGGGTACAGGGGTCACGGAGTGGAGGGAAACACAGTTTGCTGAGTAGCCACTCTGCCCAATACACAACACTGTATTTCATTCTCACAACAACCCCATGGGTGACGAATCATCCTACGGCTGGGAAAAACGAAGGCCTCAAGAATTTAAGAAACTTGCCAAAGATCATAAGCTTGTAAGTGGTGAACACAAGGATTGGAGCCTGGATCTTTGTGGCAACAAGCTCCATGTGGTGTTGCATGTTTCCTGCACCAATGACACTGTGAAGATTGCTGCACAGCTGGGTGAATATACTAGAAACCATCGCATTATACACTTTGAATGGGTTTCCTTTGTAATATGTAAGTTATATCTCAATACACCTGTTATTAAAAAAACACTTCAAAATGGTCTAAAAATGGCACACACACACACACACACACACACACACACAACAGGAAGAATAAATCAGGAGAAAAAAAAAAAGTGAAAGATTCTTGCTTCTTGAAGAGACTGCAGTGTCCCAAGTTGAAATCAGTAGTCAAAGATAGACATATGGAAACATGGAACTAAATGCTTAATATTGAAAACTGCTGAATTCATTTATTTACTCATTTGATCAATATGTATTGTGCTCTGTGTGCCAGAAAGTTCAGGCACAGTGGCAAGCAAAGTCCTTGGCCCCAAGGATCCCCCGACCAAACTATTCAAATACGTTTCTCCAGATTCTGAAATGAGTCTGGAGACCCCTGAATCTATTACTGAATACCCTCCTTTCCAATCTCTAACATACTGGAATATCCTGTACTATTCAGGAATACAGTAAAAGTGTGTAGGTGGCTTCCACATGTCTTCCGCCATCCCACCCATCTCAAACGAGATGCACAAATACAGTGCAGAGTTAAGGTTCCGTGGTGGGGACAGGAGGCTTGAAATCACAGGAAAGGTAACTACTTAATATTCTTGCCAGACTCTGGAATTCTCATCAATGGTCTAGCACAAAACCCAGCACAATATTTCTCCAGGATTTATGGAAGAGGCCATTCAATTTACCTCCAAATTGGAATACAAGATCTAGTTCCTCCTTAAAATTTTTAATACAAAAGAAGTCCATAAGGCCAGGTGCGGTGGCTCACTCCTGTAATCCCAGCACTTTGGGAGGCTGAGGTAGGAGTATCACGAGATCAAGAGATCGAGACCATCCTGACCAACGTGGTGAAGCCCCATCTCTACTAAAAATACAAAAATCAGCTGGGCGTGGTGGCATGCACCTGTAGTCCCAGCTACTCAGGAAGCTGAGGCAGGAGAATCGCTTGAACCTGGGAGGTGGAGGTTGCAGTGAGCCGAGATCACGCCACTGCACTCCAACCTGGTGACAAAGTGAGACCCCGTCAGAAAAAAAAATAAATGGGAATTCACATAGAAGGAATGTGAACTTAGTAGTAGTTAACAGCTACCATTATACAGAACCTGTCTGTATACAAAATAATATGCAAAATGCCTTTCACTCTGAAAACTTAGTTCCTTACTCCCTTAAAAAAGAATCTAATTCTGCCTACCCTGGAAACAACTTCTGCTATGATAATGGCCACATTTTATACATCACAGGGATGAGAACACCCCAGGCTCTCCAAAGACCAAGAGAGGGGATGCTGTATCTGGTTCTCTTTCTCTGCCATGATGGTCACATAAGCAGGCTAGGTCACTAAAGGCTGAGTCAAACGTACAGTTGATATGGCCTCACAGACCACATAGGGACTTAAACACGTGTGTTCATTGATTTTGCAGAAGACACTTTCTGTCTGGATTAGCTGTTAAACCTCCTTGTTTTTAGCCCAATAAATTAAAATACAATTGAGTTTCATTGTTTGTGCATGCCTCTGAAAAGGAGATGGCCCATTTCCCTTAAAACACTCTCATACCATTTCTGAGAACTATGCAATACAGGGACAGGCTGGGTCATAGAATCACATTTGAAAGGAATGGGCAGTTGCCTCTCTTCTTCCAGGATCCTCTCCACAAGTTTACATCCTTTGGGCGATTAGGCAATCCAAGCTCTCACACCAGACTGAGAAGCCTACTGGGTGGCCACACCCATGAGTTCATTTTCTCACTCTGAGAATGGCCCTCATAGCAACTCACTCTGCTTCGTATGGTAAGAAAACTCGCAAGTGATTGCTTTCCACTTGAGACCAGAGAAAATCTTAACGGTGGTGTTCCAGTTGTAATCTAGATCTTAACTGGAATATCTTCTTTGACCCTTCCAACAACAGAGAATATTCTTTCCTCCTTCAAGATCCCCCAGCAGAGTCTACACCCAGGCAGCCCTAGGGAAGGTGAAGGTTAGCAGTGGGACCCAGCCTTGGCCTGGAGATGAAGTGCCCTGGATACATCTATTGGTTGTTGAGGTGTTAGCCCAGGCTACAAAGGGCCCTGAAGCTTTTAAGATCTTGTGAAGACTCTGACTAAAGTCCACAAGAATGAAAAGACTCCAGGAGGTCAAGCTCCCAATGGGCTCTTGTTACACCCTACAGTAACTTGGTGATGACGCATCTGAGAACACTTGGCTTAGTATTTGAGATCTGCTTGGCAAGATGGTGGCTAGCACAAAAGCCCAAGAAGATTCAAGGAAAGGAAAGATGACTTAATAGTTTTGACTTACTGGCTTCTTTAGGCTTAAACGAAATGAAGTTTAAACTCATTTTTGTAAGCTGATGTTCTACCGAATCCATTTAGTTAAACAATCCCTCAAACTGTAAAAATAAACACATGAACAGAAGAGGTATAGAATCTTTAATCTCCACAGACATTCCTAAGGCAGGGACTTATTACCATTAAGGCTTGTTCACCCAGATTATTTCAATAAAAGCCCATTTAAGATCTGAAAAATTTAACTTTACAGAAATGTTTTAAGCAATAAATTTTCTTATTTCCAACTACACTCAACTTCTCAAATTCCTCTTGCCTAAAAGACTATGATGAAACAGTAATTATAATTAATAATAGCCTATATTCATTGAGCTTATATTATTTGCCAGGTATGATTTCATGTAATCTTCTCAACTTTGGGAGGAGGAAAATTAACATCTCCACCTTACAGAGGAGATAAACAAGATTCAGAAAGGTTAAATGACTTGCCCAAGTCAAAACAGCTAGTAAGCAGAAAAAATAAGAGTGGAAGTAGTCTGTCTGACTCTTAGCAAAATGCTGGTCTGTTGGGAGCTTGGCCAAGCTTTGGAAAAAAAAAAAAAGGCTGAACATGTTGCCACGCGGCACTGTTTCACAGGACAACTGCCTTACTGATCCACATGGGGGATCCTGTCATTGTCTTCCTCTTCTGCTGGAATAAGAGTGGAGTCCTTCATGTTGCAAAATAAAACAAGCAAACAAATAAAAATGTCTACCATTCCTATCAGGGAGTGCACTCTCTAGAAGTTCTGTGACTATTTTAGAGGACGCAAAGGAAAAGATAAATAAATCTATCAGATATTCAGAAAACAAAACTTCTCAAGAACCCAAATTGTCCAAAGAGATGGCATAGCCCAAATAGCTTCAGCCTTTTGGAAAAAAAAAAAAAAAAAAGGTTACTCAAGTGCATGAGGAAGATTCAGGACCATTTGTCTATGAAGACGATGGGAGGGAAAAAGCTGAAAATCAAACGTGGAATGAAAGAAGTTGAATTAAATCTTGGAAAACATTTTTTGGGAATCAAGTCACCAAGGCTAAATTTTGGAAGCATTTACCCAAGGGACAGAGCAGGATCTCCATAATGGAGATTTTTAAATAGACCAGCAAGCTAATGCCTTTGGTAGCAGATAATTTCAGTCCAATATGCGGCAGCTAACTGGGGTGTCCATACCAAGCCCACGTGATTTCATAGCTTCTACAGTGGCAATGATGATGATGATTCAATTTTTACTGTAAAAATTAGGGACTTTCAGTAACAATTAAAGACCTTATGGCCAGACGCAGTGGCTCACATCTGTAATCCTAGCACTTTGGGGGCCGAGGCAGTCTGATCACTTGAGATCAGGAGCTTGAGACCAGCCTAGTCAACATGGTAAAACCCAGTCTCTACTACATATACAAAAATTAGCCAGGTGTGGTGGTGCACACCTGTAATCCTAGCGACTTGGGAGGCTGAGACACGAGAATCACTTGAATCTGGGAGGCGGAGTTTGTAGTGAGCCAAGATTGTGCCACTGCACTCCAGCCTGGGCTACAGAGTGAGACTCTATCTCAAAAAAAAAAAAAAAAGCAAAAAACCCAAAAAAAACAAAAAACAACAACAACAAAAAAACACTTTTCAAGGCCAATAGTGAGGACTAGTTATTCATGCAAAGTGTTTGGGTAAATGCCTGGTACAAAGTAAGTCTGCTTCTTCACCTTTTGCTACACATACGTATGATCCCTTCCCATGTATTGCCCCTTTCTCCCCCACCACATTTTAAAACAGCCCATTTTCCAGACAAAATTATTCCAGAAGGAGCTGTCACGAATTTAAATCTGGTCCTCTCTGCCCTGCTTATCTCTCCAATATTAATATATACTACACTGGAAGAACTTCCCTTAATTTTTAAGAGAGAGATAGTAAAAGAAAAAAAAACCACACATGTCATTAATCCACTCTCACAGATAGTAGGGGAGAAAACAACATCAAAAACACAAAAAATGGTCGATGGGAGTCCTCATTCCTGTTTTCAGTAAACTCTGGCCAGCAAAAAATTCAGAGCTACCCACACAATATGCTGGCTTCTGACTGGCAACAGGCCCCATCGAGTCACTTTCTATTCCATGCTCAAGTCCCTGGAAGTGGCATTTCAGTTTGGCAAGAGCTCCTTCATCACTCAACACACTGCCTTCTGAGTAGAATCTGCTGCATTCATTTAGACATCAGGAAGGAGCTACTTCCCCCACTATGTAAATCTGACTCCCTGACTCCATACCGATAGACTTCATTTCAAAGGAATTTCATTATTTCCTCTGAAGGGAATGTCTCCCATAGCCCAAGTGGCAAGCAGTTGACTGTAAACGGCTGCTGAAGTGCAAAAACAAGGGGCCAATTTGATTCTCCACTTATTTCTGATTGGTAACTACAGTTTCTGAGGACCTGGGGTTAGATGTTGTGAGGTTTTTGTGTGTTTGTGGTTTGGGGTTTTTTTTTTTTTTATCCCCCCTTCTATATTCAGACGCATCTTCATTCTGCTGAATTCTATTCCTCGACACCATGAGGCTCACAGGGAAAAAAATCTCTGAGGAAAAGTCCTTGTTTTTGTACTCAGATAAAAATCTGACACCATTAATGAAAATAATAATTGAACTCTTTGGGCTTGAATTGGAATGAGACACACACTAAGAGCATGTTTGTAATTCTAATTGTTCTCACAAAATGTCTTTGGAGGGCTCTTTGCAAAGCACAAGTTTCCATCCTTTCCTTTTTGGTAAAAGAAACAACCCATGTCCTCTTCTTTGCCCTTATCCTTTCCTCTGTCTTCTCATCCAGAAAAGAAAAAAGAACTCAGCAAAACTGAATCATATTATGGACTTCCTTGAGAAAAAAATCTTTCCGTGAGACTTCAGAATCAGAATACAAATCTATTTCCCTTGCCAGTACCATGACTCTCGGGTGAAGGAGAGAAATGAAGTTATTAGTCAGCCATCAGCTTAATGGGTCCTCACCGTCCCATTTCCTCAGCACCCCTTCCCCATCCTTCCCCTCCCCCTCCCATTCTCTGCCCTCCCGGCAGAGCTCATCTATGCTAGGCTGAGCAGTGAACACCAATTACACCCAGAGCCCTTTGCTGCTGCCTGGTCCGCTGGTTTTACTGTTTTGCCAGATGGTTGAGGCCAATGTGTAAAACTCTCTACCCTACCATTAATTCATAACTCGGTAATAACTTTCCCACGACTCCAGGAAATTGAAATGGAGTGCAAATGTGGAGATTTGGAAAGGGAATCAAGGTTGGACAACTATTTCACACCTGCCAGAACAGATACCAGTGAGACAAAAAGAAACCCTTATTTACCCAGGCTGGAGCATTACTTTCCCTGAACTAAGGCAGAATGACGCATCATGCAATGTTGGAGAAAGTGGCGGACAAAGTTCAGAGTGTGGGCTTCTCCTGGCATCATTTTCTCTCTGCAGTTTTCAGCTTTCTACCTATCGCAACTATGGGTTCACTCTCCAATGACCTTGAGATTGTGCATCTATGTAATGTTATATTCTTATGACAGATTCATAGATTAGCAGATATGAGTGCATTCTCTTGCTAAGACAGGACACCATCCAATGTTTGTTAGCATCATTAAACTAAAACTGACTTTTCACCTGCTCCCATACCATATGCAGCTGCAAATTTCTAAATTAAACTATGAAGCCATGCATAAATTTACATATATTACAGACTAGCCTCTCCATTTAACATGCAAATGTACTCCAATGTTTCAGAACACCTTCTGTCGCTAATTAATTTGCTGAATTATAATTAGACTAATCCTGCATAATTAATAAGCACAGATTTTTTTTTAATTTGTAAGCAGCTTGAGGAGATCATTCACTTCCTTCTATAAACTGCTAAGTAAGTGTTAAAAAAAATCTGGAAAGAACATGTGTGAAAAGGTATGTTTGATGTCGCATACAAACTCAAACTAGCGTGGAAGATACAGAAGTCAGTATTGATAAAGGTACATATTTGAAGCCAACATTCAAACAATCAAAAAAAAATCATATCCAGAGGATGGGGTCTAATTCTCCCTTTGTCTCCTTGTATATAACGTTTTATTCTTTGCCTTCTATCCGTCGGATCTTCCAAGATCACAGAGGCGGGAAAGGATTAAAGTAACCGTATGTTGTATTAGGAGAGATAATGATATTAACACTCCACTGTATATCAAAACACTCTGTGCATGCTGGGTGCTTATAAGCTCCTTTGATGGTATTTGGAATCATTTTCATTTTGGCTGCCAAAAACACCCGAGATCCATCTAGTGGAAACAATTAAGTTCCATTAGGACTGTATCCATTCGGTAATTATTACAATGAAGGGTCCCTCTTTCATGCTGGAGAGTGGAGTCTCAAAGAAAAGTATGCATCTGTGCACTGAAAAATGTGAAAACTATAGAGTTTTCCAACCAAGCATCAAGCTTCATTTTGACTCCCAAAAATAAACCAGGATCAGCAGAGCTCAAGGTTTGGGTAGGTCACTTGTTAGAAAATTCAGAGCAGGGTGGGAATCTGGAAGGGCAAGGGAAGCTTAGTGGTCATGCAAGTTGAGGAAGACTCCAGAAAGAAAGTAGGAAATGCATGTTCTGGCAAGGAGAAGTCAGTCAACCTTCAAAGAGAGGAGAAATATAATTTTAGAGCAAATAGAGAGCTCCCTGGCCCTTCCACTCAGCAAAGTCACTATACTATCAGTGGCCAAAAGATTAAGTCAAAAAGATGAAGCCATTTGAAATGTGTTTAGCTTTCTATTAATTCAGTTTTTTATAGTGAGTCTATAAAAAGAAATTTCTGAAGAATGGAAACCATTTTCCCAGGCTCATTACTGTCTTAAATACACCTTCTCAATACCAGGCAGCCAAAAAAAAATTTTTTTTTAAACAAAGCTACAAGATAAGCTAGCTTGGGAGTTGAGAAAGTTGAAAAGTACACCAGCACCTCGGAGGCTGTTGGCCAAAGCCGGGAGCAGATGCCAGGGGTACTGTTTCTGCTTCTTCCCTGAAAGATGTTCATGTGAGCTGCCTTCTCTTCTCCTTATCTGGAAGGAGAACCCAGCAACCTCCTGGGGCTATCTATTGCAACAACTAACTCAAGTGCAAAAAATATTTTGAAAGCACCTGGAAAAGGCTGTCACAGGTTTTCAGAGTTAAGCAATGCTATTACTTGGGTAGTTTGGAAACATAACACTTTTGGAGAGTTTTTATATGCCAAACCATAGCTTTTGCATCAGTACCCATCTAAAGAGATTAAATGGTTCAGGAATTTTTTTTTTTAAGCCTCAAGGAAAAAGAGCTTTCTGTGTTTCTAGTAGTTTCTTGAAGGAACATGACAGCAGCTGGAATAATAAGACTAATAAGAGGCCAAAATTATTTTCTCTCAAAAGAATACACAAAGGGTCATGGAAATCTTTAATAATGTCCTCACCTTTCAGGAAAAATCATTTGAAAGTATTATGCTTTTCTTTCAGATTCCTCATATCCCGTTTTGAGTGGTTATAATAGGAGGCCTGGTTTCTCTGTAGTCAGGAACATGTGCACGTCTGTTTTTATAAAGCAAGAAAGTGCTTAATGGCTAAACTCACAGGGTGAAATGGAGGCTTTCGCCACTTCCTCCATAAAGCACTGGCCTGAGACTAGAGCAGAATTGAGAGTCAGAAAAAGCTAGGCAGGTCCTTCAAGCAAGTCCCACCTATTGACAGGCAAGAGGTTTTGCTGAAGTTGGGTTTGGGGTTGTGTTTTGTTTGGCTATTTTCTTCAGCTTTGCCTACCCAATTTCAAACTATGTACTAGTGAGAGCAGGTGGAGAGAAAGCGATTGTGACCCACGCAGAGTTAGTTAGCTTTTGAGTAATTCCTAATCAGCTATGAGGGAGAAAGAAATTTGGTGGCATTTAAGCAATAAGGTGTAAAGCAGTTAGTTAACAAAGCTGCACTTTGGCTAATGGAT